>NT_187660.1:4292101-4593906 GCF_000001405.40 Homo sapiens
CACCTTAGACCCCTGTTAGTGTGGTTACCTTCAGCCCATCACCAGACTCTAGTCCATCAGCTATGAACTGGGAGTGGGGGTCATGACATGAGTACCTAAGGCTGTCCTCTTAGAAAGGTCTATATGGGCACAACCATGGGAAACCCTGTAATGGGCATGCCTAATAAGATAAAATCTTAGCACTGGATGAGTCCATGTGGATAACAGAATGCAACTCTAGCCTTTTAGGGATGAAGATAAGGTGCTATATATTGAAAAGAGTCAAAAATATTTGACCTTGGACCTCAGCTTCTTTTTACCAGTAGACCTTGTGCAATTTACATCACCTCTCTTGATCCTATCTGTAAAATTTCAGATGAGAATGCTTGCCTATTGTGTTTGTCATGAAGATTAATTTTTATAGTCTCCATAAGCACCTGGCATACAATAGGGCCTTCATAACTACTAGTTTCCAGTGTGGACTTAGGCACTTCATTCCCCTGTCTCTTTGTCCTCAGCCATCACGATGCATCATGACACAGCACAACAAGGGCTCTTCAATCAACTCTCAGTTCTACTTTGGATGGAACGCAAGCTGGTTGGATGTGGGCACCCAGCAGCCCTCCATCAATCTCCAGTCTCTTGTGTAATCCAAGCACATGATTTGAGATCCTCTACTTTAACCCCAGATCATCAATCTCAGGGCTAATGGAATATAGAAAAACGCTTTTCCCTGGAAGATTACTAAAAGGTCACAGTCTTGTTTTCCCCTGATAGATTTTCTGTCATATTACATAGTAATGTTCCACTGGGTGGCAAGATTACTGTCGTCCTGAGAATAATGGTCATCTCTGTAGCTGTATTATCCAACTCTCCAACTGGGCTGTGAATTTCTCCACAGATGACTTTTAGTCACTAGCATCCAATTTATAACTGGTTTTGTTTTCTAAAATTACAGATGGACTGGGGGCAGTGGCTCACGCCTGTAATCCCAGCACTTTGGGAAGGTGAAAGGGTGGATCACCTGAGGTCAGGAGTTTGAGACCAGCCTGGTGCCAACATGGTAACACCCCGAATCTACTAAAAAATTACAAAAATTAGGCAGGCGTGGTGGGGCACACCTGTAATCCCAGCTACTTGGGAGGCTGAGACAGGAGAATTGCTTGAACCCAGGAGGCAGAGGTTGCAGTGAGCTGAGATTGTGCCAGCCTGGGTGACAGAGCAAGACTCTGTCTCAAAAAAAAAAAAAATTACAGATGAACAAAATTAACTAGACTATATGCCCCAGTTTATGGCACACTTACCATCAGTCTGTACAAAGTTCCCTTTTTTCTTTCTTTTCTTCCCTCCTTTCTTTCCCTCCCTCCCTTCCTTCCTTCCTCCCTCCCTTCTCCTCCTCCTATTTCTTGCTCTCTCTTTTCTTTCTCTCCTTCCATCCTTTCCTTCCTTCTTTTCTTTCTGTTAGTTATTTAATCCATCATTCCTTTTCCCATTCCACTCCCTACCCTGACCTTCACAATGTACATACATTCTATCTAAAGAGAATCTTTTCAAACCATTTTTATATATTCATGTAAATATATGTAGGATATAGAGTAGTTGTGTGTTCATGTGATTAATGTAAATAATGCTTTGTTTATTAGTCACACATATGTGGATATATATAAATCTAATTCCTTACATGGACCACTGTTGAGATCTAAACAGTGCAACACACATCCTTATCCATTTCTGTAAGGAAGGCTTTCAGATTAACCCCAGCTCTTTGCTCTCATAACCAAGGCTGAATGCATAATTTTGTAGAGGTCTCTCTGTGCTTACCACTGAGATTTTCTTTGTGGGATACATCCTGGAGAAGAATTCCCAGGTTAGGTGGCATACACATACATAATTTTTAATGATTGCCCTCCAGAATGGCTTCACTGGTTTTCAATTTCCAAAGTAAACAAAGGTTTCCATTTCTCCACATCCTCACTAGGATTTAACATGATCAAATTTTCTAATTTTGCCACTCTGATGTCAGTACGGCAATATGATGTTAGGAGTTGCATGTCTCAGATGGTGAGGTTAAGCATACATGCATCGGTTGGCAGGTATTCTGTCTGGTTTTCCACCTGAAGAGCTTTCTCATGTCCATGGTCCATTCTTTTTCTATTGGATGGTTGCCTTTTCCATACTGATTTGCAGAAGTACTTTGTGTGTTTTAGGCACTTAAAATAGTAGACCTCCATCTGTTATCTGTATGTTAACTTTACCTTGGCTACACAGAAATAAATTCTGAGTGAGTGATGTCCATCAATCCTTCCTTTCCGTGTGTGTGATTCTTGGATCTTGTTAAGGAGGATTTATCCAGCTGAGTTCACAAAGGAATTCTGCATCTTCACCCGTTAGTTTAGCAGATTTACTTTCTTTATAGAATTTTAACTTTTTCAATACTATTTTTGTTCACATGTAAGGTAGGAATCCAGTTTCATTTCACTCAGTGGGCACTCAGTCTGTTTATGCAACACCATTTATGCAGTAATAAACAAATTCTTGTGAATGGTAATGCAACCACCATCATACACTGTATCCCTGAATATATGGGTGGCTGTGCCTGCACTGCCCAGGCTATTCTATTACTCCTGTTCTAGTAGCACATTATTTTTTATTACAATAGTTTTGTACTATGTGTTATTTTAAGGTAGGATAACTGTCCAAACTTGTGCTTTATTTTCAGAATTTGTTTAGTAATTTACAAACTTCTAGAGCCATTGTTTCAATTTTCCTTAAAGAAGATTACTATAAAAATGAAGCCTGGTTATTAAAAGGAAGATTATTATGCAGAGTGCTATCTGGCAAAGTTATACCCAAAAATTAAAATGCAAATAAGTGGAATATCAATGAAAGGAATTGACATAAATGTACTAGATTTTTTTAATTATAAGAAACTTCTTTTAAACATGACAGATTAAGCCTATATTTAAAATTTCACTGAAATCAGAATAAAGAGAAAAAGTAAAGCATCAGTGGAAAAGGACAGAGCAAATAAGATGATATGAGATGTTACAAACTTTTAAAAGTGAGAAGCTCCATTAGTTTACTTTCACACTTTTAAAAGTTTGTAACATCTCTTAATGTTACAAACTAAGTCCACGGAAAGCTAAGTGCCTGTGGGGAGTGAGGCCAAGGAATAAAGCAGGATGCTTTTAAAAAGCACGCAGAAAAAAATTCTTGGAAATAAAAAAGTGTGATGGGAAAAACAAAATATTTGATTGAAGGGCCAGAGGATAGAGTGGAATTGTTCTCTCAGAAAGTTAAAGCAAAACAACAAATGAAGTATAAGGGAAAAGAATACCTCTGGAAGGGCCAATATCCAAATAATTACACTTCTGAAAGGCAAGGACAGATAAAAAGGAAGAAAAATGACAATGAAATAATACTAGAAAGTTTCTCAGATTCTCAGGGCATAAGCCTCCAGATTGAAAGGTCCCACTGCACACAGTGTAAGATGTGGAATCGCGTGAAACTAACCACTGTGGTATTTTGGAATATCAGGGGAAGAGGCAACATTATGGATTTTAAAAAGACGAATAAAAAAGGTGACTCGTGGAAATGACCTCAGACAATAAACAATGCCTTGACCTTCCTACTAAAGAAAAGATATATCCAATCCAGACTTCTGTATAACAGTCAGTCAATCTCATATGGGGACACAGTGAAGATGCTTTCAGCTAGGCCTCAAAGCGTGTGATTGCCAATTCTTGTGCACGCTTCCTTAAAAGTATTTGCTATACTAAAATGTGGCAGTAATAGAAGAAAGAGGTAAGTATGGGACCAAAAAAATTTCAGAAAACAATCAAAGAAGAATCCCCAGATGATGAAAAGAGAAAACTCTAGGATGACAGTTGGATGTTTCAACCACAAGAGCACAAGTAAACCAGATTAAGAATTCCATTTGAAGAGTATCTGGGAAAAAAATGGGATATTATTAATGGCTTGGAAGTACTCTCCTCTTAGAGAGTGAAGTATTTATTTTATATACATTTGAAAAACAATTTGATTTAAACATTTTTGACAACAATTTTATGAACAGCTATAGAGGACTAAATATAAAATTCTTAATGGATACAAAGATACAGTTAGATAGATGAAATAAGTTCCAGCATTTGACAATACAGTAGAAAAATTATAGTTAACAATAATTTATTACATATTTCAAAATAACTGAAAGATTTATAATACTCCCAACATGCACAAAAAAGATAAATGGTTGGGGTAATGGATGTCCCGATTGCCCTGATTTGATCATTACACATTGTATACAGGTACAAAATGTCACATGTACCTCAAAATATGTCCAACTATTATACACCAAGTTAAAAAAAACTAGATGAAGTAAAAAATTTTATGAAAAAGCTTAAAGTAACAAATTTGGTACCAAAAGAAAGAAAAATGTTACAAAGGCCAATAGCAAATAAAAATATTTAAATGGTGATCAAATTTTCTCCTTACCCAGAAGCTGCCAACCCAGACAATATTACATGGGTAAATTCTACCAAACTGTCAAAGAATGTGTAACCCATATTTTAAATAATCTGTTATGGAAAACAGAACTTGAAGATGAGCTTCCAAACTCATTTAATGAAGTCAGTTCATAACCTTGCTACCAAAACAGAGCAAGTAAATTACAAGCAAAGAAAATGACAGACCGATTTCATGGGTGAACATACACTCAGAATCAGAAATGGAATAATGGAGTAGGCTAATTAAACCCGAGTGTATTTTTAAATTAATGAAACAAAATGATTGTGAAGCATTTATACCAGGAAAGCAAGAATGCCATCAGAAATGATTCAACATCATATTATTTTATTATCAGAAAAATCTACCAGTGTAATTTTTTTACGAGTGCAGATAAAGAAGAAACTTACATGGTTTTTTTCTCAATGCATTCTTACAAACATCTTTACAGTTAAATGCTATTTGCATTGGAAACCCATAGAAAAAGAGACTCAATAGACAAGCTGTAAGAACAACAAAGAGAATCTGGAGACATTTCCAGATCCAAGACCAGCATATAAAAATGAATGGTATCCCTTGAAACCAGTAATAACTGTTAAGAAAATGTAATAGACAGTAAGACTCAATTTACAATAGAAACAAAATCTCTAAAATATTTAGTAAAATCCAACAAAGAAATTCATGCAATCTGTATGGAAAAGAAAATCACACTATTAAATAACTGCTCTTTTTTCATTAAACTTTAAAAATGTTGGCATAATTTTAGATTCATATGTAATTGTAAGAAAGAATATGGAGATATGTTGTGTAGCCTTTGCCTAGTTTCTCCCAATGGTAACATCTCAAAAGTATATATTACCCCAATTTTACATGCATGTACTCATTTGTGTGTGTGTGTTTTGTTCTGTGCAATTTTATCACATGCATAAGTTATGCATCCTCCACCACAGTCAAGATACAGGACAGTTCCATCACTACAAGGCTCCCCCATACTGTCCTTTTACAGCCACACCCACCTGTCCACCCCCAACCTCCATCCCTTGCCCTTGGCACCTGCTAATCTGTTCTCTATTTCTATAATTTTGCCATCTAAAGGATAAAATGTAAATGGAGTTATACACTATGTACTCTTTTAGGATTGTTTTTTCTTAAACTCAGCATAATTCCCTTAAGATCTGTCCAAGCTGTTTTGTGTTTATCAATGTCATTCTTTTTCATTGCTAAGTAGTCATCCACTGTAGTGATATATCGCAGTTATATTTAACCATTTTCCCATTGATGGATGTTTGGGTTGTTTCCAGTTTGGGGCTATTAAAAGTAAAGTAACTATGAACATGTGTCTACAGGTTTTTGTGTGAACATGAGTTTTCATTTATCTGGGATAGATGCCCAGGAGTGCAAGTGCTGTGTCTGTACTAATCATACATTTACTTTTATAAGAAATTGCCAAACTATTTTCTAGAGTACCTATGCCATTTTACATTACCACCAGCAATAAGGGCTAGTTTTTAATATAACAGCACAATTAAGGGTATGTTAATAAACCTGCAAACATTATGAAAGGGTACAAAGGTAAAAGTGCCTCTTACCTCATTTCCAATCACTACAATTAATGACTGCCAACAGTTATTTAATTGGCTTTTAGAACTGTTTTACCCAAATGAGATAATATTCTATGTTTCATAAACTTTGTTAATATGTAGTTTTTTGTGTGTATTCACTTATCTGTGTGTACATATTTATGTCCCTCTTTTAAGGTTACAAAGCATTCTAGTTCATGGGTATGCCATCCTTTATCCACTTGTCTCTTCATGATGGGTGCATTAGGCCATTTTTGCATTGCTATAAACAAATACCTGAGGCGGGATAATTTATGAAGAAAAGAAGTTTATTTGGCTCACAGTTCTGCAGGCTGTACAGGAAGTGTGGTGCTGGCATCTTCTTGGTTTCTGGTGAGGCCTCAGGAAGCTTACAGTCATGGCACAAGGCAAAGGGGAAGCTGGTGTTTCACATGGCAAGGGCAGCAGCTAGAGAGGGAGGGGAGATGCTACACTCTTTTGGATCCTGCAAGAATTCACTCACTATTGTGAAGACAGCATCAAGCCATGAGGGTTTTGCCCGCAGGACCCAAACACCTCTCACCAGGCACCACCTCCAACACTGGGGATTACATTTCAACATGAGATCTAGAGGGGACATACATTCAAACCACATCAATGGGCTTTAGGAAATGTGTTGTTCTTTTTTGTTAATGTAAACAAAACTGTAATAAATATTTTAACATATATCTTAAATGTATATATTACTCACTGTATTCTGTAGGCTAATTTATAAAATTATTGTGTTAAATAGGATGCAAATTCAAATTTTCATGTATATTCTCAATTCCTCTCCTAACAACCGTGCATGTGAGTGCACCTTTTCTTAGGCCCCTCAGACTTTGGCCTTCATCAAAATTCTTCATCTTTCCTTATTTGATGGGCTAAATGTGGAATCTCAACTTCAAGTCAAAGCAGCACTGAAAGAGCCTGTGCTGAAGGCTCCCTCTTCTCTAATCACATAGATAAAATATGCATGGGAATAAAACCTAAAAATGTGTAACCAGGCTGTAAAACAGGAAAAGCATATCTGTGGCTGAGAAATCTAGAAAAGCAGAAGGTGCAGAGCTGATGGAAGCCTCTGGCACCCAGGAAGAATGGGAAGTGAGCCATCTCAGTGCTTAAAATGACCTCCTGCCCCCACAGCCTCCTGCTCTTGAAGGGTGGGGAGAAGCTGCTGCTTCCTGGGACAGCTGGGAAGTGTGAACCCCAATTGGGAGCACTGAACCGTGACATGGACCTGGCCTCTGCTGACCTGGGGATGGTATATGCAATGCCCCCAGGTTCACAGAGAAACACACACTGGACTCAATAAGATGAAATGTGGTTTCGGACTGAGGGTCCAAGGATGTAGATATTGTCAGTTGCAAAATTGTTAGGTATAGTAGAATAGGGAGGAGAGGGACATGGAAAATAAAGTTCCCAAACACATAAGGAATTCTTATGCTAAGAAAGTCTAGCCTCTTCCCACAAAATGCCAATAAATAAAGCATATTTTCACTGAAAAAACTAATGAAAATAATAACATCATAAAAATAGGCAGCAGGGGCAACTAGTTCTGGAACCAAATGGAATGACAGAGTTCTCCCCATTTCTCCAGCTAAGCCCTGAACATTATACAGAAAACAAACATCAGATGCTGAAGGGGAGAGAGAAAAAGGGAGACCAACTAGGGATGTCAGGACAGAAAAATAACTCAGCAGCGAGCTCCCTGGGATTTATTTCTGCCTTGCATATTCCAAACACTGCCAACAGGTACAGACAAAACAAAAAGTCTCAACAAAAGCCTGCTTCCCTTGGCTAAGGACCAGGAAAGAGGCAACCTAGAAACAAAACAGGTGGAAATGAAATAAGATTAAGTGGACTCAAACAATTAAAAATAATAAAAGTGAAAACATATAGACAATGACATTTATAAACCTCAATGGACAGAATGAATACATTTTAGACGATTAATGAATTCAAAGTAAAAGTGAGGATCACCGATCATAGATCATAGTGAGGACCTTCTAAACAGGGAAATTTTTGAAAGTGAAAAGGGCATAGTAATTTCACAGGGACAACATGCAGGGACCAAACTATCCCATGCAAATAGGGAAATACAGTCCACACACCCACCACCAACCTCAGAGTTAGAGACAAATAAAAGTTAATGAAAGGACAGTGATTAGAAAGCAAAGGAAAAGTAAAAGTTTCCAACATAAATTTGGCTGGAATTTCAGAATAAGAAACCAAAGGAAATGGCAGAAAAGCAATTTTACAACAGAGAATTCAGATATTTTGTAAGGTAAGGGAGCTTTCAAATTAAAATTGACTAGGAGTATCAAGTGAGATAAATAAAAACATACACACCAAGGCATGTCTTAGTGAACCCAAAGATGGAAAAAAAAATCTTAAAAGCTTTTGAAGAGAAAAGATAAGGTAGCTACCTAGGAATGACAGAGAATGGTCATAGAGTTTGCAAAAGCAATTGTCAGAACATTGTGAATAATATCTTCAAAAGGACTGAATATAAACAAGTATCAAATGAGAATTTTATATACAGATTAAAAAATTTTTCAAGGGTTTTTGGAAGATGGTACAAGTAGCAGTATTGTTTTTGAATTTCTCTAGGCGCCCCCATGAACACACAGAAATGGAGACAGCAAAACACAAATTCAGTAGCTATCTCCTACGGTAAAGCTAGATAACCCAGTGTCCCTAAGAGCTCAAAACACAAGAGGAGAGATATGAACCACTGACCTCCAAAAGACATGCACGGCTCTGGCAGAAGAGAGAACAATGGTTGTCTGACAGGCCTGAGGCCTTCAGTATGACTGACTAGAAGGCAGGCCTGACTTTAAGGCCCTGCCACCAGTGCCCAGAAGGAGCTCTCACTGGGAAGTTAGTGATTGATCAGCAGTTGCTGTCTAGAAATTCTTAATGAGTTCATCTTTAAACTTGTCCAATAGTACATGGAGCATGCACCAGGGGTTTGGAGACTCAGCACCTGTGTGGCCCTGGGTCTCACTGCCTCCCTGCCTCTGCATAATGTGTTCTCAGCCCTCTGCTTCCCTGCCTCTGCCCAAGGACCTCAGCCACGCTTCATCTCCTGTGGGGACCTGGCACCAGGAGGCCTGGGGTTGGGCATGTGCGCCCCAATGAAGGGAACTGTGGATTGGGGCTTTGGGGCCTATAAAGGTTTGCACTCACCCCACAGGTATTCCTGGGCTCAAGTGAGTACAACATTAAACAGCAAATAAAAGTCACCAGAACAGGTTCGGAGAGAGATCACAGAAAAAAGGGAAAACATTTTTTCTTTCTTAATTTGAACAAGGGTTTTACATTTTTGTTTTACATTGGGTCTCACAAAAATTACATGGCAAGCCCAGTGTGATGGTTGATATTGAGTGTCAACTCGATTGGATTGAAGGATGCAAAGTATTGTTCCTGGGTGTGTCTGCGAGGGTGTTGCCAAAAGAGATTAACATTTGAGTCAGTGCACTGGGAGAGGTGGACCCACCTACCCTCAATCTGCATGGGCACCATCTAATTGGCTGCCAGCACAGCTAGAATAAATCAGGCAGAATTTGGAAGGACTTAGCTTTCTGAGTCTTCTGGCCTTCATCCTTCTCCTGTGCTGGATGCTTCCTGCCCTCCAACATCAGACTCCAAGTTCTTCGGCTTTTCAACTCTTGGACTTACACCAGTGATTTGCCAGGGGCTCTTGGGCCTTCAGCCACAGACTGAAGGCTGCACTGTCGGCTTCCCTACTTTTGAGGTTTTGGGACTAGGACTGGCTTCTTTGCTCCTCAGCTTGCAGACGGCCATTGTGGGATTTCACCTTGTGATCATGTGAATCAATACTCCTTAATAAACTCCCCTTCATATATACATCTATCCTATTAATTCTGTCTCTCTAGGGAACCCTGACTAATACACCCTGCCAATGGCTACTTTCTGGAAATCCCCAGAAGGCCAACTTTTGAAAGCAGCTGGAATTGGGAAGGATTTGCTCATTCTTAAAGCCAGGGAGAGCCAGAATATCTCAGAAAGGACAGCAGAGCAGACAAGGTCCTGAAAACGCTCAGTAATAATAAGCAAACCTCCCTTCAGGACAAAGCCCCAAAATAGGAGGAAACTGGAAGGGCAGAGTTCAAATTGAACTGGATGGAGATAACAATAGAGAAAACGGGAATTAAAATCCAGTTATGACTGGGGAGGCGAATAGAGTCAGACTCCTAGAAAGCAAAATGCCATGTTTTCGAACACTTTCTCAAAACAACAGGTCACTTGTGTTAGCAGTCACAATTCAATCAGAGAAGCAGCACCACTAGCATGTCTGTGTGCGTGTTTGTGTGCATGATTGTGTAACAGCAAATCTTAGGAGCTGCTTCACCAGCCTTTGAGAAGCTGTTATATTTGCCTCTGGAGCTGCAGTCTGGAGTTCACACCGAGGCAGTTAGCCAGGAAGGGAAGATGTCTGTACAGTGGGGAAGAGCAACAGCAAGCAGGAACTCACAAGCACATGTTGGAACCTTGTGAGGATGGGATGACATCTGGGTCAGACTTGCTGCCCCCGACATTAGTGGAAGTGGTATCCTGCAGAAGCTGTGGCTCTGTGTCATGGAGCTAAACACATGCTTGGCCCAGAAGATGCAGAAGCTGAAGGAAGATCCAGTGGAGGATGAAGCCCAGCCACTGCTTCACACCAAGAAAGTGAGTCAGCAGATCAGTTCCAATACCTGTAAGCTTCAAAATGGCTGATGTTCCAGGTCTTCCTTCCAAAGCTCCCCCAAAAACCTCTCTAGTCGAGCCAAAAAAATACAGTGAAGGGAATTCTGAAAAACAGTTTGGCCTTGTCAAATAGGCACATTACAAAACTACCACAGTACTCGAGAGCTGTGATACAAGAAACGCTTCTAAATCATGCCTCCATTCTGAAAATTTAGAACTATAATGTCATGTAAAGATAGTAACAGGGAAATAAATCAAAGGAATGCAAACATTCTATGGAAAAAATGTTAAATGCTTGCCAGAACGACATTTTGATGAAAGGATTAAAAGTGTACCAACAGAGGGATACACTTTGATTGTTTATAGAAATCTATATCCTATAACTTTTAAAGTAATTGTCTAAGAAAATAGATGGAAAAAACAAAAGAACAGTGTAAATTAAATGATAGAATTCAGGGGCCAGGCGTGGTGGCTCACGCCTGTAATCCCAGCACTTTGGGAGGCCAAGGAAGGTGGATCATGAGGTCAGGAGATCGAGACCATCCTGGCTAACACGGTGAAACCCTGTCTCTATTAAAAATACAAAAAATTAACTGGGCATGGTGGTGGGCACCTGTAGTCCCAGCTACTTGGGAGGCTGAGGCAGGAGAATGGCATGAACCCGGGAGGCGGAGCTTGCAGTGAGCCGAGATGGCGCCACCGCACTCCAGCCTGGGCGACAGAGTGAGACTCTGTCTCAAAAAAAAAAAAAAAAAAAAAAAAAAAAAGATAGAATTCAGGGAAAAATAAACTTAAAAACAGAATCTTATAAATAAACACAACAGAAATGCGAATAATCACAACATAGTGTCTTAAGAAAAGTGGAAAAAGAGGACAGTTTAAAAAAAATTTTTTAAAGATATGCCAAGAATTTGAGTGAAAGTGATAATATAAAAGACTACCACCCCAACCACAAAAAACACAACATACAGGTCCAAGAAGAAATCCCAAATAAGGGAAGAAAACAAGTACTAAGAATGGCATTTTGTTGAAAAAAATATTTTATAAACAAGAGATTTGAAACAATGAAATAATAAATTGCATACCTGGGAAAGTCAACTCAGAACAACCAACACCAAAACACAGTTAAAAAGAAAATGTCCTTTCTCTTTCTTTTTAAATATTTAGGGGAAAAAAAGGAAAAAAGTGATGTAAAACAAAGAGAAAATTAGCTTATCAGACTTTCAAGAGCAGCATTTTGTGCCAGAATAAAAGGAACATTATAAAGATACTCAACTTTTTAAAAAATGAGCTGAGGATTTTATATCCTAACAAACTGACTTTCAAGTATAAAGGGAGCAAACTGTCATCAATATGGAATAACATACAGAATATTTTCCATGGGCCCTTTCTTCATAATGTACTGAGAATGAGGTTTAAATAATGAACATTACTGGAGAGACAGTGGCATAAAGACTGGCTGAGCATTAAATATATATTTCCATGGAGAGCTAAGACGAAATCTGCGATATGAGGGAGAGTAGAGCATGTAATAGTTATATACTTTGACAATGGGTGGAAAGCAGAATTTTCTAAAAAGGGAAAGAGAAAATGGAAAAAGCATATGCAAAACAATTTTTAAATGCTTCTCTATAATCATGTTGGTGACAATGTTGCTATTGCTACTCTCCTTATGTTTTGCTTGAAATGTGAGATGAAGAAAATAAGCAATACATGTGTTATTTGAATCCCCAGGGCCCTTCAGAACCAAGACTTTTAGAAGCTGCAAGTGTGAAATAGAAAAGATTAAGTAAGCACTCTGAAATCCTAAATTTGAACTCATAGGATATTTTTCATAGATAGATAGGTATCCTAAATCTGTCCACTGACGAGGCCCAAAAATAACATTTGCAACTAAAAGGTACCAGAGTTTCTTAGAGAAATAGTTGAAATAGCTAATTCTAGGTCTGGGGTGGGAAATATAGAAAATAAACAGAGGAGCTCAGAATATCATCGTACCACAGAGAGCAAGGGCACCAGCCAAGACCAGCAGGATTGCGCTAAAGGAACTTGGGAGTCAACCTGTAGAACAGGCACTCACCAAACCATGGGGCAACTTGAGGATCAGTAAGGATAACGACCGTAATCAAAACACACCAAACAGGGTTCTCTGTGAGCTCATAATGATACACTGTATTAGTCCAGATCCACCAATATAGAATTAAATGTGAAAGGATTTTATTGGAGGAAAAGACCCTGTGGGAAAAAAGTAGGGCGCATGCTAGAGAAGTCTGGAGATCTATCAGACTGCAATGTGTATCTGATCCCAAGTGAAGGAGGGAGGGAGGAAACATGGCATTGAAGAGTCTTGGACTGCCAGGAAGAAAGGTTCAGCAGGAGCATTGAGAGCCCTTGAGCCCAAGTTGGTTGTCAGCAGAGTTCAGCATCTCTTAGGAACAGTTTTCCTGGGAACAAGAAGCAGGATGTTGTGAGACATGGCCTATCACAAATACTGGGATGGACTTTGTAGCTCCATAGCTGCGACTCTTGTTGAATTATGCTATCTGAAGTTGGCAGTTGGCATGGACACCTGGACACACACACACACACCCCTACCTGATTAGTTAACTTTATAGGACACTAAGGGACCAGGTATCTGTGTTAAAATCTCATAAATAAAGGGAACATGTATACTTCCTTTCCTGTGCAAACTACCACTCAGAAGCTAATGGCAGATGTGCGGATATCTTTAAAGGAAGAGGGAATGATAGAACTGGAGCATTGCCACTTTGCAACACCTACAAATCAAACAAATCTAAGTACTAGCTTCTAAGAATCTATTGCTACTAATTACAAAAAAAGAAAGATAAGGCCAGGCATAGTGGCTCATGCCTGTAATCCTAGCACTTTGGGAGGCCAAGGTGGGCAGATCACCTGAGATCAGGAGTTTGAGATTGCCTGGCCAACATGGTGAAACCTCATCTCTACCAAAAATACAAAAATTAGCCGGGGATGGTGACGGGTGCCCATAATCCCAGTTACTTGGGAGACTGAGGCAGGAGAATCACTTGAACCCAGGAGGCGGAGGCTGCAGTGAGCCAAGATCGTGCCATTGCACTCCAGCCTGGGCAACGAGAGCGAAACTCCGTCTCAAAAAAAAGAAAGAAAGAAAGATAAGTATATATTGTGTGCCTCTTGACAATGAACACAATGAACACAACAGCACCGATGGTGTAATCTTCCTCCCCAAAGTGAAATCTGAATCAGATTAAGTTTATAGATTCAACTACTAATCTGCAGGAAATCTAGAGGATAAATGAAACATTAAACTCTACCATGGGAATGCAATCAGCAGAATCAGCAGAATCTTGACTCTACAGGATTGGTTTCTAAAATGAAAAAAAAATCTTTCAGTTTAGGAAGATACAGAGAGAAATTTTTAAAAATCAGGCTAACCTAAACTCACTGTTTAGGGCTCCTCAACTAGATAATGAAATAATAATAAAGAGTAATAAGGGTATTTCCAGAAAAGCTAGAGCAGGAGTTAGTCTTGTTAGGGGAGGATGGTGCTTGTCTTGGGAAGGTGGCCTGAACCTTCTGTGGTTGCTGCCAAGTTCTCTCTAATTTATGGGTGGAGTTAAAGGGACATTTATTTTGTAATAACTCATCAAGTGGTACACTTGGTCTAAACTGCTTTCCGTTTTCCTTTATTCTGACAAAAAATACACAATTCAAATGGAAAATAAAGACATTTATAGACATACGATGGCAGAGAACTTACCATATAAAGAGACTCACTAAAAGTAAAGATATATGTTTATAGAAAGAGTAAACGTAGGGGGAAAGAGAGTGAATTAAGAAACCATATGTTGATAAAATTAATTAACTATGCCTATATAAATTATACTGGTAATCTTAAGTAAATAGCAGATATAAAAAGTAACTTTCCAGCTGGGTGCGGTGCCTCACACCTGTAATCCTAACACTTTGGGAGGCCAAGGTGGGTGGATGGCCTGAGCTCAGGAGTTTGAAACCAGCCTGGGCAACACGGTGAAACCCGCCTCTAGTAAAATACAAAAAATTAGCCGGCACCTTGGCGTGCACCTGTAATCCCAGGTACTCGGGAGGCTAAGGCAGGAGAAATGCTAGAACCTGGGAGGTGGAGGTTTAAGTGAGCCGAGATCACGCCACTGCATTTTAGCCCGGGTGACAGAGTGAGACTCCATCTCAAAAAAAAAAAAAAAAACGGAAAAGTAACTTTCCAGATCTAGTTCCAGGGAAGATGGGGTAAACACACCCTTTCCTACTGAATACAACCTATAAAACCTGAACAGAATGCATAGGCAGCAATTTGGGAACTCTGCAAAATAAACATCAGTAGGCAGATCAAAGGAAGAAACCATCAGAATACCATCAAAATACACATGAACTGCTGGCGAGTTTAATCTTTTTTTCCTTGCGTTATTTCCCAGTCTGAATTCAACGCAGTTAGAAAACCAGAACTAAGCACTGAGGTGCGGAAATAGAAACAACAGAAACTCTCTAGCTCAGGCTCAAAGACCAGAAAAGGGAAATGTAGAGAAAGAGAGAGAAATCCCCCATTTTTTCTCCCCATTTCCTCAGTTCTTGCACCCTAGCCCCAGGCAATTGTATAATGTGGGTAGCAGGAAGAGCAAAGACAGCCAGCAATGGAAAAACTGAAGGAGTTAAGTATCTGAGAGAGGGAATCTCCCTCTAGCATTTGGTGTGGCTATAGTTCCAAGAGGGTAGAGTCAATCCCAGGTGTTTCCATTTTTCTTTCTGTTCTGCACTGTATGGGCCCGGTATAGACTGTAATTATGGAACAGAGCAGTTTTTGGTCAGAGGACTGAAAAAGAGAAGGTCAGGAAACCAGAAAGTACTGGAGAGATAGCAGAGCGCAAGCTTGGGAAAGTGACCCCATAACACTGTTTATCAGCTCAAGGACTCACCTCTGACCTGTACGTTCACGGTCCTGATCATAATCAGCACACTAAAGACTCTGAGAACTGAGATAGCCAGTAGACCTTTGCTCATTTTCCTAACTGACCACTAAGTAAGTGGTACAGGTCTAGGACAAATGTGAATATTACTGAAAGGCTTCGAAAACTGGCCTGATATGGGAACCACAGCCTACAGAAGGCTAAAACATAAATAGTAACACTTTTTATAGGATTTGAACAAAATTTAAACAAGAAGGGGCTCACAACATAATATTCAAAATGTGCAGTATAAAATCCAAAATTATATTGCATTTGAAGAATAAAACAAAAAAACCTTCAACTTTCATTAGAAAAGACAAGCAACAGACATCAATGATGAGATGTTGGCATTATCTAACACATCTTCAAAGTGGTATTAAAAAGTGCTCAGATAAGCAAACTTCTGAAACTTATGACTTGATTTTTCTGTTCATATGTTTCCATGGAAAAAATTACAAAATGAAGCCTTCTGACAGGGAAATATCAAGTTAGATGACTTCCCTGGTTAATTTTTCTAATAACTTTTGGAGAAAATATACACATAACACAAAGCTTACACACTTTCAGAATATAAAAAATGGGGAATAATTCCCAACTCATTTTATGAGGCCAGCATAATCTTGGTACCAAAATCTTACAAGCTTATTATTAAAATAAGAAAATATGAGGCATGTTTCCTTTGATAAAGATAAATGTAAAGTTCTAAGGAGATAATTGTGAAACAAATTCAACAATACTTTTAAAAATAATAACCAAATGTGTTACTTTTCAGAATTGCAAAATGGGAAGGAATGGGTAAACAGTGTGTCTGTAACTCATTCCTCCAGCCTCTGAGACAGTTTTAATTGTGACCCAAACTCCTAGCAAAGGACGGCTGATGAAACACACCAGCTACACCGTAAGTGAAACTTCAGCAAGGGTTGCTAGGTACAGACTATGGATCCAGGAGCACTTTCAGGACAAAACACCTAGCTTGTCTATAATATTTGTTATAAATAGATCTGCAATTTACGAGCTGCAGTTCTGCATTGGACAATAGAAGTTAGTCATGTAGCCAGTACAGGGCTGCCTGCCTTGGAGGATATAAAAGCTGAGTGATAACTAAACCCAGTTGCTTTCTTGCACTAACTTGTCCTCTATGCAGTTTGCACTCCTCACTCTGAAGGCAAAATTCACTCTGAGTAGAAAAAGGAGACACAGAGAGCTGAGTGTGAAGAGCTCAGGGTCTCCCAGATATTGAAGTGGTGCATGTTGCTGCTCTTGCTTGCATCTTTTACTAATCATTAGTAAAGCTTGGTGCTGAACAAGACTTGAATTTCATATAAATCTGATCAATAATGTAGATCTTTGTATTGTGTGTAGGGTTAACTCAACAATAAAAAGTCATTGCAATTCAAAATACTAATGAAAAAAGGATAAAAACAATCTCATCTTAATAGACACTTTACAAAGATGTAACTCTACCCTCATTTGTGATTTTTAAGGATTGTTATCTGAGTAGGAATAGAAGGGAATTTCCTCCTTGTGAAAAGGTTTATCTAAAAAATAAAATAACAAAACAGAACAACAAAAAACTATAGCTAACATTTTACTTAGTGGCTGTTGTGGGTTGAATTATGTCTCCAACAAAAGATATGTTGAAATCCTAGCCCCTAATACCTATGAATGTGACTTTATTTAGAAATAGGGTCTTTGCAGATGCAATCAAATTAAGATGAGGACATTAAGTTGGGGCCTAATCCAATATGACTGGTGTCCTTATAAGAAGAGGGAAATTTGAACACAGACACACAGGGAGAACAACAATGGAAGATGAAGGCAGAGATGGGAGAGACATAGCTGCCAGCCAACAAACATCCATGATGGCCAACCACCACCAGAAACTGTGAAGAGACGAGGAAAGTTCTCCCCAGAGTCTCAGCAGGGGCATGCTGACATCATGATTTCAGACTCCTAGCCTCCAGAACTGTAAGACAATACATTTATATGTTTTAAGCCACCGAGTTTTCAGTACTTTGTTATGGAAGTGCTAGGAAACGAATATAGTGGTGAATTATTGAAGGCCTTCTGCCTGAGACCAGAAATGAGACAAAGCAGTATGCTATGACTTCTACTCAGTATTGAATTTGATGGTCCCAGCTAGTGTCATAGTGAGTGAAACAGGCCAAGAAAAAGAAATAGATGAATAAGGATTGGGACGGATAATCTACAGAAAAACCATTATAATCAATAGGAGAGTTTAGAACTTCACTGGATAAAAGACCAATATGCAAATATCATGTATATTTCTATACATGCAACAGTTTTAAAATTAAATGTAAAAAATCTGTCATTTTAATAGCATCAAAAGACACCAATGTCTATGAATAATTCTTATGAAAGTGTGCCAAAATACCTGTGTTGAAGACTACAAAATATTATTGTGAGAAATTAAACAAGATCTAAATAAGTGGAAGAAAACATCACGTTTGTATATTACAGGACTCAGTAAAGACATCAGTCCTTCCCAAGTTGATCTAAAAATTCTATAGAATCCCAGTAAAGTTAATATAAAATAAATTATTTTATTCTATTAAAATGAAAAGGGTCAAGAATATTCAAGACAATCTTGAAGAAATACTAAAAAGGAGGAAAATTAACACTACCATGTATAAAGAGCTACTATAATGCTATAGTCATTAAGAGAGTGTGATATTGGTGCAAGTCTAAGCAAATAGACTGGACCCACATATATACACTGTTATGTGATGCACAAAGGTGACATGGCAATGCAGGAAGAAAGATTACTTTTTCATTAAGTGGTATAGAGTCAATTTAATATTCATATAAGACAATGAATCCCTATTCCTACCATACTTCATAGCATACACAAAATTTAATTCTAGATGGGTGACAAATATCAACATGAAAGGTAAGACCATAAAACTCTAGGAAGACATAGGATGTTACCTTCACGACCTTGGGGTAGACAAAGAGATCTAAAGCACAACACAAAAAATGCAAACTGTGATTGGAAGCGTTGATAAATTGGACTACACTGAGATTAAGAATATCTATTCACCAAAAGATACCATTAAGAAAGTTAAATGAAGCCAGAGTTCTAAAAATTATGTTCAATATCAATGTCTGACAAAGGACTCCTTCTGAATGAAGAATTAATTCCTACAAATAAATAAGAAAAAGGCAGACAACACAATAGAAAAATGGACAAAAAACCCTGAAAAATCAGTTCACAAAGGATATCCAAAATAACAATAAACACATGAAAAGCTGCTCCACTTCTTTAGTCATCAGGGAAATGCAAATTAAAAGCCACATTGAGATCAAATTACCCATAAGCCAAAAAAATCTGAAATTAAGTCAAAGACAAGTGGATGAATTATGTGAGGCAACTAGATCACTCATACATTGTGCTGGGAGTGTAATTAGAACAAATATTTTGAGAGACTGACAATATCTAAGAATAGTATATATCTAGAAAAAACTGTGCTGTTTTGGAAACAGAAAAGCACAATTTGAAGTAAATCATCGGTCAAAGAAGAAATCACAAAGAAGTTAGAAAATATTTTGAACTGGAGGTTATGAATATAGAACATATCAAAATTAGGAGGAGGCAACTAAAGTAGTGTTCAGATGGAAATTTGCATATTTAAATGCTTACATTTGAAATGAATCTAAAATCAGCAACCTCAGTTTACACTTCAAGAAGTTTGTAAAAAATGAGCAAATTAAACCCCAAATAAGTAGAAGGTAATAAGAAACACAAGAATAGAAATCACTGAAATTTCAAAAAAAAAATTGAGAAAAAGCAAAAAGTTGTACCATGAAAAGATTAGTAATATCGTTAAACCTTAGTAAGTGTAATCAAGAACAAACAGGAGAAAACACAAATTCCTTGAAACAGTAATGAAGAGGAGGTATCACCACATAGCCTATATATATACATAAGGTAATAAAGGCACATAATAAACAACTTTATGTCAATAAATGCAATAACTTAAATGAAATAAACACATTTGTAAAAAAAAATACAATTTAGTAAGCTTTTCCCAAGAAGAAATAGAAACTGAATTGTACTACATATCTATTAAAAATTGGGTTAACGTTAAGAAAATAATCTTTCCACAAAAACTCCAGACACAGATAGTTCCACTAGTTAGTTTCATCAAACATTTAAGAAACAAATTATATCTTGCACAAACTATTTCAGAAAGTAGAGGAGGAGGAAGCATAAGATCTTCTACCAAAATTAGATGATAAAATTACAAGAAATGAAAATGATGGAGCAATATCCTTCATGGATATACATAGAAAATTCTTTTAAAATCTACTAACAAATTAAATTCAGCAGTAATCAAATCCATGACCAAGTGAATTTGTGGTTTGATGTCTTTTGTAAATATTGAAAAGTTCTCAGAATTTATTCTTTGAATAGTGCTTTTGTCTTACATTCACTCTCCATTTAATGAAAGGATCTTTTATATCTGAAAGACCTGGGGAGGAAGGTAGCCACCCAGCAAAGTCATCTGACCTTTTTGATTGTGGTGTGAGGGAGAAAGAAACTTTCATTGTGGTAAGCCAATGAGAATTGAGGATTATCACTGCAATGGACATCACCCACTATGATAACTAGCTTTACCATTTTAAACGTACAAATTTTATTTATTTTTATTATTTTTATTTATTTATTTATTTTGAGATGGAGTCTCGCTCTGTTGCCCTGCTAGTGTGCAATGGCATGATCTGGGCTCACCACAACCTCTGCCTCCCGGGTTCAAGCGATTCTCCTGCCTCAGCCTCCCGAGTAGCTGGGATTACAAGTGCCTGCCACCATGCCCGATTAATATTTGTATTTTCAGTAGAGACGGGGTTTGGCCACGTTGGCCAGGTTGGTCTCGAACTCGTGACCTCAGGTGATCCACCTGCCTCAGCCTCCCAAAGTGGTGGGATTACAGGTGTGAGCCACTGCACCCGGCCACAAATTTTATAGTTTATTTTTCAGTGTCCTATTATCTCAAATTGTGAGGCACACATTTTCCTGTTTACTCTGCCTACTGACTTTCCCTAATTGACGATGGCCTAGGATGATGTAGAGTTTGTTTCCTTGAATGGTTTATATTTTTTATTTTGAACTGATTTTCATGGATATTGCGATTTGGGGGCATTTTTTGGAGTCCCATGTGTGTAAAGTTACTAAATCTTCCTCCAGAGGAATTCTTGAATTCTAAACCATATAATACACATTTGGACTCCACACCTAAGCCTAATGCACTTTTTGGTTTTTAAATGTGTAATTATCTTTTTCCCCCTATCCGGAGCCCAAGCAGAAAACATGCTTCCTTCCACTTCCCTGGCTAATGGTTGAGGTTTCCTGGTCTTTTTTACACTGGAAAGGAGATTACACCAATTTCTGGATTTATGTGAATATCTCAGTTCCAGTTCCCCACCTCTCATAGGCCCCAAGCCCAAGGTCACCTTACCTCCTGAGAGTGTGTTAAAATTTCCCTCTTACCCATAGAATCTATATTTTTGGTATGCCCAGGCATGTATTCACATCCTGCTATGTTTTATTTGCTGTTTTTTTTTTGTTTTTTTTTTGTTTTTTTTTTTTTGCTTTGGGAACGGGAGTGAGTGTAGAACCTATACAGTCCCGTCAGCTCTATTCCAAGAATGTTCTGCTCTTTTCTTCGTTTCACAAATGAAAAACCTGAGTCCCATAGATGGGAGTCAATACAGCCAAACTCACAGACCTACCTATGGCACAGGGGAGACTGAAGTTTATTTTCCAACTTCCAGCAGTCCTACATTGTAAGCTGAGTGAGTGGACTGCGCTTGCAGGTCCTCCAGGTGCCTAGCGAGAACAGAGGACAAATAAATATTTACGAATTGCTTGTCTCACCTGAAAATGGTTTATTTCTAGGTTTCTGATATTATGGGGTGCAATGGCGGTAAAGAAGCAGTTCTGGTTTCAGGAATGTGATCCTGATAGCCATACTCCAGAAAAAATAAATAAATTCCCTTGGCCCCATGGGCTCATGCTCTTCTAGAAGGGAAGACAGGGCTCTTAGGTACTTTCAGCGCTCGTAGAAGAGTGTTGTTACAGTCCCATGACCAGTGCAGGGGATGTGCCACTGAGAATCTTTTCACTGATGCTTCATGGGCTTTCTCTATTCTGCTACTGGGTTTTATTTCCCTTCTTCTAATTCTCCCTTTACCAACAACTAATCCCCTGTAGATAATTAATTCATCAAGTGCCTGCTCTGTGATGTCCGGACTGCTAGAAGTGGTAGGGGGACTCAAGAGCCAGATGAAGCTAAGGGCACGCCTGTCTGCTCTCCAGGGACCCCTGGCGTCCCTTTCTCCTGGCAGAATGACTGCTATCCTTTGAGGTGAATCCAGTTCAGCTGTCACCTCTTCTATTAACCACTCTCCAAAAACAGCTAATCCTTCTTCTAGGCTCTTACCGCAGTTATGAAAGCCTATGCTGACCCTTTGTTTAAACATGTGTACATTAACAGTAATACACTTAAGACACTTCATGGCAAGGGCAATATACTGCGTTATTCTTCCAAATCAAATAGTTGGGCTCAGTCCCCCATTCCTGCTACTGGGGTACAGTCAAGCTCAGTCACCTTTTGGTGAGCCTTTCCCTAGTTCTTGGAGTCTTAAAAGAATCCCGTGGTTTTCGGCAGTTCAGAAACCCAGGCATTGCCGCTGCGTGGTCCACGGGAGTTGCTCTGGTGGAGCTCGGATGCCCGGGGGCTGCAGGAAAGAAGGTGGCAGCGCCCCCTACGCGGACGCAGGGCGCTGCTGTGCTCAGCAGAAGGGAGCAAATGGGATGGAGCTTCAGCCACCCTGGAAGCCGCCCCTTGGCGCCTTCCTCCCTCCCTTCCTCTTTCCAAAATCAAGCCCCCTCTTCAACATCAAGAACTCTCCGCACTCCCTGGACCTCTCAGAGCCTCTCCTCATTTACTCTTTCCAATGCGCTGGCTCAAAAGAGCCTAGATAAGAACACCAAGTTCTGGCTGTCCTTCCAGCAAAGAGTTAGGAGTTAACTTTTCAATCTTTTTTAATCTCCTTTAAAAAAGAATGAGCCATACATTAGGGTAACCACTGGGAATCCCATCACACACATTGGCGGCATCTCTCCTCCCCGACAGGGTGCCTCCAGCACTTCAGATCCCAGCCGAGAGTCTGGCTGCTGGCGCCCAGCAAACGGTGCGGAAAGCAAACCGGGGCTCGCGGAAAGCGGGAGGAGGGGGGCTTCCTCGGGTCTGTTTTGTCTGGTTGGCAAGACTTCCGAAGCCTGGTTCCCTATAGCTGCCACCCGGTCGCTGGCGTGGAGGAGGGAGTCCGGGAAGACTGGACCCCAGAATTGTCCCGGCTTTCTCCCGAGTGCCCAGCGCAGCTTCTGGCTGAGAGCGGGAGCGGGCTGAGTGGGGACAAAGAACGCAAGGGAGAGGTAGAGCCTGGCCTTGGGCAGCCCCTGGCCTGGCCAGAGGCGCGAGGCCGAGAGCCCGCTCGGTGGAGACTGGGGGTGGAGGTGCCCGGAGCGTACCCAGCGCCGGGAGTACCTCCCGCTCACACCTCGGGCTGCAGTTCCCTGGGTGGCCGCCGAGACGCTGGCCCGGGCTGGAGGGATGGGGGGGCGGGGACGGGGGCGGGGGCGGGGCTCGTCACGTGGAGAGGCGCGCGGGGGCGGGCGGGGCGGGGGCGCGCGCCCGGCTCCTTAAAGGCGCGCGAGCCGAGCGGCGAGGTGCCTCTGTGGCCGCAGGCGCAGGCCCGGGCGACAGCCGAGACGTGGAGCGCGCCGGCTCGCTGCAGCTCCGGGACTCAACATGCGCTGCTCGCCGGGAGGCGTCTGGCTGGCGCTGGCCGCGTCGCTCCTGCACGGTAAAGCCACTGCCTCCCCGCCCTCCACTCCTCCGTGGGATCCCGGGCACATCCCGGGCGCCTCTGTGCGCCCCGCGCCTGGGCCAGGTTTGGGATCTCCCCGCCGCCGGGGAGGGGCAGCGGGGGCGCTGCGGGGGCTGCTTGTCTGGGCTGCACCGGGTGGGCGGCGGGGGACGCCGGCAGGAGGGAGTCGGGGGTACCCCCGCCGGCCTGCCCTGAGCCCCCTGCCCGGGTCTTCTCTCCTTAAGTGTCCCTGCAAGGCGAGTTCCAGAGGAAGCTTTACAAGGAGCTGGTCAAGAACTACAATCCCTTGGAGAGGCCCGTGGCCAATGACTCGCAACCACTCACCGTCTACTTCTCCCTGAGCCTCCTGCAGATCATGGACGTGGTGAGTCCCGCCTGGCTACAGGGCTGCCCTCTCCCCTTCCTGGGCTCCGAGGGGCTTTTTAGACAGCGTCGGGCGGCCAGGCGGTGGAGCTCGGCTGGGGCACTCTAGTTGGCCCCAAGCTAGGCAGGGCCATGCTCTGAGTCTGTCCCCAGCCTGCCCTCTCCTGAGTGTCTCATTTCTCGGTTTCCCCTCCAGCCAAGGAGGGACCTGGTAGAGCTTATTCCATCACCCTGGCCACCTGTGCATGGTTACTTGGGTCCCACCTTTCTCTCAGGTTAGAAACTCAAGCATCCTGAGCTGGGACTCAGTAGCAAGAACAGGTGAAGTTCACTTTTTAATCTCCCTTATGGTGTAAGTGTTGACTTGCATTCCAGCATTGTCAATTTAGCCACTTCTAGACTTTTCTGCCGCCTATGGTATGTAACTTCTTTGGTGGGGGCCTGGCCCTGAGCTTTGCAGCTGGCGAATCTATCCAGGCAGAGGGCAAGAGGGCCAGCTGTGAACTTTCACTGTGACCCCATCTTAGGAATGGGCATGCTTTGCCTTCCTGGTGAGGACAGGTACTGGGAGTCCTGCTCCGAGGACTCAGGGTTCCCCGTCAGGAATACATGTGTCTGTCCCTCCAGGCAGCTGCCATCAGTTCCGTGGGTCTCTTGCCTTGCAGCCTTGCTAGTGCCCGCTTCAGTTAGCCAATCTGTGTAAACTTGCCTATTGTTCCTCTGTGCTGCTTTGGATATTCAATATTCATGGTATATTCTCCATACAATACAAATACTTCACACAAGTGTTTAATTCATTATAAGTGGGTTTGGTGTCTTGTCTATACAGAGTATCGGATTCTATTGTGGAGCACCCTGGAGTGTGGCAGGGTGGGGCACAGGGATAATAATGTTCATTGGGAGGGAGAGCATGATGGGAAAGAGGTGAGAGAATAGCCACAATTACTGGTTAAAAAAGAAATAGTGCTAAGAGCTACCTGGCAAAGTGGAAAAAGGTAAGAGGTGATATTTCATAATCCTACAAATAAACAGTTACCTGCACTATCATGTTGATGAATGGTATATCACTTAACCTAGTTAAAATTGCCATCATACATTGCCTCCTTTCCAACGCTACACTCGCCTCAAATGTGTTCTTCCTCCTACAGACAGAATCATGCTTTAAAATATTGAATGTATATGTGATGATGTGGAAAAGTTATCATGAGAAGAGCTGTAGGGGAAGGCAGGTTCAGTCTCATGTGTTGCAGAGCAGCAAAAGTTGCTGTTTATGGAGCAGTTCCTCAGTTGCTTTAAAGAGCTCAGGATTTGTACTTGGGATCTTCGGTGGGTTCTGGCTGTGTTGGTTTCTGGATGGCTGCTGTTAGGTAAGTTTCTTAAGCATCTTGAGCCTTGGCTTTCCGGCTAATAAAATGCACACTGTCAGTCATTGTGATCAACTAAAGAATATGGAAACAACTTGAAGAGACCTTAAAGCTAGATATGTGATTATGGTCATTTTCATGCAGAAACCACATGAAAAAGGACCAGGCAGCAGAGCTAACACACCCCGCAAGTGGTGTGTGACAGGGTGAGAAAGGGACAGTAGCCCCCTCTTCCCCCATTTGTCCAGGGTCAACTCCAGCCAGGCTGTCACACTGTTTGTGTCTGCTCCACAGCTGTCTCTCTTGGAGTGGGTGACCCTGTATTGCCTGGATGGGGGTGATGGTGTAGTAGCCCCTCAGTAGAGGAACAGGAGGAAGTCAGTAGAACAGGCTCCTGAGGTTGCAAAGGCTGCGGCAGCACCTTTTGGAGAAGAGACCACTCGCGGAGAAGCTGCAGGCTTTCTTCTGGGAACTTCTTCTTTAAGAGACTCTTAAGAAACCAAGTTATTATGAGGAGCTCTGAGTCTTAGGAGAAGTTTAGGCATAAGTTAGTGTTATACTACATGAACATTTAAAATAACTTTTGTCATGTTAGAAAATTACAAAAATAGCACATTGGCACTTTGTGTCAATGACATTCCAGTGTCCTTAGGAAATGCATGTGAAGAAGGCTGTCAGCAGCCAGAGGTCATGGGAAGGGGGCGGGAGAAAGTTTATCTCTCACCTTAGCCGTGGTATTGGCTGTGAACACATTGAACTTCCCAGCCAGGCAATGCTATGTTCATGGAGTGGCCTTGAACAAACTCACTTACCTTTCTAAGCTCTGTTTTCTCATGTGTTAAATGAGAATAATAATACCTGCTTCAGAGGGTTTTGAGAGGATTAAATGAGAGAAAGTGCTTGCCCACACTGGTGATTCACTGAAGGTCTGCTCCATCTTAATTATGTAACTACTCAACTCAGAGGTCAAGAAGTCCATGCCTAGAAGGGTGTGGTCACATGCCCAAGGTCACTCTGTGATTAGAGGTAGGGCTATGAGGAAAACCAACATCGGACAAGTCCTTTGTCTTTCGTCTGCTGCTTCCTTTAGACTTGGTAACTTCGGCAGAACAAAGTCATTTAATTTATTTAAACTGGGTGAATTGTAACTAATTTAATGTGACTTTCCTGAGATCCTGGATGAAGCCGAAGTCTCTATCAGACATAACAAAATATGCAAACATTTGTATTCCAGCCTTACTTGGCTCTGCCTGGTTTTTGAAGCAGAGCCAGGTCTCTCCAGCTGAAATCTCAGCGCTCTGGACAGAGACACAATGGTTCTCATAAAGGCTTCGTGTGGCAAAATCTTGGCTGGTATAGATTCTCTTTACACATTTGTTGCCCATTTTAACTGGACTGTTCTAGAGACCATAGTAGTTGGTTTTCCTACTCCCAAATATTGTTATTGATTGCTTTTGTTTGTCAGCAGAGATTCCTGACTGGAGTGATAGGAAGACACCATATGATGTTACATATTTGATTTTTGTGAAAGATCATTTACTCTTTAATCAATTTATTCCACACATGCTATTGAGCTCCTGTTGTAGACTTTGACAAATTCTGAGAATTAACAGAAAGATGAGGGATTATTTTTCCTTTCAGAGATCTCATGAGCTGGCTAGGGAGATTAAAAAGTAAATCCAAAATTACATGTGATGAAATTTAACATAAATATCTATACAAAGTGCTAGAAAACATTGTGTTCAACTAGAGCAGCTGAGAGTGGCTTCAAAGAGATGGTGGTTAGAGTTCTAAAGATGAGAAGGAGTTTGCCACTGAAAGTAGGAAATCTTTTCCAGGTTGAGGAAAGACTGAAAGTGCAGTGGAGGACAGCTCACTTTCAACAAGGTGTGTTTTATGGGACACTGGCAACCTGTTGATCTTTACTACAGGTTTTGCTGCAAGACTTCTCAGAAAATTTATGCTATGTTTTTTGAGACATTCTAAAAGACCAATATAGTACTGACCAAACTACTGATAGTTTTATAGACCCTTTTGTAAGAATTATATGCTCTAGAAGCACACCTTACAAGGGGGAGGCTATGATTTTTCTTTGGTAGGAGGTGCTAGATGAGTGTGGGGACAGTAAGGTTGCAGTGTGTGAGGCGTCCTGAGTTCCTCTGCAAGTTTGCATTTCACCTGGCCCTAGTCTAGGCATCTCTGAGGGCATGAGGAGGCAGTGTGCCAGGGGTTTTGTGAAGCTGTAAGACCAGCCTGCCATAGCATATTTTCCTAGAAAAGGAAATAGTCCAAACCATGATATTTGTATTAAATTCAAGTATAAATTATAGATTGGAGTGAAAAAACTTTGCATACATTTTAGAGGTACAACATGAGTCCTCAAAGGAATTGCTTGACCTGCTGTTATTCAACAGGCTCCTTCATGAAGCACTAGGCAGAGGGGGAAGATATGGTGGGTCGTTAAACAGGGGAGGGAAGTAACCGAATCTCTGCTTAAGCAGAAGATGCTGAGAGCAGTGAGTGTGAGACGGGTCAGAGAGGAGAGAAAGGTAACGGACAAGGAGGTTGAAACTAGGATGGCCACTGTGGGAATGTGGAGAAGGGGGCAGATTTAAGAGATGTTTTGGATATATTGTCTATGATCTATAACTGTGTGTATAAACATCATGAATATACATCAATAAATTTGCTAAGTGAAAGTGCCTAAATTATTCTTATATGCACACACTGACTTCTGGTGATTATTAATTTACTTCCTGGGCTTGTAACTGGGCTGGGAATGAGATAATACATAAGAAATCATTTTGAAGTGATGCATGTGTGAGGTTCTAATCTGCCAAGTTTCCATAATGTTTCTTTCTCCTTTATTTGTGCTGTTTAGTCAGTCACCTGAGCACATGCATCTGAAGGCCATTCTAAGTGATTTGCATAAAATAAATATGCATTGGTTATGAAGCATGTCCAGAAGTCAAGTTTGTTAATAATATGAACCAACATGTAATTATATACAAATGTAAAACACATAATTATACAAGATTGACTATTTTGGTATTTTATTGATTTGAAATGCAGACTCAGCTTTTTGGAAGCTTTAGTCACAAGACCGTAGAACTAAGTGGTCATGCACTTACGTTTTGGCACTGAAGATGGCAGGCAGGGCTGTGGAGCCCAGTATCCTAAGGGCTTATGTGTTATCTGAATTCCTTTGGGGGGCCCTCTGTGTAGGTTTGCAATATGTATGATTTTACATTCATTAGCCACTATTTAAAATGCTACAACTCCAACAAAATACTGTCAAATATTATAAAACCCACATACCTAGAATATATTGTAAAAAGAAATGCTGAAGGTATAATCAGGTATTGATCTTTATCATTTAAAAAAATCTTTACTTTTTTGAGCAGTTTTAGCTTCACAGCAAAATGAAGAAGAAGGTACAGAGATTTCCCACAGCTTCCTCAATTATCAACATTCCCCACTAGAGTAGTATATTTGTTACGACTGATGAACTTACATTGACACATCATCATCACCCCAAATGCATAGTTTATAAGAAGGTTCCCTCTTGGTTTTGTATAATCTATGGGTTTGGGCAAATGTATAATGGCATAATGTGTAATACCCTCATTATGGTATCATACAGAGTATTTTTACTCTCCTGAAATTTCTTTGTGCTCTCCCTGCTTATCACTACCTTCACCACAGCTCTTGGCAGCCGCTGACCTTTTGTTGTCTCCATAGTTGAACCCTTTCCACAATGTCGTATGGTTGGAATCATACAGTCTGTAGCCTTTTCAGATGGACTTATTTCACTTAGTAATATGCATTTATGCTCTCTCCATACTCTTTCATGGCTTGATAGCTCACTCCTTTTTAGCACTGAATAATATGCCAGTGGTCTGGATGTAGCACAGTTCATTTATCCATTCACCTCCGGAAGAACATCTTGGTTGCCTCCAAGTTTTGGCAATTATGAGTAAAGCTGCTGTAAGCATCTTGTGCAGATTTTTACGTGAACATAAGGTTTCAATCACTTGTGTAAATACCAACGAGGGCACTTGCTGGTTCGTATGCTAAGAGTATGTTTAATTTTCTAAGGAAATCACAGACTATCTCCCAAAGTGGATGTACCATTTTACATTCTCACCAGCAATGAATGAGAGCCCCTGTTGCCCTTTATCCATGTCAGCATTTGGTGTTGTCAGTGTTCTAAGTTTTAAGCATTCCAATAGGTGTGTAGTGGAATCTCATTGTTTTATATTTGCATTTCCCTGATGACATATGATGTGGAGCATTTTTTCAGAAGCTTATTGCCATCTGTAGGTCTTCTTTGGTAAGGTGTCTGTTAAGGTCTTTGGCCAAGTTTTCAGTGGGTTTTTTTTTTTTTTCTTATTTCTGAATTTAAGAGTTTTTGTATATTTTTGATGACAGTCCTTTATCAGGTATGTCTTTTGCAAATATTTTTCCCAGTCAGTACCTTGTTTTCTCATTCTCTTTACATTGTATTTCACAGAACATACATTTTTAACTTTAGTGAAACCCATCTTTTCAATTCTTTCTTTTATGGATTGTGCCTCTGGTATTGTATCTAAAAAGTTACTGCAATATCCAAGGTCATACAGGTTTTCCTCTATTATCTTCTAGGAGTTTTATAGTTTTGCACTTTACATTTAGGTCTGTGGTCCACTTTGAGTTAATTTTTATGAAGGGTGTAAGGTCCGTGTCTACATTTATCTTTTTGCATGTGATTGTCCAGTTGTTGTAGCACCATTTGTTGAAAAGATGATCTTTGCTCCATTTTATTGCCTTTGCATCTTTGTCAAAGATCAGCTGATTATATTCATGTGAGTCTTATTTCTGGGTTCTCTGTTGTGTTTTGTCGATCTCTTTGTCTATTCTTTCATCAATAACACAGTCTTGATTACTATAGCTTTATCCTAAGTCTTGAAGTTTGGTAGTATCAGTCCTCCAACTTTGTCGTTCCTCAACATTGTGTTGGCTATTCTGGGTCTTTTGCGTCTCTCTATAAACTTTATAATTGCTTTATCGATACCCACAAAATAACCTTCTGGGATTTGATTGAATCTGTAGATCAAGTTGGGAAGAACTGACATATTGACAATACTGAATTTTTCTATTCATGAACATAGAACAGCTCTTTAGTTAGTTCTTCCTTTATTTTGTTTGTAAGAATTTTGTAGTTTTACTCATATAGATCTTGTAAATACTTTACTTGATTTTTACCTAAGTGCTTAATTTTTGAGGGGTTAAATGGTATTATGATTTCAATGTCAAATTCTACTTGTTAATTGCCGAAATATAGGAAAGCGATTTACTTTTACATGTTAACCTTGTCTTCTGCAAAGTTGCTGTAATTGTTTATTAGCTCCTGGAGATTTTTTTTTTGGTCAGTTATTTTGGGTTTTCTACATGAACGATCATGTCATCTGCGATCAAAGACAGCTTTATTTCTTTTTTCCCAGTCTATATACTTTTTATTTCCTTTTTCTTGTCCTTTTGTATTAGCTAGTACTTCCAGTGTGCTATTGAAAGGAGTGGGAGAGGGGACAACCTTGACTTGTTCCTAATCTTAGTGGGAAAGCTTCAGTTTTCTTATCATTAGGTATGATGTTAGCTATAGGTTTTTTGGATATGTATATATATATATATATATAAATATACATATGTACATACATTTTGTGTATATGTAAAATATGTGTACATGTTTACATTTATGTATAAATATGTACATACATTTTGTATATTTATTTACATTTATATAAACATATATTGTATATATAATATACATATTTTATATATACATATGAAAAATATGTATATACACACATATACAAAAAACGTACAGCTAACATCATACTTAATGATATATATATTTATCAAGTTGAGGAAGTTCTCCCCTATTCCGTTTACTGAAAGTTTTTGTGATGAATAGGAGTTGGATTATGTCAAAATTGTTTTCATCTATTGATATAATCATATGATTTTTCTTTTGTAGCCTGTTGATGTAATGGATTATATTAATTTTTTAATGTTGAGCCAGCCTTGAATATCTGGAATGAATCTCACTTGACCATGGTGTATAATTCTTTTTGTACATTGTTGAGATAAATTTGCTAATTTTTAAATTTTTGGTTGAGACGGGGTTTCACTATGTTGCTCAGGCTGGTCTTGGACTCCTGAGCTCAGTTGATCTGCCTGTCTCAGCCTCCTAAAGTGCTAGGATTGGAGGCGTGAGCCACCACAACGTGCTAATATTTTGTTGAGCATTTTTGAATCTGTGTTCATCAGTGATACTGGTTTGTGGTTATCTTTTCTTAGAATGTCTTTATCTGCCATTTGTATTAGGGTAATGCAGGCCTCATAGAATGTTTTAGGAAGTATTTCCTCTGCTTGTGTACTCTGAAAGAGACTGTAGATAATTGGTATAATTTCTTTTTTAAATTTGTAGACTTCACCAGTGAGCCCTTCTGGGCCTGTTGCTTTCTGTTTTGGAAGGTTATTATTATTTGATTCAATTGCTCTGATAGATATAGGCCCATTCAAATTGTTTATTTCTTCTTGTTTGAGTTTTGAGAAATTTTGTCTTTCAAGGAGTAGTCCATTTTATCTAGGTTATAAAATTTGTGAGCATAGAATTGTTCATAGTATTTATTTGTTATCCTTTTAATGCCCATGGGCTGTGTAATGATGTCTTCTACTTCTGATATTAGTTATTTTTGTCCTTTCTCATTTTTTTCTTATTTAGCCTGGCTAGATGCTTATTGATTTTATTGATCATTTTTCAAAAAACAGATTTTGTTTTTGTTCATTTCCTCTATTGATTTCCTGTTTACAATTTTGTTGATTTCTACTCTAATTTTTAGTATTTCTCTGCTTATTTTGGATTTAATTTGCTCTTTTTTCTAGTTTCCTAAAGTAGAAGCTTAGAATACTGATTTTTAGATCTTTCATTTCTGTACATTTCAATACTGTATTCAGGGCTATAGATTTTCGCTTAAGGACTTCTTTTGCTGCATCCCACAAATTTTGATAAGTTGTGTTTTCATTTTCATTTCAGTTAAAATATTTCAATGTCTCTTGAGAATTCTTCTTTGAGGCATATATTATTTAAAGGCATATTGTCTAATCTCCACGTATTTTTGGATTTTTCAGTAATCTTTCTGTTACTGATTTCTAGTATAATTTCTTTGTATTCTGATAGCAGGCAATGTGTAATTTCTATTCTTTTAAATTTGTTAAGGCTCTTTCTGTGGCACAATTATGGGGAATATTCCATGTGAACTTGAGAAGAATGTGTATTCTGCTGTTGTTGGATAAAATAGTACTATAGATGTTGCTTATATCCAATTGATGGACAATGTTTTGAGTTCAATCATGTTTATACTGGTTTTCTGCTTGCTGGTTCTTCAAATTTCTGGTAGAGGGGTGTTAAAGTTTCCAACTGTGAAAATGGATTTACCTATTTATCCTTGTAGGTCTAATAGTTTTTGCCTCATTAGTTTGATGCTGTGTTTTTGGGCATATACACATTAAGGACTGTTATGTCTTTTTGTAGAACTGGTCTTTTTATCATTAAGTAATATCCTTTTTTATCCCTGGAAACTTTCCTTGCTTTGAAGTACGCTCTATCTGAAATTTACATAGCTATTCCTGCTTTCTTGGATTAGTGTTAGCATGGTATATTTTTCTCCATCCATAAGACACTGTTAATTTATATGTGTCTTTATATTTAGAGTGGGTTTTTTGTAGGCACATACAGTTGGGTCTTGTTTTTTGTTCTACTCTTACAGTCTCTTTAAATTGATGCATTTAGACCACTCAGAGTGATTGTCGATATAGTTGGATCAATAACTATCATATTTGTTACTGATTTTTTTGTTGTCCTTGTTCCTTATTTCAGTTTTTGTTTTCCACTCTGACTTTTATGGTTTAGTTGGACATTTTATATGGTTATGTTTTCCCTCCTTTCTTGGTGTATCAGTTATAGTTCTTTTTTTACTTTTTTAGTGGTTGCCCTAGAGTTTGCAATATACATTTACAACTAACCCAAGTCACCTTTCATGTTACATTATACCACTTCATGCATAATGAGAGCACTTTATAATGCAAAATAACATGAATTTCTTCCTCCTGTCCCTTGTACCATTTATTTCTTATAAGGTGCGTGTGTGTGTGTGTATATGTGTGTGTGTGTGTGTGTATATGTATTATATATGTATATATTATATATACACAAAGTATAATAAAATACATTTTTGCTATTGTTACTTTGAACAAACTGTTATCTGTTAGATAAATTAATAAGAAAAACAAAAGTTTTTATTTTGCCTTCACTTTTTCCTTCTTCAGTGGTTCTTTCTTTAATTTAGATATGACTTTCAACCTGTATCGTTTCCCTTTTTTTAAAGAACTTCTTTTAACATTTTTTCAAGGCAGGTCTGCTTGAAACAAATTTCTTCAATTTTTGCCTGAGAATGTATTTTTTTTCCTTGTCTTTTGAAGGATGATTTCAATAATTCTAGATTTGTGACTTTCTCTCTCAACACTAATTATTTTACTCTACTCTTTTTGCTTGCATGATTTCATGTAAGTCAGATGTAATTCTTACCTTTTTGGTCCTCTAAAGGGAAGGGTTTTTTGTCTGCCTTTGGCTTCCTTCAGGATTTTATCTTTATCTTTGTTTATAGTTTGAAATGATATACTTAGATGTTGGATTTTTTTTCCCCCACATGTATCAGCTTGCTGTTTTCTGAGATTCCTGGATGTGTGGTTTGGTGTTTGACACTAATTTGGGGAAATTCTCAATCATTGTTTCAAATACTTCTGTTCCTTTCTCTACTTCAACAGTCCCCAACCTTTTTGACACCAGGGACCTGTTTTGTGGAAGACAATTTTTCCATAGACTGTCGGGGGCCATGGTTTTGGGATGAAACTGTTCCACCTCAGATTGTCAGGCATTCATTAGATTCTCATAAGGAGCGTGCAACCTAGATCCCTTGCATGTGAAATTCACAATAGGGTTTGTGTTCCTGTAAGAATGTCACGCTGCCGCTGATCTGACCGGAGGCGGAGCTCAGGCAGTAATGCTCCCTGACCTGCCCCTCACCTCCTGGTGTGTGGCCCAGTTCCTAACAGTCCAGGTGACAGGTACTGGCCTGTGGCCTGGGGGTTGGGGAACCCTGCTCTACTTCTTCTCCTTCTCGCATTCCCATCACACATATGTTACACCATTTGTAATTGTCCCACAATCCTTGGATATTCTATTCTGTTGTTTTCAGTCTTTGTTCTCTTTGCTTTTCAGTTTTCAAAATTTCGATTGATATTCCTCATACTAGGGATTCTTTCCTCAGCTGTATCCAACCTACTAGTAAGCCCATCAAATATATTCTTTATTTTTGTTACATTATTTTTGATTGCTGGAATTTCTTTTTGGTTATGTCTTAGGAGTTCCATCTCTGTGCTTACATTGTTTAACTGTTCTTGCATGATGTCTGCTTTTTCCATTAGAGCCTTTAGCTTATTAATCATAGTTGTTGTAAATTCTGATCTGATAATTCCAATACTGCTGCTATGTCTGGTACTAATGCATGTTCTGTCTCTTCAAATTGTGTTTTTTGTTTGTTTTTTGCCTTTTAGTATGCTTTGTAATTTTTTCTTGATTGGTGGCTGTGATGTACCAGGTAAAAGGAACTGCTGTAAATTAATGTTACTAATGTAGTGTTAAGGTGTGGAGGGAGGGGAAGCATTCTATACTCCTATGATTAGGTCTCAGTTTTTTAGTGAGCCTTTCCCTCTGGACACGAACTTCATAGGTGTTTCTCAGTTTGTTTCTCCCCACTTGAGTGCGATAGGATGGCTAGAGTGGGTGGAGTTCAGTATTTCCCTTCCCTTGTGTCAGGTAAGCTCTCATAATACCCCGGAGGGTTAGACTCTGGTTAATTCATTTCTCCTGATGGCAGGCCTTATTAAAAACAACAGAAAATTCTGGCACATTTCCAAGTGGTTTCTTTCACTTCCCTCTGGTGGAAGGATGAGGGAACATTTCTTCAGTATTTCCTGTGGGAACCTGGTAGAGCTTCTGGAGGTAAATCTCATGATATTTGGGAACCCCCTATGATTGAATCCTTTTGGAATTTTTAACTTTCAAAGTTGTACACACTGAGCCTCCAGGAATTTGCCAATTCCAGTTTCAGGTTTTCTTACTCTGCTGCTGGTTCCTGTGGTGGTTTTGCTGATTAGTCTCTGCTCTGGAAAGTCCTGGCTCTCTGTATGTCCCTGTTTGTCCCCCTAATCTTGAGAGCAGAAGTTCATCCTGTGTGTTCCCCTCTTAGCTGGGCTCCAAGAAGAGCTGTTGTTTTTCTAGTGTGTTCACCTTTTTACTTGTTAGGACAAAGTTCATTCTGAGCTTCTTGCATCAGGAACCAGGAACTGGATCTAATAATGTTTTTATAAGATACATTTCTTAAAATGACAAAAGTAATATGTGTTTGTACAGGAGCTAAATTAAACAAACCAAAAAAAGAATCAAGAAGTTGAAAATCAAGGGGGTAAAAATCAGCACACACAAGGCATTCTGGCAGAGTTCATGCTATCTTTTCTTTATGTTTATAGATGTGTAGAGAAATATTTAAATATTTAAAAGTTAAAAGGTATAAACATGATGTATGGTGCCTTAAGCAGTATTAACAGGCATTGATTTTAAAGTGGTACACTTAGGCCCATTAGTAAACAAATACAGATTTTAAAATACATTTATATGTTTTCTTCATTAACTCTTACCATCACTGCATATTCAATCTATATTCCTTTTGTAATTTAAAAACCATTTTAAAAAATGTGTTTAAATGATTTATGATGATACTTATAAGTAACACATAGTTGGGTTTTTAAAAAAATTGAATTTGATAATCTTTGTATTTTAGTTATCCTTCATGTGGTTACTGATCTATTTGGTTTTAAATCTATCCTTCACTGTTTACTTCCACTTACCCTTGTCTCTTCTATGTTCTTTTTTTCCTCTTTTTTCTTACACTTTTCTGGATTAATTGCTCATTTTATATTATTCTAATTTTCTCTTCTATTAGTTTGTTAGTCATATTTCTTTCTTTTTGTCTTACAGTGGTTGATCTGGAGATTACAATAGGAATCCATGACTAAGTAAAGTCTAGTGAAAGTCGTCAACCTTTCTGTACAATGTGAGGACTTTACAACACTTTAATTCCATAATTCCAATTTATCTACTGTTATTGTCATATATTTTATTTCTATAAATATATTTAAACCTTATAAGATTATAATTGTCTTTTACAGTCAGTATTCTTTTAGATTTACTCGTATATTTACCTTTTTTTGTTACTTTAATTCCTCCCTGTATCTTCTAACTTTCATCTGAGATAATTTTCCTTCTGCCCTTTAGACTTCTCTTTCATGAGAGTCTGGAAGTAGCACAATTTCTCCATGTTTGTTTCAAAACTTATTTATATTGCCTAATTTTTGTGTGATAATTCAGAAATACAGACTTTGTGTTGCCGGTTAGTTACAGCACTTTTATATACAGCATAGTGTCTATAGTCGATTACCCTAGTGTTTTCTGACTTCAGTACTTCTGTTAAGAGGTCAGCTGTATGCCTTACTGTTGCTTCTCTGTTCTTGTTTTCTTTGGTCACTTTTAAATTTTATTCTTTGTCTTTGATTTTTAACAGTTTTGCTATGATAAGAATATGTTTCTGCTCTTTTGTTTTACCTGCTTGGGATTCAGAATGACTTATTGAATCTGTTCCTTGGTTTCATTCACAAGTTTTGGACAATTGTTGCCAGATCGATCGATCTTTTCCTCCTTCCTTCCTTCCTTCCTTCCTTCCTTCCTTCCTTCCTTCCTTCTTTTTTTGGGGATGGAGTCTCGCTGTGTTGCCCAGGCTGGAGTGCAATGGCACGATCTTGGCTCACTACAACCTCTGCCACCTGGATTCAAGCAATTCTTCTGCCTCAGCCTCCCGAGTAGCTGGAACTACAGGTGTGCACCACCACGCCTGGCTAATTTTTGTATTTTTAGTAGAGACAGGTTTTCACCATATTGGCCAGGCTGGTCTCCAACTCCTGACCTCATGATCCGCCTGCCTCAGCCTCCCAAAGTGCTGGGATTACAGGCGTGAGCCACTGTGCCCGGCCTAGATATTTCTTTAGATATGGCTTCTGCTCTATTTTTTCTGCCTTCCCTTTTTGGGACAATGATTACATGTTCACCACAGCTTTCACTTTATCTCAGTGATTCTCAACCAGGGGCAGTGTCTCTCCCCAGGGAATATTTGGCATTATCTTGAAAAAATTTCAGTTGCCCCAACTGGGGAGAAAGATGCTACTGACACTTACAGGGAAGAGGCTAGGGATGCTACTAAATGACCTATAGTGCATAGGGTGACTCCTCAAGAAAAAGAATTATCTGGCCCCCAATTTCAACAGTGCTGAGATGGAGAAGACTAATTTATTCCATATGCCTCCTATTCTTTGCGGCAATTCCCATTACTTTGTCTCTCCATGCTTCATCCGGTCCGTTTTCTGTTGACATATATTCAATATTCAGTCCTTGAATTCTCTCATTGTGTCTATCTGTTGTTAGTCCCATTTATCGACTCCTTTTTAAAGTTTCAGATATTGCATGCTTTAGTGTTAAGAGTTTCCTTTTGGTTCTTACGATGTTTTCTAGCTCTCAAGCTTGTTCTGATTTTCTTCAAATATATTAATAAGACTTTTTTTTATAGTCCCTGTCTGATAATTCCATTCTTAAGACACTTTGTGCCTCTGTTTTTATTAGTGATGGCTCTTTTTGCTTTTCTGTTACATGGTCTGTGCTCCTTCTGAGCCTGGTTGTGTTTGTAGTTTGTCCCAGACAATGTATGGGAAAAATGGTAGAGATGAGAGAACGGAGAACACTTTTACTCCTGTTAATATTTGCTTCTGACAACAGCCACCCCATGGGTACCAGCAACCACACATAACCTTAATTAGATTAGGGATTGAGAAGATACGAAGATGGGCTTCAGTCCCTTTAAGCGCTGGTTTGTTTCTGGTTCTTGCATATACATTCTAGGGCATAAATACAGAGAATTTACTAGAGTCTTCTCTCTCTTCAATAAGTTTTTTTTTTTTTGAGACAGAGTCTCACTTTGTCACCCAGGCTGGCATATGGTGGCACAGTCTCGGCTCACTGCAACCTCTCTCTCCCGGGTTCCAGTGATTCTCCTGCTTCAGCCTTCCAAGTAGCTGGTATTTTTTTTTAATATTTTAAGTTTTAGGGTACATGTGCACAACGTGCAGGTTTGTTACATATGTATACATGTGCCATGCTGGTGTGCTGCACCCATTAACTCGTCATTTAGCATTAGGTATATCTCCTAATGCTATCCCTCCCCCCTCCCCCCACCCCACAACAGTCCCCAGAGTGTGATGTTCCCCTTCCTGTGACCATGTGTTCTCATTGTTCAATTCCCATCTATGAGTGAGAACATGTGGTGTTTGGTTTTTTGTCCTTGGGATAGTTTACTGAGAATGATGATTTCCAATTTCATCCATGTCCCTACAAAGGACATGAACTCATCATTTTTTATGGCTGCATAGTATTCCATGGTGTATATGTGCCACATTTTCTTAATCCAGTCTATCATTGTTGGACATTTGGCTTGGTTCCAAGTCTTTGCTATTGTGAATAGGGCCACAATAAACATACGTGTGTGTGTGTCTTTATAGCAGCATGATTTATAGTCCTTTGGGTATATACCCAGTAATGGGATGGCTGGGTCAAATGGTATTTCTAGTTCTAGATCCCTGAGGAATCGCCACACTGACTTCCACAATGGTTGAACTAGTTTACAGTCCCACCAGCAGTGTAAAAGTGTTCCTATTTCTCCACATGCTCTCCAGCACCTGTTGTTTCCTGACTTTTTAATGATTGGCATTCTAACTGGTGTGAGATGGTATCTCACTGTGGTTTTGATTTGCATTTCTCTGATGGCCAGTGATGATGAGCATTTTTTCATGTGTCTTTTGGCTGCATAAATGTCTTCTTTTGAGAAGTTTCTGTTCATATCCTTTGCCCACTTTTTGATGGGGTTGTTTGTTTTTTTCTTGTAAATTTGTTTGAGTTCATTGTAGATTCTGGATATTAGCCCTTTGTCAGATGGGTAGGTCGCGAAAAGTTTCTCCCATTTTGTGGGTTGCCTGTTCACTCTGATGGTAGTTTCTTTTGCTGTGCAGAAGCTCTTTAGTTTAATTAGATTCCATTTGTCAATTTTGGCTTTTGTTGCCATTGCTTTTGGTGTTTTAGACATGAAGTCCTTGCCCATGCCTATGTCCTAAATGGTAATGCCTAGGTTTTCTTCTAGGGTTTTTATGGTTTTAGGTCTAACGTTTAAGTCTTTAATCCATCTTGAATTAATTTTTGTATAAGGTGTAAGGAAGGGATCCAGTTTCAGCTTTCTACACATGGCTAGCCAGTTTTCCCAGCACCATTTATTAAATAGGGAATCCTTTCCCCATTGCTTGTTTTTGTCAGGTTTGTCAAAGATCAGATAGTTGTAGATATGCGGCGTTATTTCTGAGGGCTCTGTTCTGTTCCATTGGTCTATATCTCTGTTTTGGTACCAGTACCATGCTGTTTGGTTACTGTAGCCTTGTAGTATATAGTTTGAAGTCAGGTAGCGTGATGGCTCCAGCTTTGTTCTTTTGGCTTAGGATTGACTTGGCGATGCGGGCTCTTTTTTGGTTCCATATGAACTTTAAAGTAGTTTTTTCCAATTCTGTGAAGAAAGTCATTGGTAGCTTGATGGGGATGGCATTGAATCTATAAATTACCTTGGGCAGTATGGCCATTTTCACGATATTGATTCCTCCTACCCATGAGCATGGAATGTTCTTCCATTTGTTTGTATCCTCTTTTATTTCATTGAGCAGTGGTTTGTAGTTCTCCTTGAAGAGGTCCTTCACATCCCTTGTAAGGTGGATTCCTAAGTATTTTATTCTCTTTGAAGCAATTGCGAATGGGAGTTCACTCATGATTTGGCTCTCTGTTTGTCTGTTATTGGTGTATAAGAATGCTTGTGATTTTTGTACATTGATTTTGTATCTTGAGACTTTGCTGAAGTTGCTTATCAGCTTCAGGAGATTTTGGGCTGAGACAATGGGGTTTTCTAGATATACAATCATGTCATCTGCAAACAGGGACAATTTGACTTCCTCTTTTCCTAATTGAATACCCTTTATTTCCTTCTCCTGCCTGATTGCTCCGGCCAGAACTTCCAACACTATGTTGAATAGGAGTGGTGAGAGAGGGCATCCCTGTCTGTGCCAGTTTTCAAAGGGAATGCTTCCAGTTTTTGCCCATTCAGCATGATATTGACTGTGGGTTTGTCATAGATAGCTCTTATTATTTTGAGATACATCCCATCAATACCTAATTTATTGAGAGTTTTTAGCATGAAGGGTTGTTGAATTTTGTCAAAGGCCTTTTCTGCATCTATTGAGATAATCATGTGGTTTTTGTCTTTGGTTCTGTTTATATGCTGGATTACATTTATTGATTTGCGTATATTGAACCAGTCTTGCATCCCAGGGATGAAGCCCACTTGATCATGGTGGATAAGCTTTTTGATGTGCTGCTGGATTCCGTTTGCCAGTATTTTATTGAGGATTTTTGCATCAATGTTCATCAGGGATATTGGTCTAAAATTCTCTTTTTTGGTTGTGTCTCTGCTCAGCTTTGGTATCAGAATGATGCTGGCCTCATGAAATGAGTTAGGGAGATTCCCTCTTTTTCTGTTGATTGGAATAGTTTCAGAAGGAACGGTACCAGTTCCTCCTTGTACCTCTGGTAGAATTCGGCTGTGAATCCATCTGGTCCTGGACTCTTTCTGGTTGGTAAGCTATTGATTATTGCCACAATTTCAGCTCCTGTTACTGGTCTATTCAGAGATTCAACTTCTTCCTGGTTTAGTTTTGGGAGAGTGTATGTGTCGAGGAATTTACCATTTCTTCTAGATTTTCTAGTTTATTTGCGTGGAGATGTTTGTAGTATTCTCTGATGATAGTTTGTATTTCTGTGGGATTGGTGGTCATATCCCCTTTATCATTTTTTATTGCGTCTATTTGATTCTTCTCTCTTTTTTTCTTTATTAGTCTTGCTAGCGGTCTATCAATTTTGTTGATCCTTTCAAAAAACCAGCTCCTGGATTCATTAATTTTTTGAAGGGTTTTTTGTGTCTCTATTTCCTTCAGTTCTGCTCTGATTTTAGTTATTTCTTGCCTTCTGCTAGCTTTTGAATGTGTTTGCTCTTGCTTTTCTAGTTCTTTTAATTGTGCTGTTAGGGTGTCAATTTTGGAGCTTTCCTGCTTTCTCTTGTGGGCATTTAGTGCTATAAATTTCCCTGTAGACACTGCTTTGAATGCATCCCAGAGATTCTGGTATGTTGTGTCTTTGTTCTCGTTGGTTTCAAAGAACATCTTTATTTCTGCCTTCATTTCGTTATGTACCCAGTAGTCATTCAGGAGCAGGTTGTTCAGTTTCCACGTAGTTGAGCGGTTTTGAGTGAGTTTCTTAATCCTGAGTTCTAGTTTGATTGCACTGTGGTCTGTTCTTTTACATTTGCTGAGGAGAGCTTTACTTCCAGGTATGTGGTCAATTTTGGGATAGGTGTGGTGTGGTGCTGAAAAAAATGTATATTCTGTTGATTTGGGGTGGAGAGTTCTGTAGATGTCTATTAGGTCTGCTTGGTGCAGAGCTGAGTTCAGTTCCTGGGTATCCTTGTTAACTTTCTGTCTCGTTGATCTGTCTAATGTTGACAGTGGGGTGTTAAAGTCTCCCATTATTATTGTGTGGCAGTCTAAGTCTCTTTGTAGGTCACTCAGGACTTGCTTTATGAATCTGGGTGCTCCTGTATTGGTGCATATATATTTAGGAAAGTTAGCTCTTCTTGTTGAATTGATCCCTTTACCATTATGTAATGGCCTTCTTTGTCTCTTTTGATCTTTGTTGGTTTAAAGTCTGTTTTATCAGAGACTAGGATTGCAACCCCTGCCCTTTTTTGTTTTCCATTTGCTTGGTAGATCTTCCTCCATCCTTTAATTTTGAGGCTATGTGTGTCTCTGCACGTGAGATGGGTTTCCTGAATACAGCACACTGATGGGTCTTGACTCTTTATCCAATTTGCCAGTCTGTGTCTTTTAATTGGAGCATTTAGTCCATTTACATTTGAAGTTAATATTGTTATGTGTGAATTTGATCCTGTCATTATGATGTTAGCTGGTTATTTTGCTTGTTAGTTGATGCAGTTTCTTCCTAGTCTCCATGGTCTTTACATTTTGGCATGATTTTGCAGCGGCTAGTACCGGTTGTGCCTTTCCATGTTTAGTGCTTCCTTCAGGAGCTCTTTTAGGGCAGGCCTGGTGGTGACAGAATCTCTCAGCATTTGCTTGTCTGTAAAGTATTTTATTTCTCCTTCACTTATGAAGCTTAGTTTGGCTGGATATGAAATTCTGGGTGAAAATTCTTTTCTTTGAGAATGTTGAATATTGGCCCCCACCCTCTTCTGGCTTGTAGAGTTTCTGCCGAGAGATCCGCTGTTAGTCTGATGGGTTTCCCTTTGTGGGTAACCCGACCTTTCTCTCTGGCTGCCCTTAACGTTTTTTCTTTCATTTCCACTTTGGTGAATCTGACAATTATGTGTCTTGGAGTTGCTCTTCTCGATGAGTATCTTTGTGGTGTTCTCTGTATTTCCTGAATGTGAATGTTGGCCTGCCTTGCTAGATTGGGGAAGTTCTCATGGATGATATCCTGCAGAGTGTTTTCCAACTTGGTTCCATTCTCCCCGTCACTTTCAGGTACACCAATCAGATGCAGATTTGGTCTTTTCACATAGTCCCATATTTCTTGGAGGCTTTGTTCGTTTCTTTTTATTCTTTTTTCTCTAAACTTCCCTTCTCACTTCATTTCATTCATTTCATCTTCCATCGCTGATACCCATTCTTCCAGTTGATCGCATCAGCTCCTGAGGCTTCTGCATTCTTCATGTAGTTCTCGAGCCTTGGCTTTCAGCTCCATCAGCTCCTTTAAGAACTTCTCTGTATTGGTTATTCTAGTTATACATTCGTCTAAATTTTTTTCAAAGTTTTCAACTTCTTTGCCTTTGGTTTGAATTTCCTCCTGTAGCTCGGAGTAGTTTGGTCGTCTGAAGCCTTCTTCTCTCAACTCGTCAAAGTCATTCTCCATCCAGCTTTGTTCCGTTGCTGGTGAGGAACTGCCTTCCTTTGTAGGAGGAGAGTCGCTCTGCTTTTTAGAGTTTCCAGTTTTTCTGTTCTGTTTTTTCCCCATCTTTGTGGTTTTATTTACTTTTGGTCTTTGATGATGGTGATGCACAGATGGGTTTTTGGTGTGGATGTCCTGTCTGTTTGTTAGTTTTCCTTCTAACAGACAGGACCCTCAGCTGCAGGTCTGTTGGAGTTTGCTAGAGGTCCACTCCAGACCCTGTTTGCCTGGGTATCAGCAGCGGTGTCTGCAGAACCGCGGATTTTCATGATCCGCGAATGCTGCTGTCTGATCGTTCCTCTGGAAGTTTTGTCTCAGAGGAGTACCCGGCCGTGTGAGGTGTCAGTCTGCCCCTACTTGGGGGTGCCTCCCAGTTAGGCTGCTCGGGGGTCAGGGGTCAGGGACCCACTTGAGGAGGCAGTCTGCCCGTTCTCAGATCTCCAGCTGTGTGCTGGGAGAACCACTGCTCTCCTCAAAGCTGTCAGACAGGGACATTTAAGTCTGCAGAGGTTACTGCTCTCTTTTTGTTTGTCTGTGCCCTGCCCCCAGAGGTGTAGCCTACAGAGGCAGGCAGGCCTCCTTGAGCTGTGGTGGGCTCCACCCAGTTGGAGCTTCCTGGCTGCTTTGTTTACCTAAGCGAGCCTGGGCAATGGCGGGCGCCCCTCCCCCAGCCTTGCTGAAGCCTTGCAGTTTGATCTCAGACTGCTGTGCTAGCAATCAGCGAGACTCCGTGGGCGTAGGACCCTCCGAGCCATGTGCGGGATATAATCTCCTGGTGTGCCGTTTCCGAAGCCCGTCAGAAAAGCGCAGTATTGGGGTGGGAGTGGCCCGATTTTCCAGGTGCCGTCTGTCACCCCTTTCCTTGACCAGGAAAGGGAACTCCCCTGACCCCTTGCGCTTCCCGAGTGAGGCAATGCCTCGCCCTGCTTCGGCTGGTGCATGGGGCGCTGCACCGACTGTGCTGCGCCCACTGTCTGGCACTCCCTAGTGAGATGAACCTGGTAGCTCAGATAGAAATGCAGGAATCACCCGTCTTCTGCATTGCTCAGGCTGGGAGCTGTAGACCGGAGCTGTTCCTATTTGGCCATCTTGGCTCCTCCCCAAGTAGCTGGTATTACAGGCATGCACCACCATGCCTGGCTGATTTTTGTATTTTTAGTAGAGACGGGGTTTCAAGACGTTCCCCAGGCTGGTCTTGAACTCCTGACCTGAAGTGATCTGCCCGCCTTGGCCTCCCAAAGTGCTGGGATTGCAGGCATGAGCCACTGCACCTGGCCCTCTCTTCAGTAAGTCTTGAGCTCAAAATTTTCCACTTTTCTCTTAAGTTTGTCAAGGTTTGCTTAAAATTTTAGCCTCTTAAGCATTATTAAATAATCACCACAGGCTCTGGAAAGGTGGCCTCAAATCTTGGTATTCTCTCAGGGCTCCCCTCCCTTCCTGGATCTTGTCCCTGCAATTCCTCACTGCTCTATTAGTATTCTGGTGCCCTTAAGCATGATTTTTTTTTTTTTTTCCCCAAGCTCTTCTAATTGTTCTCACTGGAGAGTTGATGAGAACCACCTAGTTGATCATCACTGATAGCAGAACAGAAATTCTAAGTGGAAATAAATATCATATGTGCTCTCTAATTTGTGGAAGCTAAGAAAGTGGATCTCACGGAAGTAGGGAGTGTAGTGGTGGTTACCAGTGACTGGGAAGACAGTGGGGAGAGGAGAAGTTGGTTAAAGGGAGTAAGTTAGATGGAAGAGGCCAGGTGCGTTGGCTCACACTTGTAATCCCAGCAGTTTGGGAGGCCAAAGAGGGTAGATCACAAGGTCAAGAGATTGAGACCATCTTGGCCAACATGGTGAAACCCCATTTCTACTAAAAATACAAAAATTAGCTGGGGGTGATGGCGCATGCCTGTAGTCCCAGCTACTCGGGAGGCTGAGGCAGGAGAATCGCTTGAACCCGGGAGGCAGAGGTTGCAGTGAGCCGAGATCGCGCCACTGCACTCCAGCCTGGTGACAGAGCGAGACTCCATCTCAAAATAAATAAATAAATACAATTAAATAAAAAAGTTAGATGAAAGATATAGTTAGATAGAAGGAATAAGTTCTAGTATTTAATAGTATAGTAGAGAAATTATAGTTAACAATAATTTATTGTACATTTCAAAATAACTAGAAGAGCAGACTTGTAATTTTCCCAACATAAAAGATAAATGTTTGAGGTGGTAGATACCCCGATGATACCGATTTCATCATTACACATTGTCTGTGGGTATCAAAATATCACATGTACCTCCAAAATATGTACAGCTATTAGATATAAATAAAAAAATCTGTAATGCACCTTTATAATTGATACCAATTTATTATGGTTGAAATTTTGTCTCCTAAAACCTGAAGAGGTTTAGGAGACAGAGCCCTGAAGAGGGCTGTGGGAGATAAACCCACAAAATTCTTTTAATCTGTATAGACTGAGAATTGTAAGCACTTTTACTAAAGGAATCTTTCTTGTAAATGTTGCCTTTCAAGGCTACCACTGAAGATATTCCCTGAAGGGTTCAGCTCTCTCAGAGCTTCTCGTTTCATCTTTGACATGCTGTTAAAGGAAGAGAAATAGTCTTGTCATGGAGGAAGGCCAACGAAAATCTCTGCTGCCTTATTGATTTATTTTTAAAATCAGGATTAGGTAGTGTTTTACTCCTCCTCAAAGAAGAGGGAAGTCATTTGGCATCTTCTAATTGCAGTTCCCATGCTCTTAATTTCAGTGATTTCCTTATTCAGTTAACATCAGTTATAAACCGTTATAGCCAAAGAAATTCAAAAAGTATTGTAAAATAGTATGTACTTGGGCATATTTATGTGTGTGTAAATGCACACTCAGTCACACACACCCCTGTTATCCTTAGCTCTCCTTGTTGATTTTATTTTTGATATCTCAAGACAAGGTATCATGTACTATGCTAATTAAGTTTCCAAGATCTAAAGCTTGAAGATACCGCAGAGGCCTTGGAGTCACAGCTCCCAGGTAGCCAAAACAATGGACTGAAACTAATAAGAAATTAAGCAATGAATTATACAAAATCTTGTATTATGGGTTAAAAATTAGTGCAGAAGAATGGGCTGTGGGAAAGGCCTGGATGTGTGGCTGACTACTGGCTCTGCGTCAGCTCGTGGGTGTAGGAGCTGACCTGTCTAAGCTGTAGGTGGCAGTGGACGAGGAGTAGGAAATTGCAGTTGTCATGGTTAATGAATGCCACCTGTGAGAGATTCTCAGCATGGGAAATTTACTCTTGCATCATTGGAAGTGAATTGTCTGTAAATATTCCTGTCTTGGATAAAAGAGCCATGGTGTCTATACTCTGGGGAGAGGACTTAGAGAGGGAGGAGAACTTATTTACTTTATTTTGTGGAGAGAAGGCACGTGTTAGGCTAACTCTTTAGTTGGTTTCAAATTTCAGGATTGTTAAATGAGTTTATAATCTAAAGTATCTATTTTAAGAAGTCCACACAGAGAAGATATTATGATCAGAGATTTAGATTAAGCAAATTAGGGTAAGGCTGCTCACTGATTGCCAAAGTATATTTCATTAAGTGCAAATGGATGAAATTTACAATTGAAATCACTAGTCAGGAAACAGTTTGTTTAAGTTCTCCATTAAGAAGTTTTATTGTCATTTGAAGTAACCTTTAACACACTGTGTTAAAGGTCTCTCGTAGAGAGACACACATCTTATTTTGGAAGTTATTCTTTAACCCTATTCTAAAACTTTAAATTGTAGTAGAGTAGATATACACTAATGTGGCACGATATCAAAACCAATTCAGTGGGTTACCACAAAGTGAACCCCGTTAAGCTGTCACCACCCAATACAGACCTTCGCTCCTCCAGAGCTAAACTGTTTGCCTTACTTCAAACACCAAAGTCTAGTTTTGCCCTTCTCTGGAACTCTGTATAAGAGGAATCACCCAAGCACACAGCGTGCGTTCTTTGGGATCTGGCTTTTTTGGTTCATTTTTATTTTTGTGAGCCACCCAAGTTGTTGTCTGTAGCTCTTCTTTCTTCATTTCTATTGTATGAATATAACAACATGTATTATTATATTGATGGCTATTTAGATTTCTTCTAGATTTTGTCTGCTTTCAAGAACACTTCAAGGAATGTGTTACATGTCTTCTGACGGACAGGAGTATGCATTTCTCTCTGATACAGACGTAAAAGTAGATTGGCGGGGCCATAGGGCAGCGTGTTTTTAACTTTTCTGGATGATGCTAAACAATTTTCAAAATGGTTATACCAATTAGCATTCCCACCAGCAGTGTATGAAAATTCTTGTTGCTCTACATACTCACCAACGCTTGGCATTTTTAGTCTATTAAATTTACCATTCTAGTGGGTGTGGAGTGACATTTTCTTGTGATTTTAATTAGCATTTCCCTGATTACAGCTAAGGTTGAGGAGATTTTCATTTTTTTATTTTCCATTTTGATATATTATTTTGAGAAGTGTCTAATCGTGTCTCTTTACTATTTCTCTCTCTCTTTTTTTTTTGTTTTGTGTTGGTTTGTTTTCTTCTTTATTGATTTGTATGAGTTTTTCTGTATTACAGATATAAACCCGTAGTCATTGTCTTTGTTTTGTGCTGTTATAACAGACTGGAGACTGGGTAATTTATTAAAAATAGAAATTTATTTCTCATAGTTCTGGGGATGGTAAAGTCTGATATCAAGGTGCCAGTATCTGGCATATCTTGCTGCTTCACAATGTGGTGGAAGGCATCACATGGCAGAAGGGCAAAGAGTGGGTGTGAGAGAGAGAGAGCAAGAGGGCTAAACCTGCTCCCTTCATAATGAACCCACTCCCAAGGTAACTGCATTAGTCCATTCAGGAGGGTGGGGCCTTCATGACCTAAGCATCTCTTATAGGTTCTGTCTCCCAATACCATCCTAGTGGAAATTAAATTTCAGCATGAGTTTTGGAGGGGTCAAACATTCAAACCATTGCAGTTGGCCAGGCGTGGTGGCTCATGCCTGTAATCCCAGCACTTTGGGAGGCCGAGGCGGGCGGATCACGAGGTCAGGAGATCGAGACCATCCTGGCTAACACAGTGAAACCCTGTCTCTACTAAAAATACAAAAAATTAGCCGGGCGTGGTAGCAGGCGCCTGTAGTCCCAGCTGCTCAGGAGGCTGAGGCAGGAGAATGGCGTGAACCCGGGAGGCGGAGCTTGCAGTGAGCTGAGATCATGCCGCTGCACTCCAGCCTGGGTGACAGAGCGAGACTCTGTATCAAAAAAAAAAACCAAAAAACAAAACCATTGCAGTTATATGTTTTGCAGGTATCTTAGACTCTTTGGCTTATTGTTTTACTTTTTGACATTCTTTCTTTTCTCCTTTTGTAAACTTTCAATTGAAGTATGACATGCTTACAGATTAATGGTGTCTTTTGGTGAACAGAAATTCTTAATTTTAGTGTGGCCTAGTTTAGAAATCCTTTCTTCTACATTTAGTGCTTACAGTGTCATATTTTAAAAGTCTTTCCCTTCCCCAAGTTCATGAAGATATTTTTCTGTATTTTTTAGAAGCTTTCCATTGTTGTTTTAGTGAATTTTTGTTACTGTTTTACCTCTCATGTTTGTTTATAACCCACCTAGAATTGATTTTTGTGTATAAAGTGTATCACTTTTAAGCAGTTTTATGGAAATTGGACTGGTGACTAATTTATTTTGTTTTTCAAGAGTTGTGAAAGGGTTGTTAGTGGAATTAATGCATGATTGTTTAACTGTATCACATTTGGACATTGTATTGTCCACTATGCCTGTGCCCTAATGGACATTTTAATTATTTAATGTGTGTATGATATGAAAATAATGTATGGGTAATGGAAATTTTTAATATTTAAAAATGTTGACATCACACACATTATTTACAAAGTCAGTAGTAAAGAAGGGCTTATGAGAAGCCCTAGCCCCTGGCCCCAGGTTTCCCATCACCATCCTAAGACAGGTACTTTTAACAGGCTCTGTTTCAGGTCATCACTCATATTTTAACATTCTGCTTATGTTTCTATTTCTTGATTGATTAAAATATCAAATTCTCTGGACCTTTACTGAAATTAAAATGCCTTTAATTAAATATCTTCAGTATGGATGTTCTTATTTTTAGGAGGGATTTTGTTAACAAAGAAAACATTAGGCAAATTCAATTTAGCAGACGTTATATGAGCAAAGAACAATTCATGAATCAAGCAGCACTCAGGACCAGAAGAGGTTCAGAGAGCTTGACTCAGTAGTGTGAGCAACCAGCTTTTATAGGCTGAACACAGAAGCAAATTAGATAATCTGATTGGCTACCACTAGGCACTTGTCTTACTTGGCATGGGGTGATGAATTGGCTGCCTGTGATTGGCTGAAATCTAGCTGTTCATGGTTAGCTGAAACTCTGCTGTTATAGTCCTAAGTTAGGTTTTGGTTTGTTTGCTTAATAAATTAGGTTGCCTTTGTTAAGTAGGAACTCAAAGATGGGAGATAGTCTCCAGCCAGTGGCCTTCTGCTTATTTCATTTAGCAGTTTGTTTATTAGGAATGGCAGTGTGTCCCTCAAATCAGGATCTGATGATGAAGGTTGTTGGCTAATGATTGAGATAGAGATGGGTTTTTTTGTTTGTTTTTGTTTGGATGCCTATCTGACTCTGAAGGAAAAGAAAAAAATTTCCCTAAGTTTCTTAGCAAATCAAAAGCCTTCTACACTGACTGATTTTAAGGATAGGCTGTAATTAGGTAATGAACATTTTGGTGTGTTAACTTGGAAAACCCCAACTTTATAGCCATAGCTAATATATTCACTGAAATATATTTCGGGTTTTGAAAATCAATTGGCCAAAAGCTTTAAAAACATTCTTTTTAAAAACAACATTTAAAAACTTTCTTGCAGAGTTTTCCTTTAAAAATAAAAAGTGCTACTTTTTAAGCCTTTGATCAAATGTTGATACTCCTCAACTTTGTGACTGAATCATTTAGGACAATATTTTAAATTTGCCTAAAATATCTGTAGGTTAAAGATCAAGAAAATTTCCTGATTAAAAGTGAAAGGATAACAGATATGTTGATAAAAATGCACAACGTCCATAGAATCCTGATACTTGCAGACATTCAGGTGTTTGTAGTTACTCTTCAGGGCCACATCCTATAAACAACTAGAAATCAGGATATACATGTAAGTCAGGTAAATTTCAGACAGCCTGTAATGTTTCAAGCAGGAAGATGTCTCCAGATCTGTCCTGGAGGCTTCCCTGTTCTTTATATTACCGGTCTTGCATTTTACAACTTCAGACTAAACAGAAACTGTATCAGAGGCCTTTGTCTTAGTGATTTAGGCCAGGGAGTGATTTACACTGACTAGTGGTCCTAGGAGCAGTAGGCTTTTAATTCTGCTTCCTGCACTCTAGGATTGACTATCATGCTGTTGAAGATGATGTGTGGCTGCAGGGTGCACCTCCTTGCCTCCTTTCCCTCTGAAACATGCAGGGTTGTTCGGACCCTCCATCCTCTTCCATGCACAAAGCAGTTAATGCAAATTCCGTGGTCCAAGACAATCCTTTGACAGTAACCATCAGTCATGCATTAAAACAGCAGTGTACAGATGGTACCTTCATTGTTTCTGACAGGGACAGTTATGGGCATTGGATTAAAGTAAAAACTGAAAAGGAATATTCATGACAGGAAATTTTCCCTTTCCGGGGGTGTTTTGCAACAGCGGGAAGCAGCTGGTCATTGATGTGTCAGCACAAGGCAGCTTCCTGGATTTCCACTGGCTTCCTGGATTTTTCCAGGTGTCACTTGGAAAGTGTACTGAATTAGTGCTTGAAACTTAGTGTTAGAGTGCTCGAAACTTAGTCTCAAATAGAGGAAATGAACACAGAGTAGGATACATAATGTGGCATTGTTTGGATTGGGAATGCTGTACTTATTTCAGAAATGCCACTCTTTTGGAGGAAAATTAGTTTCCTCCTTACTTTATTGTTAAATCTGGGAAATCTGGAAAGGGCTGTGGGGGCAGAACTAGAGTGGGCTGGTATTCAGGGCCTCCTAATAGGTGGCTTTGGTTGTGTGACTTTGGATGCATATATCACTGTGTATATTTGAAAAAAGCCCTAAAGTAACATCATCTATATGTATATAACTTTAAAGAACTTTAACATTTTTAAAGCACTTTCACTGATGTTTGTCTCTTTGATGATCATGTGAAATGGTGTTCTTAATGACTGTACCTGTCTAGGCAGAGAACATTTTGGGACCTGAACCCAGGTCTTCTTTGTATTTTTTTTTTCTTTTTGGGACAGAGTCTTACTCTGTTGCCCAGGCTGGAGTGCAGTGGCATAATCTTGGCTCACTGCAACCTCCGCCTCCTGGGTTCAAGCAATTCTCATGCCTCAGTCTCCCGAGTGGCTGAGACTACAGGTGCACACCACCATGCCCAGCACATTTTTGTATTATTAGTAGAGATAGGGTTTTACCGTGTTGGCCAGGCTGGTCTCGAACTCCTGACGTCAGGTGATGTGCCCGCCTTGGCCTTCTGAAGTGCTGTATTTTTTTGTTTTCAGGATATTTCTGTTTATTTGCTCATTAAATGAATGGATTATGCAGTAGCCAAGATAATTGAAATAGGTGACCAGTGAGATTTTATTTTCAGTTTGAACTATTGATTTTTTTGGCATTTGATATGTTTTACTCCATTGCAGTTATTCTTTCTGATGCTTGAACTGTCAGATTGGCTCCTGCATTGTTTTGCTTTGGTCACTGTGATCCTTAATCATTTCTTCTATTTCCTGGCAGAAAATAAAATAAGGTGTCCTGGGCTCACTGTGTGTACCTCCCACCACAGACTGGAATCTGCCTTTGCTAAGGAGCATTACAGTGGGAAATTAAATTTAGAAGCCACAGACTGACAGGAGGTATTGGAAGAAATTCCAACTTGAGTCTAACAGATATCTCAGAAAGAGACAACTGAGCGAATGGGAAGTACAGATATAGAGAAATGATTTTTTTTTGTTTTGTTTGTTTTCTAAAAGCTTCTAGATTTGAGGGAAAACACAAACACATACTTAGAAGCAGCAGACCCACTTCATCCTTCAATTCCAGTACATCAGGTGTAAGGAAAAAAAGGCTATTTAGGACATTACAGAGGGCTATAACGCCCAAGCTCCGATGAGAAACTGATTAGTATCCTAAGATCTCTGAAACGCCAAGTAGAAAAGCAAAAAAAAAAAAAAAAAAAAAAAAAAAAAGTGTTTTCATGTATGCAAGGATTCAAAGTTTACCACCCACAAATTATCTGAAAGAATTGCTGGAATAATGTAATCCAGTTATGCAAAACCAAAATCAAACTCTAAGCAGAATAAGTGAGATATAATAAATCCAAGCAGTTAGAGTCCAGAAAATTTGGCATTAAGCCTAATTGTCAGTTGTCAAACATCCCATGAAACATCAACAGCAATCTATAACTGAAACTTCAGAATTCACTCTACAAACGGTCCTGGAGGAGTGAGGGTAGTGTATTTCAGAGGTAGAAAAAGCAGAGAAGAAATGCATTCTAAGATACTTTTCTATATCTATATCATCTATTTATATGTATACCTGTATATACATACCTGTGTGTGTGTGTGCACGCGCACACACGCACGCATATGGACTGATTTATGAAGGCATATATAGAAAAAATAAATTATGCATTTTCACATAACTTTCACATAAACTTGTAAATAACCACTGTAAGAATAGAAATAGGATATAAAGTTTTCAAACCTTGAAGGGCAATAATGGAACAAAGAAAACTGAACAATCCAATAAAACTAAGAAATGCTTTAAGAAAACACAAGAAAAGTCTGGTAAACAGGCAACATATTATGACAACAGAAACCCAATCTTATCCGTAATCACCATGTTGTGAATTGGACATTTTCAGTTGAAAATGTTCCAGCTATGGCCACTTTCAAGAGATAGACTTAAATCACAAATTCTCAGACAAAAATAAGTAAATAGGCAGATAGGCAAATGGAGATGGGGAAAAGCTGCAGCAAGCAGATATTAACAGTGGTTACAGAACTGTATCTTGCTGTAATGGGGGCTAATTGAGGAAAACCATCTGCGGCGGGAGGGCGTGTCTTCACTGAGGTGCGATGGCATTGTTGGCTGCTGAAGCAGGCATCAGAGTCCGAGAGGAGGACAGAGCACGTAGCCACAGGATGAGCACACCCACCAAGGGCTGATATGCAGAGCTGCCTACCCGAGGAGCATTGTGGGCCAGGAGAGCTTTGGATTCATCACAAGAGCAAGAGATGCATGGCAGCCCTGTTTCACAATAAGCATGTTATCTCACTCAGTCCTTGTGGCAAGCCCATTGGATGTACTGTCATTCTCCCGATGTTGTTGATTGGATACCAATGCTGGCCAGATTCATGGTGCTTGTAGGAGTGGAACCACCATGCTCAGCGGGACTAGACAGCTGCCAAACAGTGGAGGCTCAGGAAACCCCTTCACTTAAGTGCCAGCCTCACCCAGCCCGGACCTGGGAGGAAGCCAGGTAGTGGCAACAGAAGAGGAGGAAGGAAAGTCATCCAGGCACGTTTCCTGCGTGGAAAGAACAGCCTAAGATTGCTCAAGGTCTGGTTCAAATGGAGGTGTCCATAAAGAGACTTCCAGATCCCTTCCCATCAGAATTAACCTTTTGCACTCCCACAATACCGAAATACTTTACTTATTTATATGTGGCTATTAGGACAATTCAGAGAGAGACAAAATGTTTGAATTCACAAGAACAACATTTAAAAATGAGATAAGGCCAGGTACGGTGGCTCACGTCTGCAATTCCAGCCCTTTGGGAGGCCGAGGGGGGTGAATCACTTGAGGTAAGGAATTTGAGACCAGCCTGGCCAACATGATGAAACCCCATCTCTACTAAAAATATAGAGATTAGCCGGGCGTGGTGGCAGGTGCCTGTAGTCCCAGCTACTGGGGATGCTGAGGCAGGAGAATTGCTTGAACCCGGGAGGCGGAGGTTGCAGTGAGCTGAGATTGCATCACTGCCCTTCAGCCTGGGTGACAGAGTGAGACTTCATCTAAAAAACAACAGCAACAACAAAAAACACCAAAAAAACAACAAAACAAAACAAATAAGATGAGACCCTCAGTAATTATGTGAGCTTGGGAAAGCTACCACACCTCTTACATTCTGTTCTTTAAAGTAATAATAATTCCTGTGATATTGTCACAATACTCATGATTGGTGATACTTTTTAAAATTAACATTTTGGTAATATAACTCTTGCCCATAGTTTAAAAGCTGAGATAATTCTGTGAGGATTATTGTTCTCTGCTTCCATTTACATTTCTCATAGACAACCAATTCTAACTCTTTTAGCTGTTTCTTTGAGATTTACGTGCATATCTTGAAATAAAATGCTTATATTACCACTTTTTGCTTTAGTTCTGTTGAACAATGGAGAACCTCACAATACTGAAGGTGAGGACTTAGTTCTCTGTTCACTCTCTACCTCCACTACCACGCATAATTAACACACTTCCCTTCATTTATCACATTTACCTAATGAAATTACATAATCATTTTTGTTTAAATTAATATATAATGTTTATATTAAAATCTGTAAACTCATGATTCACAGCTGAGAGCCATGCAATAGGCTATATTCCTTTTCCTTAGAGTTAATACTATTATCTTTGGCCGGTTGTTGAATTTTTCATGTAATGATCACTATTCTATCCCCAAACTCTCCAGTAGACCTGTAATTTTCTCTCCCCATGTTCAGACACGTGGATCTGTGTCTTCCATGTTGTTAGAGACATCTTTTGAAGCATTTTATCCTCCTGCTTGAATGTAAATTGATTGTTTCCTAGCTCTGTTCTGCAGCTGTCAGACTGATATTTTCTTTTATGATTGCCTTTTGTCAACAGCTTTCTGACATCAACTGAGTATTCTATGACCCAGTTCGATTCAGACACTACCTTGCACTTCTGCCTGGCCATCTACACATTTGGGGCTTCCTACAACTTCCTCACATTTGTTAATTTGCTATAACAACTCCCAGAACTTGGTGCTAAATAGTCATTTGATGATGAGGATGCGTTCTGAGAAATGCATTATTAGGCGATTTCGTTCTTGTACAAACATCAGAGTCTACTTACACAGACCTAGGTGTTATAGCATACTACACACTTAGGCTATATGGTAGAGCCTATTGTTCCTAGGCTATAAACCTGTACAGCATGGTGCTTTACTGAATAGTGTAGGCAATTGTAATGCAATTGTAAGTATTTGTGTATCTAAACATAGAAAAGGTGTAGTAAAAATACAGAATAAAAGATAAAAGAATGATATACATATACAGGGTAGTTACCGTGAGTGCAGCTTGCAGGACTGGAAGTTGCTCTGGTGAGTCAGTGAGTGAGTAGTGAGTAAATGTGACGGCCTGGGACATTACTGTGTGCTACTGTAGACTTCGTAAACACTGTACACTTAGACTACACTAAATTAAAAAAAAAAAGTAATTGCACTGTGATGTTATGACAGCTATGACATCACTAGGCAATAGGAATTTTTTAGCCATTATAATCCTATGGGACCACTTTCAGATACGCTGTCCATAGTTCCCTGAAATGTCATTATGTGACACATAATTGTCCTTGTGATTATTGTTTTATTATAAAAATGCAAATGAGCTTCCAGGTGAAAAGTTACATAGGACAAAGTCTAGGAAGTCCTAAGCACAGGGTCTTCTGTCTCTGTGGAGACCAGCAGTGCCATCCTCTTCATACATTGATGTGTTCACCAACCAGGTAGTTTCCCCAAGCCTTGCCGTCTGGAGTTATTGATGGAGTTTCATTTTGTATGCATGATTGATTAAACTTTTGACCACATGATTGAGCTAAATTTTCAGCATCCCTCCCCTTCTTGGAGGTTAAGCCTCAAGTTCCAGTTCTCCAATCACTTGGTTGGTTTCTCTGGCAACCAGCCTCCATCCTGAAACCACTTGAGGGACCTCTTCCATGAGCCACTTCATTAGCATAACAAGGAATTTCTGATTTCTGTCACTAAGAGTTTTTGAAGCTCTATGTCAGGAACCATGGACAAAGACCAAATAGCTACTTTGTATTATTTCAATAGCTATCAACTAGAGAATTTCCCTTGCCATTCTCCATTTGTGGATCCAGATCCTCTTTCCTGGTTTATCTTCTCAGTTGATGGATGGTGTCCTTTATTACAGTTTGGGAAAGGGAGCATAGCAGGATTTTGAAGACCTTATTTTTACCCTTACACTTGATGAATAGTGTGGCTAGGAATAAGTTGAATACTTTTTCTTAGAATTTTGTTGTTTCTTTTCTTATTCCAATGTTCCAGTTCCCAATAGCTTTGTTTTGCTCTCTGAATGTTTCTTGTTGGAAGTATCTGATTTTTGTTAGTATTTTTAAAGCAATGCCGTTGCTCTGTTATAGTACTGAAGTTGTCCTCGTCTTCCTCCTTCTTCTTCTTTCTTCCTCCCCGTGCCCCTTTCCCTTCCCCTTCTTCTTTCTTTCTTCTGCTTCTGCTGCTGCTTCATTTTCTTCCTGCTCCTTGATCCTTCTACTTCTTGCTTTTGCTTTTTATGGAATTTTTCTTCTACTTCCTGTATTGTCTGCATCCTCAAAGTCCCTTATCTGTTGTTTATTTTGGTCTCTATTTGTCATATTAGAGCCTTTCTCATGATGATAGGTGATCTTTGGTAGAAGCTGTGTGTGTGTAGTGTGTGTGTGTGTGTGTGTGTATGTGTGTGTGTGGTGTGTGCAGGCAGGGGGTTCCCATATGTCTGTATGGTAGTGGTGGTGATGTTGGAGAAGTGGGCTTCATCATAGCATGATTTGGATGGGAACGTATTTTGGGGACCTTAATATGATTAGGTCTTTTCTCTTCATTGGATCACATTTCCCAGAGAAAATTTTTCTAGTATGCTACCTGGGCAGTATGTGCCTGGCAGTCAGAGCTCTGGAAACCAAAACAAGGGAGGGGCTGGGGGTCATGCATTCTTAACCCACCTCTGTTGTCAGTATGCATCTGTGCTCTTGCTTTACCTATGCTCATCATACAGAGTCCTCCTCATATTTCCTCTTCTGAGAATAAAATGCTAATATTATGCCATGGCCAAGAGAGGCAGTTGCCACTTGTGCATTGTGGTTCTTAAAATGAATATGCAACAGAGCCTATGAAGAACTTTTAAAATATGAGTGTTGAGGTATGTATGTGAAAATAGCAGAATAATGGCCTCAAAAATTATTTCCTCCATAAAATCAGAAAGAAGAAGGAAACTGCCAACATTTGCCAAAAGTAAGTTTTTCAAAACTTTAGAAATAAACTAAGAGGAGACCAAAAGCTAGCAGCAATCTGGGGAGCATTTATTTTTTATAAAAATAGGCCGAATCTTGGTAAGAACAGTGACTTTTGTGACATTTTAACCTGCCCTATTTCCTTCTCCCATCTCCAGCTCCCTGGTAGCCTTGAATCTGCAATTCAGGCTGCAATCATGATGAAACCATCAGCCTTTCTGTCACCAAAGTGGAGAGAACAGAGTTAAAGCTCCTCAGAGTCTCACTGTTGGAGAATTGTCAGTATTTGGTCTGTCTGGTGGTTCAGTAGAAGACCCCACTTGCAAGACTATTTTTACTTGACCAAATGCAGAGCTTTCCCAGTCTAGAAAGCCTTTTCCCTGGGTTGTTGGGTTGAAAATTTAGAAGTAATTGCTTAACCTTGGGGCTGCCTGAGGCAGTGGATATCAACTGAGGAAGATAATAAACTATAAAAAGATGAAAAGGAAAGGCTGGGGAATTCGATGTCCACAAGTTCTTTGAAAAGCTCCAAAAAACACATGTAAGGCTGTGCACATGCTCAGGAAAAATCTGAGAAGGCCTTAGACTCTCACCTCTGACTGACCTTGAGACTGTGCACAGGCAGGAAGTGAAGGCTAAAGCAGGGCTGTCAGCTGCCTGGCTGTGTGCGGAAGGTGTGCCCCAGCACACAACACAGCCCACTGCAAACACTGGGGGCAGAGCTGTCAGCTGCCTGGCTGTGTGTGGAAGGTGTGTCACAGCACACAGACATAGCCCACTGCAAACACTGGGGACAGAGCTGTCAGTTGCCTGGCTGTGTGTGGAAGGTGTGCCCCAGCACACAACACAGCCCACTGCGAACACTGGGGGCAGAGCTGTCAGCTGCCTGGCTGTGTGTGGAAGGTGTGCCCCGGCACACAACACAGCCCACTGCAAACACTGGGGACAGAGCTGTCAGCTGCCTGGCTGTGCCGAAGATGTGCTCCAGCACACAGATGCAGCCCACTGCCAACACTGGGGATTCATGGATGCCAAGCATTGAAGGAAATCTCAGTTTCCTAAATAGCTGGCAACTCATATAACAAAGGAAAGACTTTAGTGAGTATACACAACAAAAGATACAGACTTTACAGAATTAGTTGAGAAAAGTTACTGAATAAACAAATAGCAGCAACAACAAACCTAGGGTTGGAGGATATACTTTCCAGATTTTTCACATTATAGTATTTTTTTTTTTTTTGAGATGGAGTCTCACTCTGTCGCCCAGGCTGGAGTGCGGTGGCGCGATGTCCACTCACTGCAACCTCCACCTCCTGGGTTCAAGCCATTCTTCTGCCTCAGCCTCCCAAGTAGCTGGGATTACAGGCATGTGCCACCACGCCCAGCTAATTTTTGTATTTTTAGTAGAGACAGGGTTTCACCATGTTGGCCAGGATGGTCTCGATCTCTTGACCTCATGATATGCCTGCCTCGGCCTCCCAAAGTACTGGGATTACAGGCATGAGCCACCATGCCCAGCCACATTGTAGTATTTAAAATGTCCAATTTTCAAAAAATATATGTATGAGACATGCAGTGAAAATTTAAAAAGCAGATGGCATATACAGAGGGAAAAACAAAACAGAGTCAATAGGAATTGTCCTAAGAAAGCCCAGATGTTGAGTTTACTAGCAAAACACTTTAAACCAGTTATTTTATATATGTTCAATGCAGTAAACACTGTCTAAAACACTAAAGGAAAGTATAAGAATATCTCACCAAATAAATAATGCCAGTAAAGATGCATAGACATAAAAAATTTGATTCTGGAGTTAAAAATTCCAATAATGAAAATGAAATATTAACTAATGAGTTTCAATAAAAGATTCGAACAGGTGGAAGAAAGAAGGAACTTAAAGACGGATCAACTGAGTTTATCCCATCTGAATAACTGAGAAAAAAAATGGGGAAAAATGAACTAAGCATCAGAAACCTGTGAGAAAACAATCATAGCAACATACGCAAAAGAGTTATCCTAGAAGGAAAGAGGAAAGAAAGGGGCAGAAAGAATACTTGAAGCCAAAGGGAGTAAAAGCTTCCCAAATTGGGTGAAAAACATTGATGTACACATCCGTAAAGCTTAACAAACTACAGGAAGGATAAAACCAAAGATCCACACCTAGATACATCATAATCAAACTGTTGAAAGACAAAGAGGGAATCTTGAAAGCAGCAGGAGAGAACCAACTCATCACATGCAAAGTAGCCTTAATCAGATGAACAGCTGATTTCTCAACAGAAACCATGGAAGATAGAAAGCAGTGGAAAAGGATATTTTCAAAGTGCTGGAAGAAAAGACTTTAAGAATTCTATACCCAGTAAAAATATCTTTCAAAATGAAGGAGCAATTAATGCATTTTCCAATTTTAGAGAAGCTGAGACAATCCACTGCTGGAAAATTTTCCCTGCAAGAAAATACTGAAGAGTACTTTAGGTGAAATGAAAGGAGGGTAATTGGGATCTATAAAGAGATAAAGAATATCAGTAAGTAACTACCTAGGTAAACATAAAAGACACTGTAAATATATTTTGTGTTCATAACTCTTTTTTTCTCCTCTCTGATTTGAGATGCAACTGCATAAAGCAATAATTATAAGTATGTGTTGATATGCATACAGTGTATATAAATGTAATTTTTAATGCAACAACAACACAGAGGAGGAGAAAGCAGAGTTATACAGGGGGAAAGTTTTTGTACACTATTGCTTTAAGTTAGTATCAATCCAGACAAGATTGTTAGAAGTCAAGATGTTAATTGTAATTCCCGGGAAAAACAGCTTTACAAGAAGTAAGTGAAGTGACAAGGAAATGAAAATGGTACAGTGGAGAACATCTGCTTAACAAATTAGAAGGCAGTAGGGAAGGATTGGGGGAAGCACACAAGGCATGTAGAAAATCATAAAAAGCACCTAAGACATATAGAAAATAGCAAACTGGGCACAGTGGTTCACACCTGTATTTTAAGCCCTTTGGGAGGCTGAGACAGGAGGATTGCTTGAGGCCTATCGTTGGAGGCTAGCCTGGGTTACAGAGTGAGGCCCTATCTCTACAAAAAAAAGAAAAATTAGGTAGGCATGGTGACTCACACCTGTAGTCCTAGCTACTCAGGAGGTTGAGGTGGGAGGATTGCTTGAGTGCATGAGTTTGAGGCTACAGTGAACTGTGATTACACTGCACTCTAGCCTGGGTAACAGAGTGAGACCCTGAGGAAGGAAGGAGCAACCTGTTAGCTGTAAATTCTACTTTATCAGATTGCACATGAAAGTAGGTGGATTAGACACTCCAATGAAAATACAGAGATTGACAGAATAAATTAATAATTTGGCTGTATATGCAAGAGACACATTTTAGATTCAAAGGCACAAATAGGTTGAAAATAAATAGATGCAAAAAGATAATACCATGCAAACAGTAGTGAAGCTAGAGCTACAGTGGCTATACCAATATCAGACAAAATAGACTTCAAAGCATTACTACATCTCTACATGGTGGTGGGCGCCTGTAATCCCAGCTATTCGGGAGGCTGAGGCAGGAGAATTGCTTGAACCCAGGAGGCAGAGGTTGCAGTGAGCCGAGATCGCACCACTGCACTCCAGCCTGGGTGGCAGAGCAAGACTCCATCTCAGGGAAAAAAAAAAAGAAAAAAGTGTTACTACAGACTAAAAAGAGCATTTCATTGTAATAAAAAGTAAACTGGTCAGGAATATATCACAATTATAAATACATATGACGTATCAATGGGGCCCTCAAATACATGAAGCAAAAAGAGACAGAATTAAAGGGGAGTAATAGACAATTCAACAAAAATAGTTGAAGACTTCGGTACCCCTCTTTCAATAATGATAGAAACACTAGACAGTTAAAAAATAAATGGAAGACTTGAATGGCTTTCGTCTGCTAGCTAATGGACACCTTTTTTGTGATACCCTTGTTTCTTGTGTATAATTTTAAAACAACTACATAAAGCAATAATTAAAATCTGACTGACATTAGACTTAAAAATAGAGTTAATAACCATTAGGCTTAAATTAGACCTAATAGACACATCTATAGGACACTCCACAGAAAATGAAAAGACAACTCACAGAATGTGAGATAATATATGAAATAATATATTTCCTAAGGGTCAAGTATCCAGCATATGTTAAAGAAACTCTTACAACTCAACAAAAATACAACCTAATTTAAGAAAGATCAAAGGATATTTATCCAATGAAATACTAAATGAGTAGACATTTATTCAGTGCAATAGTCAAAGCCACTGAGGCTGGGCCTGATGGCCGAAACCTGTAGTCCCAGCATTTTGGGAGGCTGAGGCAGGAGGATCACTTGAGGCCAGGAGTTGGAGACCAGCCTGGGCAACCCATCAAGACCCAATTGCTACAAAAAAATTTAAAAATTAGCTGGGTGCAGTAGTGAATGGCTGTAGTCCCAACTCCTCAGGAGGCTGAGGCAGGAGGATCACTTGAGCACAGGAGGTCGAGGCTGCAGTGAGCTATGATTATACCACTGCACTCCAGCCTGGGTGATGGACCAAAACCCCATCTCAGAAAACAAAAACAAAAAACTAAGAAAACTCCACTGAATTCTGTACTTTAAAAAGATAATTTTATCATACATTAATTATGGCTCATTTTTTAAGTATAAATGCTTGTGTCCAAACCTTCTTATATCTTGAATTGTTCAGTGTGAAAAGAGATCTAGGTTGCTTTTTTTTTAAAACAAAGCTTCCTGAATTGTCTGTTGTGAATATTGTGTTAGCAAACATAGATTTTGAAAATCAGCGAAACACCAGAACTTGAAACGCACTCTGGGCACTTAACTTGAAAGTACTACATATGCTATTTTTATAATTATTTTTTATCTGATTTTCCCCCCGCCCACTAGATTTATCTCAATTGATGAAGCATTTATTGTGGCTTCTTAATAGATGTCTATTTAGAAGAATTATAAACCTTTTTAAAAAATAAGCCAGCTTTATTGAAGCTGTAATTGACATACAAAAACTATATAGTTTAAGTATACAGGTTGATAGGTTGAGACAAGTTTGTACACTCATGAAACCATTCCGACAATATAAAGAACATTTCCATCATTTGTAATAGGCTGCGTTTTGTTTTGTTTTGTTTTTTGCCCCTCTGCAGTTCCTCCCTTACACCTCAGCTTCCTCTAACCTCCAGGCAACCACTAATCTGATTTGTCACTATGGATTATTTTGCTCACTATTTAATTGGATTTTTTAAATGTTGAATTTTGAGAGTTCTTTATATATTCCAGAGATAAAAGTACTTTGTCAGATATGTGGACTCTAAATGTAAGAGTGGTTTCCAATACTCTTAACAAGGTATTTTCCAGCAAAAAAAAAGTTTTTAATTTTCATACAGTCTAATTTTATTTTTCTTTTACAGCTCATGTTTTTAGTGTCATGTCCAAGAACATTTCACTAAGCCCAGGACCCTGAAGATTTTTTCCTATGTTTTCTTAAAAAGGTTTATAGTTTAACATTTACATTTAAGTCTGCAATCTATTTTGAGTTTTTTTTGTGTGTGTGAACATGTGAGGTTTAGTTCCTTTTTTTTTTTTTTTTTTTTTTTTTTTTTTTTGAGACGGAGTCTTGCTCTGTCGCCCAGGCTGGAGTGCAGTGGCACGATCTTGGCTCACTGCAAACTCTGCCTCGCGGATTCACGCCATTCTCCTGCCTCAGCCTCCCGAGTAGCTGGGACTACAGGCACCCACTACCATGCCCAGCTAATTTTGTTGTATTTTTAGTAGAGATAGGGTTTCACCGTGTTAGCCAGGATGGTCTTGATCTCCTGACTTCATGATCCGCCCATCTCAGCCTCCCAAAGTGCTGGGATTACAGGCATGAGCCACCGTGCCTGGCCTAGTTCCTTTTTTTATATCGATGTCCAATTGCTGCAGCCCCATTTGTTGAAAAGATTGCCCTTTATTATCCATTGAATTGCTTTTGCACATCTGTCATAATTATTAGGCTCCACTTCAGGAGGTCTATTTCTAGAGTCTTTATTCTGTTTCATTTATCTATGTATTAATCCCTCAACTAATACCACACAGCCTAGATCACTGTAAATCTTCAAATCTGGTGGGATGATTGCTTATATTCCTTCTCTTTCAAAGTTGTTTCAGCTACTCTTTTCCTTTTGTCTTTCCATATACATTTTAGAACTATCGTATGTATATCAACAAATATATTACAGGGATTTTGATATGATTACATTAAACCTCGATACCAATTTGAGGAATGTTAGCATATTTATTATATTATTTCAGTTTGTGAATATGTCTGTTTATTTCTTCTTTGATTCCTGTCATTGGTGTTTGTAATTTTCAATATACAAGTCAAGTACACACTTCGTTAGATTTACACCTAAGCCATTTGATATGGATTGTCCCCTCCAGATCTCATGTTGAAATGTGATCCCCAGTATTGGAGGTGGGGCCTGGTGGGAGGTGTTTGGATGATTGGAGCAGATCCCTCATGAATGGCTTGCTACCCTCCCCAGTATAATGAGTTTATACAAGAGCTGGTTGTTCAAAAGAGCCTGGCACCTCCTCCTCTCTCTCTTGCTCCCTCTTTCACCACGTGACACACCTGCTCCCCTTCACCTTCCACCATGATTATAAGCTTCCTGAGGCTTCACCAGAAACAGATGCTGGCACTATGCTTCTCGTACAGCCTGCAGAACTGTGAGCCAAATAAGCCTCTTTTTTTTTTTTCTCAATAAGTCAGTCTCAGGTATTCCTTTATAGCAGCACAAAATGGACTAACAGTAAATTGGTACTGAGGAGTGGGGTGTTGCTATAAAAGATACTTGAAAATGTGGAATTAATTTTGGAACTGGGTATGGGCAGAGGTTGGAAGAGTTTGGAGGACTTAGAAGACAGGAAGATTAGGGAAAGTTTGGAACTTCTTAGAGACTGGTTAAATGGTTGTGACCAGAATGCTGATGGCAATATGGACAGTGAAAACCAGGCTGATGAAGTCTCAGATAGAAATGAGGAATTTATTAAAAACGAGTAAGGGCACTCCTGTTACACCCTAGCAGATAACTAGGCTGCATTGTATTCATGTTCTAGGGATTTATGGAAAGTTGAACTTAAGAGTGATAACCTAGGGCATCTGGCAAAGGACATTTCTAAGCAGCAAAGCATTTAAGAGGTGACATGGCTGCTTCTAACAGCCTACTGTCAGATGCAGGAGCGAAGAAATGACTCAGAGTTTGAAGTTACATTTAAAAGGGGAGCAGAGTGTAAAAGTTAGAAAATTTGCAGCCTGGCTGTGTGAAAGAAAAAGCATTTTCAGGAGAGGACAATAAGCAGATTGTGTCAGGAGAGGACTACAAGCACTAGTGGAGCAACTTCTCCCAAAAGAGATTTGCATGACTAAAAGGGAGGCAAGCACTAATAGCCAAGACAATGGGGAAAAGGCCTTGAAGGGGTCTCAGAAATCTTTGGGACAGAAGTTCCCATCACAGGTCCAGAGGCCTGGGAGGAAAGACTGGTTTCTGAGGCCAGAGCTGAGGCACTGCTGCCCTGCACAGCCTTAGGACACTGCATCCGTGATCCTGGAAGCTCTGGCTCCAGTCATGGCACAGAGGGCTCCAGGTACAGCTTGAGACACTGCTTCAGAGAACATAAGCCGTAAGCTTTGGTGGTACCATGTGGTACTAAGTCTGCAGGTGCACAGAATGCAAAATTGAAGGAAGCTTGGCAGCTTTTACCTAGCTTTCAGAGGATGTATGGAAAACACTGGGTGCCCAGGTGGAAGCCTATTGCAGGGGTGGAGCTACCATGGAGGGCGTCTAATAGGGTAGTGCTGAGGGGAAAGATGGGGTTGGAGCCCTCACATGGAGTCCCCACCAGGTCACTGCCTACTGGAGCTGTAGGAAGGGGGCAACCATCCGCCAGACCCATGAATGGTAGAGCCACTGTCAGCTTGCACCCTGAGCCCAGCAAAGCTGCAGGCAGTCAACTCCAACTTGTGTGAGCAGCCACAGAGAGGGCACACTCTCCAAAGCCACAGGGTCAGAGCTTTCCAAGGCCTTGGGAGCTCACCTCTCACAACAGTGTACCCAGGATGCGGGACATGGAGTCAAAGGAGGTTATATTGGAGCTTGAAGGTTTAATGTTGGCCCTGCTGGGTTTCAGACTTGTGTGTGGCCTATTGCCCCTTTCTTTTGGCTGATTTCTCCCTTTAGGAATGGGAATGTTTACCAAATGCCTGTACCACCATTGTTTCTTGAAAGCAAATAACTTGTTTGTGATCTAACAGGCTCATAGGTCAAAGAAATTTGCCTTGAGCCTTAGATGAAACTTTGGACTTTTGATTGAGTTAATGCTGGAATAAGTTAAGACATTTGGGGACTATTTGGAAGGGATGATTATATTTTGTAATAGGAGAAGGACAAGAGATTTAGGGGACCAAGTGCAGAATGATATGGTTTGGGTATTTGTTCCTTCTAAATCTCATGTTGAAATGTGATCCTCAATATTGGAGGCAGGGGCTGGTGGAAGGTGTTTGGGTCGTGGGGATGGATCCCTCATGAATGGCTTGCTGCTCTCCCCACTGTAATAAGTTCATGCAAGAACTGGGTGTTTAAAAGAGGCTAGCACCACTTGCCCTCTATCTTGCTCCCTCTCTTGCCATATGACACACCTGCTCCCCTTTTGCCTTCCACAATGATTTTAAGCTTCCTGAGGCTTCACCAGAAGCAGATGCTGGCACCATGCTTCTTGGGCAACCTGCAGAACCAGAAACCAAATAAATCTCTTTCCTTTATAAATTACCCAGTCTCAGGTATTCCTTTTTACCAATGCAAAAGGGACTAATACATTGGTCTTCCTTCATTGTTTTCCTTCTTCCTGTTCCCATTTTCTCCCTTCCTTCATTGTCCTCCTTCTTCCTGTTCCCATTTTCTCCCTTCCTTCTTTCCTTCCTTCTTATTGTTAAAAATTGTAAATGTTAATGTATATTTAATTTTGATGTCCATATGCTCATTGCTGGTGTATATAAATCAAGTTGATTTTTGGTATGTTAATTTTGTATCCTGCAGCTTTGCTAAACTCACTTATTCTGTTTTTGTTTTGTTTTTGTGGATTCTTTGGGATTTTCTATGCAGACAATTATGTCTTCTGCAAACAGCCAGTGTTATTTCTTTCCTTTCCATCTGTATGTGTTTCATTGCCTTTTCTTGAACTTACTGCACTGGCTAAAACTTCTAACAGTATAACATAACATAACATAGTGTTAGAAGTTTTAGCCAGTGCAATAAGTTCAAGAAAATAGAATAAAAGTAGAGAGAGCAAACGTCTTTGCCTTGTTTCCTATTTTAAGAAGAAATTATTGATTATTTTACTACTAAATATAACTGTAGCTATAACTGTTTTGTAAATGCTGTTTATCAAGTTGAGGAAGTTTGCCTTTATTCCGACTTTTTTGAGTTTTATAATGAATAGGTCTTGAATTTCGTCAGATGGTTTTTTCTGCGGCTCTTGATATGAATCACATTATTAATATTATTATTATTATTATTATTATTATTTTTGAGACAGAGTCTCCCTCTTGTTGCCCAGGCTGGAGTGCAGTGGCATGATCTCGGCTCACTGCAACCTCCGCCTCCTGGGTTCAAGTGATTCTCAGGCTCCCGAGTAGTTGGGATTACAGGCATCCGCCACCACGCCCAGCTAATTTTTTGTAGTTTCATTAGAGATGAGGTTTCACCATGTCGGCCAGCCTAGTCTTGAACTCCTGACCTCAGGTGATCCACCCACCTCGGCCTCCCAAAGTGCTAGGATTACAGGCATGTGCCACCGCGGCTGGCCAGAATCACATTATTTGATATGAATTTTTTTGTGTAGTTTTTCTTCTTTTGCCTTTTCTATTTAAGTTTTATATTGATTGATTTTCAAATATTAAACCAGCCTTAAATCCCTGGAATAAACCCTGGTTTGGTCATGGAACATAATTTTTTTGTATATATTGCTGAATTCAATGTGCTAACACTTATTATGGATTTTTGTGTCTATGAGAGATATTCATCTATATTTTCTTTTTTATACTTTCTTTGTTTCTGTAAGCAGGGTAATACTGGCTTAATAAATGAATTGAGAAGTGTTTCCTCTTTCAAATTGTGGAAGCAATGGTGTAGAATTGGTGTTAAAATTATTCTTTAAACATTTGATACAGTGAAATCGTCTGGGCTTAGAGACTTTATTTTTAAGAGTTTTAAAATTACAATTTCAGCATCTTTAATGTTATAGGACTTTTAAAATTATTTATTTTGTATTAGGTGAGTTGTAATCATTTGTCTTTTTTGAGGGATTTATTCATTTCGTCTAAATCGTCCAATTTATGAGTGTAAAATTCTTCATAGTACTTTCTTATTATCCTTTGATATCTGCAGGATCTGCATTCATATCCTCTATTTTAGTCCTCATGCTGCTTATTTGAATCTTCTCTCTTTTTTCTTTATTAGTCTCGCTAAAGGTTTTTCAATGTTACTGTTCTTTTTAGAGAACCAGCTCTTTGTATCATTGATTTTCTCTATTGCTTGCTTTCAATGTCATTGATTTCTGCTCTTACCTCTATTTTTTCCTTCATCCTTCTTGCTCTCTGGGAAATTTTTTTTTCTCTTTTTGTAGGTTCTTCAGATAGGAGCTTATATTATTTTTTGAGTCTTTTCCTTTTTTCTCATATATGCATTTATTATTGTAAATTTCCTTCAGCATTGCTTGCTTTCTATCTCACAAATTTTAATATGTTGTATTTTCATATTCAAAATATATTTTTAAAAATTATCTTGATTCTTTCTTTTTGACCTACAGATTACTTAGAATGTGTGTTTTTTCAATATTTTAGCCTTTGGATATTTTCCTATTATTCTTCCATTGTTAATTTGATTCCAAATTATACTTTGTGTTATTTCAGTTATTCTACATTTTTGAGTTTTATGGTCCAGAGTATGGCACATTTTGGTATGTACTCCATGGCCACGTGAAAAGAGTATTTTCTGCTTTTGTTCATTGGGGTGTTGTGTAAATTTTAGTTATATCTTGTTGGTTGATATTGTTAAGTTTGTCTGTATCCTTGCTGATTTTCTGTCTCTTTCTCTTTTAAATTGTGGAGAGACAAAGTATAAACATCTCCAGCTATAATTGTGGATGCTTCTGTTTCTCCTTTCAATTTTGTAAGTTTTGTCATCTATGTGTTTTGAAGTTTGATGACACACAATTAAGATTGCTGTGTTTTCTTGGCAGATTGGCCTGTTTATCGTCAGATATTGTCTCTCCCTATCTATGGTAATTTTCTTTGCTCTGAATGCTTTATTTGATATTATATCAGGCCACAACAGATTTATTTAGATTAAGGTTTACATGCTGTATTTTGTTCTATTGTTTTATTTTCAAATCGTGTGTATTGTTTTATTTGATATAAGTTTCTTGTAGACAGCTTATAGTTTGGTCATGCTTTTTTGTTGCTGTTTTTAGTAGATTTTATTTTTAGAGCAGTTTTAGGTTTACAACAAAATTGAACAAAAGTACAAAGATTTCCCACATATCCTGTGTCACCCCACATGCATAATCTCTCTCATTATTAACATCCCTGACCAGAGTGGTACATTGTTACGATTGACAAACCTACACTGACACATCATTGTCACCCAAAATTCATAGTTTACATTAGTGTTTGTTCTTGGTGTTGTACATTCTGTAGGTTAGGGTAAATGTATAATGACCTGTATCTACCATTATAATATCATTCAGAATAGTTTCACTGCCCCCCAAGTCTTCTCTGCTCCACCTAGTCATCCCTTGCTCCACCCAACTCTTGAAAACCCTTGGTCTTTTTATAGTATCTATAATTTTACCTTTTCCAGAATGTCAGCTCTGGGAATGTATGGTCCCACAGTTGGGAGCATACAGAATGTAGCCTTTTCAGATTTGACTTCTTTCACATAGTAATATGCATTTAAAGTTCCTCCATGTCTTTTTATGGCTTGATAGCTCTTTTTTTTTTTAGTGTTGAATAATAATCCATTGTCCAGATGTACCACAGATTACCCATTTACCTACTGAATGACATTTTGGTTGCTTCCAGTTTTGGGCAATTATGAATAAAGCTTCTATAAACATCTGTGTATAGGTATTGTGTGGACATATGTTTTCAAATCCTTTGGGTAAATACCAAAGAGGGCAATTGCTGGATTAAATGATAAGAGTATGTTTAGTTTTGTAAGAAAATCCTAGACTGTCATTCCAAGTGCCTGTACCATTTTCTGTTCTCACCAGCAATAAATGAGAATTCCTGTTTCTGTTTGTCCTTGCCAGCATTTGGTGTTGCCAGTGTTCTGGATTGTGGCCATTTCAATAAATGTGTAGTGGTATCTCATTGTTGTTTTACTCTGCATTTCCCTGATGACATATGATGTGGAACATATTTTCATATGTTGATCTGTATGTCTTCTTTGGTGAAGTATCAGTTAAGATCTGTCTTAGTTCATTTAGTGTTCCTATAAAGGAATACCTGAGGCTGGGTAATTTATAAAGCAATGAGTTTTATTTGGCTTACAGTTCTACAGGCTGTGGAAGTATGGCACCATCATCTGCTTCTGATGAGGGCTTCAGTCTGCTTCTACTCATAGCAGAAGGTGAAGGAGGAGGAGCATGTGTAGAGATCACATGATAAGAGAGGAAGCAAGAGAGAAAGAGAAAGAGGTGACAGGCTCTTTTTAACAACTAGCACTCACGGCTCTTATGGGAACTAAAACAGTGGTAACTCATTACCAGGAGGATAGTACCAAGCCATTCATGAGGGATTTGCCCCGTGACCCAAACACTTCCCCTTAGGTGCCACCTCCAGTGTTGGGGATCAATTTTCCATATGAGATTTGGAGGGATCAGACAAACTATAGCAAGGTCTTTGGCCTATTTTTAAATTGGGTTGCTTGTTTTCTTTTTGTTGAATTTTAAGCACTGTTTGATGTTTTTGTATAACAGTCCTTTATCTGATTTGTCTCTTTCAATTACTTTCTCCCATTCTGTGACTTGGCTTCTCATTATCTTGAAATTTTCTTTTGCAGAGGAGAAGTTTTTAATTTTAATGAAGTCCAGTCTATCAATTCTTTCTTTCGTAGATCATCCTTTGGTGTTACTTCTAAAAAGTCATCACCATACCAAAGTCATGTAGGTTTTCTCTTGTGTTATCTTCTAGTTTTATAGTTTTGCATTTTACATTTAGGTCTGTGATCCATTTTGAGTTAATTTTTGTGAAGGATGTAAGGTTGTATCTACATTTATTTTTTCGTATGTGGATGTGAGTTATTTCAGCATCATGTCTTTTAAAGACTATTGGGACCTGTTTTTCTAGTCTCTGCCAACCTGTATTAAATTACTTTATTTAAAACTAGAAAACCTAGAAGAAATGGTTACATTCCTGAACACATACACCCTCCCAAGACTGAACCTGGATACAGTCAAATCCCTGAATAGACCAATGACAAGTTCTGAAATTGAGGCAGTAATAAAAGCCTACCAACCAAAAAAAAAAAAAAAAAGCCCAGGACCAGATGGATTTATAGCTTAATTCTACCAGAGGTACAAAGAGGACCTGGTACCATTTCTTCTGAAACTATTCCAAACAATTAAAAAGGAGGGACTCCACCCTAACTCATTTCATGAGGCCAGCATCATCCTGATACCAAAACCTGTCAGAGATACAACAAAAAAAGAAAACTTCAGGCCAATATCCCTGATGAACTTCGATGCAAAAACCCTCAATAAAATACTGGCAAACCAAATCCAGCAGCACATCACAAAGCTTATCCACCATGATCAAGTCAGATTCATCCCTGGGATGCAAGGTTGGTTCAACATAGGAAAATCAATAAATGTAGTTCGTCACATACACAGAACTAAAGACAAAAGCCACTTCATTATCTCGATAAATGCAGAAAAGGACTTTGATAAAATTAAACATCCCTTCATGTTAAAAACTCTCAATAAACTAGGTATTGATGGGACATACCTCAAAATAATAAGAGCCATTTATGGCAGACCCACAGCCAATATCATACTGAATGGGCAAAAGCTGGAAACATTCCCCATGAAAACCAGCACAAGACAAGAATGCCCTCTCCCACCACTCCCATTCAACATAGTATTGGAAATTCTGGCCAGGGAAATCAGGCAAGAGAAAGAAGTAGAGGGTATTCAAATAGGAAGAGAGGAAGTCAAATTGTCTCTGTTTGCAGATGATATGATCCTATATCTAGAAAACCCCGTTGTCTCAGCTTCAAATCTCCTTAAGCTGATAAGAAACTTCAGCAAAATCTCAGGACAGGAAATCAATATGCAAGAGTCACAAACATTTCTATATAACAACAGACAGAGAGCCAAATCATGAATGAACTCCCATTCACAATTGCTACAAAGCAAATAAAATACCTAGGAATACAGCTAACAAGGGAAGTGAAGGACCTCTTCAAGGAGAACTACAAACCACTGCTCAAGGAAATCAGAGAGGATACAAACAAATGGAAAAGCATTCTATGCTCATGGATAGGAAAAATCAATATCATGAAAATGGCCATACTGCCCAAAGTAGACAGATTTAATGCTATTCCCATTAAATTACCATTGACATTCTTCACAAAATTAGAAAAAAAAAACTACTTTAAAATTCATATTGAACCAAAAAAGGGCCCTTACAGCCAAGGCAATTCCAAGCAAAAAAGAACAAAGCTGGAGCAGCATCACTCTACCCAACTTCAAACTATACTACAGTGCTACAGTAACCAAAATAGGATGGTACTGGCACAAAAACAGACACATAGACCAATGGAACAGAATAGAGAATTCAGAAATAAGACCACACATCTAAAACCATCTGATCTTCTACATACCTGACAAAAACAAGCAATGGGGAAAGGATTTCCTATTTAATAAATGGTGCTAGGAGAACTGGCTAGCCATATGCAGAAAATTGAAACTGGATCCCTTCCTTACACCATATACAAATATTAACTCAGGGTGGATTAAAGACTTAAATGTAAAACCCTAAAATATAAAAACCTAGAAGAAAATGTAGGCACTATCATTCAGGACGTAGGCATGGGCAAAGATTTCATGTTGAAAACGTCAAAATCAATTGCAACAAAAACAAAAATTAACAAATGGGATCTAACTAAAGAGCTTCTGCACAGCAAAAGAAACTGTCATCACAGTGAACAGACAACCTATAGAATGTGAGAAAATTTTTACAATCTGTCCATCTGACAAAGGTCTAATATCCAGAATCTACAATGAACTAAACAAATTTACAAGAAAAACACAACCCCATTAAAAAAATGGGCGAAAGGCAAGAACAGACACTTCTCAAAAGAAGACATTTATGTGGGCAACAAACATATGAAAAAAAAGCTCCACATCACGAATCATTAGAGAAATGCAAGTCAAAACCACAATGAGATACCAACTCATGCCAGTCAGAATGGCGATTATTAAAAAGTCAAGAAACAACAGATGCTGGCAGGGCTGTGGAGAAATAGGAATGCTTGTATTCTGTTGGTGGGAATGTAAATTAGTTCAACCATTGTGGAAGACAGTGTGGCAATTCCTCAAAGACCTAGAACCAGAAATACCATTTGACTCAGCCGTCCCATTACTGGGTATATATCCAAAGGAATATAAATCATTCTATTACAAAGATACATGCATGTGTATGTTCATTGTAGCACTATTCACAATAGCAAAGACATGGAATCAACCCAAATTCTCATCAATGATAGACTAAAGAAATGTGGTACATATACACCATGGAATACTACAGAGCCATAAAAAGAAATGAGATCATGTCCTCTACAGGTACATGGATGAAGCTGGAAGCCATTATTCTCAGCAAACTAATGCAGGAACAGAAAAGCAAACACTGCATATTCTCATAAGTGGGAGCTGAACAATGAGAACACATGGACATGGGGTAAAGCAGGGAACAACACACACCAGGGCCTGTCGGGTGGGGTCCTGGCAGTGGGAGAGCATCAGGAAAAATAGCAAATGCATGCTGGGATTAATACCTAGGTGATGGGTTGATAGGTGCAGCAAACCACCATGGCACATGTTTACCTGTGTAACAAACCTGCACATGTATCCCGAAACTTAAAATATAAAATTAAATTTGAAAAATAAAAATAAATAAATTACTGTACTTAGAGTATTTACATTTAATGTAATTATTGGTATGTTAGGGGCTTATGTGTGCCATTTTATTTCTGTATTTTGTTTATCTTTTTTATATTTTACCTGCTTTCCTATAGGCTATTTGAACATTTTTAAGAATTCCATTTGATTTATTCATAGTGTGTCTCAGTGGAACTCTTTGTGTATATATAAATTATTCCAATGAGTAATACTCTATTGTTTGAATATTAGTCGTTTTTCTAGGTATTATATTATTTATGAATAGCTTATTCCTGTCTACTAATGTTATTTTACCAGTTTGCATGCAGCATAGAAACTTTACCTCCCTTTATCCTCTCCTGTAGTTACCTTTACTATTTTCTCCACATACATTAAAACCATCTCAGACAGTTTTATACTTTTTCCTTCAACCAACAAACATAATTTAGAATACTCAACAAGAGAAAAAAAGTTCCATTATATTTACCCATATTTTTACTTGCCATATTTTTCCCTCCTTTCTCTCCACTCTTCCTTCTTTTAATGTTTCCTTTCAATCTATTGAACTTTAGCTATTCTTCTGAAGGTAGATGTGGTGGCAACACAATCTTTTAGTTGCCTCAGTCTGAGAATTTCTTCATTTTTCTTTCATTTTTGACCAATATATTTCACTGTATATAGGATTCTGAGGTGATCTTTTTTTCAGCATTTGAAAAGGTTGTTTTTCTTCATTCTGAACTCTGTGGTTTCCAATGAATAATACTTTGTCATTTGAATTGTTTTTGCAGTATAGGTAATGTGTCATTTTTCTTTCTCTGTTTTTAAGGTGTTTGTGTGGTCCTTAATTTTTAGAAATTTGACTATGATGTGTCGTGGTGGAGATTTCTTTGGATTTATCTTGTTTGGGGTTTGTTCATTTCTTTAATCTATAGATCTGTGTCTTTTATCAAATTTGTGAAGTGTTGGTCATTATTCATGTACTTTTTCAACTCCACCTTCTTCTTTTATCTAGGACTCCAATTATATGATTATTAGATTTTTTTTTGTAGTCCCATAAGTCTCTGACTTTTTTTTCAGTTTATTTTACCTTTGTTTTTCAAATTGAGTAATTTCTATTCTATCTTTGTGTTCACAATCTCCACCTGTAATTCTTAGTAAAGCAGGTTATATGTAAGATGAGAATGTTTTAGAGAACAACTCAGCATGAAAATAATCAGATCATATTTGTGGCAATACAGGATGTAAAATATGGGGATCATAGAATAGAACTTAACAGTTCTTTCAACAGTTGGATAATGCAATTAGTACAACTTTATGCAATGTCTTCTTTCCACTGTATATCTTATTTTTAATATGATTATTTTGAAAAAACATACTAATTATATAATATTCCATTTTATGTATAAGCAATGATGTATTGCTGGGCAGTTAACTTTGTTGATAATATTGCAAGCCCTATAAATAACATTATAATGAACATCTTTGGGTTTCTATTTTTGTTAATGATCACTGTTTTTTAGTATAATTTCTTAAATGTGAAATTAGTAGCTCAGGCTGGGCATGATGGCTCATGCCTGTAATACCAACACTTTGGGAGGCCGAGACAGGTGGATCACTCGTGGTCAGGAGTTCAAGACCAGCCTGGCCAACATGAAGAAACACTGTCTCCTACTAAAAATACAAAAATCAGCCTCGTGTGGTGGTGCACACCTGTAGTCCCAGCTACTTGGGAGAATCTTTCATGATAACCTGACTTTCTATAAAATATAAATTAGGACAAATGTATTCCTTGGTGCTATGGTTTAAATGTGTCCCCCAAAGTTCATATGTTGGGATCTTAATTCCTAATGCAACAGTACTGGGAAGTGGGCCTAATAGGAGGTGATTAGCTAATAATGATTAATATTGTTATTGTAGGAGTGAGTATTGTGAGAGGGGGAGATAAATTATCTCAAGAGTGGATGTGTTAAAAAAGTGAGTTTGGTCCCCTCTTGCTCTCTCTCGAGTACTCTCTAGCCCTTCTGTCTTCCATCATGGGATGTTGTAGCAAGAAGCCCCATTGCCAGATGCCAGCACTTTGAAATTGGACTTCCCAGCCTCCAGAACTGTGAGAAATAAATTTCTTTATAAATTACTCCCTTCATGATATTGTTACAGCAACACAAAACAGACCAAGACACTTTATCAAATTGCAAAGAAACATTGTTGTTCTAGGTTATAATAAATGTAAAAACTAGTGCAAATTTATTTTGGGCTACATGTGAAGGGATGAGATAAGGAGGGTGGATGGTGTGGGACAGAAATTCAACTGTTAACTATTATATAGATTCAAACTTGGACGTCATCTACACATAGCAATTTATTCCTAGCCAGTTCAGGGTTTATAATGAAAAAATATTTCCCTGACATATTAAGTGGCTCATATATAACAAAAGGTCATTTATGAAGGAAGGAATTACTTTGGAAATTTATGCAAACTATTTAATCACTTAAATTATGAAAAAGTTCCAACGCAATTTGGTTCCTGATTTTGTGATAGGAACATTTTTCTTGGTAATTGGTGTAGTGGCCTCATGTCAGGAGTCACTTCATTCTCCTTTTCAGAAGAAGAAAAGGGTTTATGAATGGTCTGTATTTGATTTTTTAGCACCTCACTATTCATCAGTATAAGCCCTAGATTAGATGGGCAATGGAATTTTGGGCTGAAGAAGGGAGAGGTATAGTTTTCCTTGTGTTAAAACTCTGTTTGATTAATTAGAATGAACTGCCAAGGTGTTTCTGGACACCAGTAATTTATTATCTTCCTACAAGTCTATAAGAGAAGGATTAGAGCCTAAAAGTCTGTATGGAACTCGCTATTTATAAATTTTACGGAAAAACAAACATGTTGGAAAACTGCAAGTTTAATCAGATTCTACAGGACTTCTTAGAATCCTTGTGACAGCAATATGAACTAAGAATTGGTAGGAGGGGTTATAGTTCTTTCTGTTTAATGTCTGTAATTTACATAGGGCTCTCTTAGACCATAGATTTAGGGTGACCCCAGCCTGGTTTCACAAGGTAGGACTTCCATTGAATTCTCTCTCACCAGTGTGTTCCTCGTTTGGAGTTCAGCACTGGGGACTGACTGGGCGGCAATGTGCATGAGCACATACAGTCTCAGAACATGCACTTTGGGCAAAGAGCAGAGCCCCTTTAGGTCAGGGTTGGATTTACCGTGGTGGCTCCAGTAGAGGACTGAAGCTTTGGCATATCATGTTCAATGTTCCTTCCTCTCCATCAGATATTTTTAATAAATGTGCAAGTCTTTAATAAATGTGAATCACCAGTGGTGGACATTTTGTCCAAGAATTGTCCTGAAGAGGAAGACAGTTTGGACCAGCTGCCCTGGGAAACTCCTCAGGCTACTTTACTCGAGTGCAGCCTCGCTGACTGCTCATGCTAGTGCATTAGAAGGTGGCCACGAGGACAGGCTGGCGCTGCCTGCACGGCCTGCACTCATACCTATGCTCATCGGCTGACCTCTGACTCTTTTTTTTTTTTTTGAGACGGAATTCTGCTCTTGTGGCCCAGGCTGGAGTGTAACGGCACGATCACAGCTCACTGCAACCTCCGCGTCCTGGGTTCAAGTAATTCTCCTGCCTCAGCCTCCTGAGTAGCTGGGATTACAGGCACCCACCACCACGCTCAGTGAATTTTTGTATTTTTAGTAGAGCTAGGGTCTCAGCATGTTGGCCAGGCCTCGAACTCCTGACCTCAGGTGATCCACCTGCCTTAGCCTCCCAAAGTGCTGGGATTACAGGTGGGAGCCACTGCACCCGGCCTCCCCCTAATTCTTATATTTCAGCAACATGTCCCTGTAGGTCACTTCTAGTAGTCTTTGCTATTTAAATAAGCTTAGGAGCATCTGCAAACTTAGAAAGTTTCCTGCCTTTGAGATAATTTATAAAAATATCAATGTTGATTCTGGCAGAAACCCCCCATGTAGGCCCTTTATCCCAATTAATGTTTTTCAAACATTAGAGTGCCTGACATTGTGATAGATCATTAGCCGTCTCTGCTACTTTATATATTTTCTGTATCTTTATCCTTATGCATACAAAGAAACTTAGCACCATATTCCATTCATTCTAAGATGCACATTAGTTTCACATTTTAACTTTTTTATTTAAAATTGGGCATGTCTTACAATTGAATACCATCTTAGATTTGATGACATGTGAAACTAGAATAAATGCTTAGAGGATTAACAGTGGAATTGGAATTATCCCTTGAGTGTATGTTAAAAATAACCTGAAAAGAGTTTGTATTTAAAAGTATTTTCAGAGTTTCAATTATGCTGACTCCAATTTTTGTATCCCATTCTTCTGAATTCAGTTTCTCCTTCCAGGAGGACACCTGATAGTAATTACTCCAATGAAGTAGTGTCAGTAATGACATTGTCTTTGTTTATCTGAAAAACGTTTTTCTTTTAACTTTACTCTTGGACGGCAGTGTAGCTGGTCTTAGATTCCAAAGTTGAAGTCCATAATTACTTTCCATAATTTGAACATGTTACTTCATTGATTCCTGGCTGCTCTTATTGTGGCTTGCCATCTGCTCCCTGGCCAGTCGTTGTTACCCTGTGGATAAACTGTTTGATTCTGTACTTTTAAGATATTCTTTTTCATATTCTATCGTTTTACTACAATGTGACTTAGTTAATTTTAAAATTATAAATAAACATATTATAAATAAACTCCCTTGTAATATCTTCAAGTTTTCTTTAAAGATAAACACTTTTGGCCAGGCACGGTGGCTCACGCCTGTAATCCCAGCACTTTGGGAGGCTGAGGCGGGCAGATCATGAGGTCAGGAGATCGGGACCATCCTGGCTAACATGGTGAAACCCCGTCTCTACTAAAAATACAAAAAATTAGCTGGGCCTGGTGGCAGGCGCCTGTAGTCCCAGCTACTCGGGAGGCTGAAGCAGGAGAATGGCGTGAACCCTGGAGGCGGAGGTTGCAGTGAGCCAAGATTGCACCACTGCACTCAGCCTGGGTGACAGAGCGAGACTCCATCTCAAAAAAAAAAAAAAAAAAAAGATAAACACTTTTATTTTTCAAGTTTACTTTAACAGCTATCTTTAAAGAAAACTTGAAGGTACTGCAGGGAGTTTCCCTGGAGGCCACACAGTTTCCCCTGTGAGTATCCTCTTGCATCAGTATGATGCTGTTTGTTACAATTAGTAATTGGATATTCATAGATATTTTAAACTGAGGTCCGTACTTTATTCACATTTTATTGGCTTTTTAAATCCCATTTCCTGTTTCTGTTCCACGATCCCATCCAGGAGTCCATGTAGCATTTAGTCCTTGTGTCTTTTTAGGCTCCTCTTCATTGTAACAGTTTTTCAGCCTTTCCTTGTTTCTGATGATCTCGACAGTTTTGAGTAGGGCACTGGTCAGATATTTTGTAACATGTCTCTTCATTGGGATTTGTTGGATGTTTTTATCCAAGTTAGAATGGAGTAATGTGTTTTGGGGTAGACAGACAGCAGAGTATTATATGTTATCATATCATATCCAGGGTGCATAATATCAATATGACTTACTGTTGCTGTGGGCCTTAATCAAATGGCTTAAAATGGTATTCGTCAGGTCCCTCGACTGCAAAGTTACTCTTTTTCCCCTATTTATATACTGTACTCTTTGGAAGGAAGTCACTATGCACAGCCCAGGAAGTCACTATGCACAGCCCAAATTAGGGAGTGGAAAGTAGTGTTTCACCTCCATGAAGGCAAAGTGTCTACATAAATTGAAATTCTTCTTCATGGAGAGTTTGCCTCCTTCACCCCATTTATTTATTTAATCATTTATTTATGTTAGTGTGGACTCAGCAGTATTTATTTTATATTTTGGAGTGTAATCCAGTATTACCTTATTTTGTTGTTCAAATTGTTTACTGTTTTTTACCACTAGGTACTTGTTAAATTTGCTGCAGTATCCCTCTGGCTTAACAGCACTGGTGTTATTTTATTTTTTTCACTCATTTTCCTTCTTTCTGGCTCTACAGTATGTTCCAGGTTCATCTGGTATATTTCCTGCCCAACACCTAGAATCAGCCCTTTCTCCAGAAATCCTGGTTCCTTGTATTGGTGAATGATTAGAAAGCAAGGTTTGGGTGCTAGGTGGGTTCATTGCCATTGGGGCGTCATCATTTCTAGGCCCTTTCTGACAGAGCAAAGAGTTATATGTGTATATAGTAGTTCATATATACAGAAATATCTGTAAGTATTTCTGTATGTAACCGTATGTATCCTTATTAAGCTAAACGTGAATTCATGCTTAAGTCTCCAACTCTCACTCTAAAGTGAGAAAACTGATTTCTACACATGGCATCCATTTACTTAACTGTTCGATTGCAATATACATGTACAGTAGTTTCAGAATTGGTAACTTACAACTCTGTGAGGAGCAACTTCATCAACTAGAGTGCAATGCTGATACACAGTTCCTTGCAGAATACACCCAGTTTCAAAGTTACTTAGACCAGCACCTTTTTCTCCCAGTCATGTCAGTAAGGTCGTTTTATACTTTTGTAATGCATTTGAATCCTTTTGTTACATTTTGTATTCCATTCTGGATCACCGAATCTCCTAAGTATTTGTTTTGTATTTTGCATTCATTTTGGGTTACTCTTTGTATTATAAAGTTCTATGAGTTTTGACAATGCTTAATGTCTTGTATTCACCATTACAATATGATACAGAATTCTCTGCCCTAGAAGTACTCTGTGCTCCATTTGTCTACTCCTAACCCCCACCACTGGCAACCACTGATAAATTTACAGTCTCTAAAGTTTTGCCTTTTGTAGAATGTCTTTTTATTGGAATGATACAATATGTAGCCTTTTCGGCCTGGCTTCTTTCACTTAGCACTGTGTATTTAAGAATCACCTATATCTTTCATGGCTTGATAGCTCATTTCATTTTATACTTGAATAATATTCCATTGTGTGGATGTGCCATGGTTTGTTTTTCCATTCACCTGTTATAAGACATCCTGATTGCATCCAGTTTTTGTGATTATGCATTAGGCTGCTATAAACATGTGCAGGTTTTCTGTAGATATGTGTTTTTGAATCATTGGGTAAATATCTAGGAATATAGTTGTTGTATCGTATGGTAACACTAGGTTTAGTTTTGTAAGAAACCGCCAAATCGTCTTCCAAAGTGGTGGTACCATTTTGCATTCTTACCAGCAATGAACGAGCCTTCCTGTTGCTCCCCATCCTCCCAGCAATTGGTAATGTGAACTTTTCAGATTTTAGCCTATCCGATAGGTATATGGTGGTATTGCATTGTTATAATTTACATGTCCATGATAACATGATGTGAAGCATCTTTTAATATGTTTATTTGTTATCTGTACATCTTCTTTGGTGAGTTGCCTGTTCATATCATTTGGCCATTTTTTAGTTAGGTTGTTTGTTAATGTATTGCTGGTTTCTTTCCTATATTTTGAATATAAGTTCTTTATCAGAGATGTATTTTGTAAAATTGTATCCCAGTCTGTAGTTTTTCTTTTCATTCTTGTAACAGTATCTTCCATAGAGCAGTTTTTAATTTTAATAAAGTCCAACTTACTAATTTTTTCTTTGCATGGATCATCATGCCTTTGCTGTTGTATGAAAAACCATAATCACCAAACCCAAAGTCACGTATATTTAATCCTGTCTTTTCTTCTAGTATTAGAATTTTATATTTTACATCTAGGCTTATGATCCATTTTGATTTAATTTCTGTGATAAGAATAAGATCTATGTTGAATTTTTTAGACATTTATTTTACTTGGTGTCTACTGAGCTTCTTGGATCTATGATTTGTGTCTGTCAATGGTGTTGGGAAGTTCTCAGCCATTATTCTTTCAACTATTCTTTCTGCTCTGCTCTCGCTTTTGGTGATTCAACTATATATGTGTTATACCTTTCAAAATTGTTCCACAATTTTTGGATAATCTGTTTTTTTTTTCTTTTTGCAATTCAGTTTTGGAAGTTTCTGTTGACACATTATCCAGCTCACTGATTCCTTGCTTGGCTGTGTCCAGGCTCCTCATGAGGCCATCAAACGCTTTCTTTCTTTTTTCTTTTGAAACTTTACAAGGCTTAAATTTCATTTAACTTACATTTTTGACACAACATGTTCAAATTGCATACAGGCATTCTTTATTTCTGTTACACTGGTTTTGATTTCTAGTATTTCCTTGCAATTCTTTCTGAGAGTTTCTTTCTGCTGATGTTACCCAACTGCTTTTGCATGTTGTTTATTTTTCCTTTAGCACCTTTAGCATATTTATCACATTATTTTAAATTTCTTATGTGATAATTTCAACATTTGTATCATATCTAAGTCCTGTTCTGATGTTTGCTTTGTCTCTGCAGACTGTTTTTTCTTGTCTTTTAATTGCCTTGTAATTTTTCTGTAATAAAGCAGAAATGGTCATGACATTATGAATTTAGATAAGTAGCTTTTTAGTGTGCGAATTCATGTGACAGGTAGTAGTTGGGCTTTATTTGATGTTTGCTATAGCTTTAACTGCCAGAGCCTTCAGGTTCTTCTAGTGTTCCTGTTTTTGTCTTCCCTCTTGATGTCTGTCTTCCTTAATTAAGTACTCTTTCTCAGAGAATCTACAGCTTTTTGGACTGTAGTTCACAGTAGTTATACTGGACCCCTGTTGGTGGGGTGGTAGGTGGGGATGAGGGGAAGAAGTGTTCTGTAATCCTATGTTACATGGTAGCATTGTAGTAGGCCTGTGTGTCTGGGCTCTGACCTTCACAAGTGTTTCTCTAGTGGTATAGCAGTGGTATAGCTTTTTCCCTTCTTAGGTAAGACAGAAAGGCTACAGGCTGCTGGAGTGGGACCAGTGTAATTTCCCTAGCAGGGATAAGCTCTGAGAAACCCTGGAGAGTAGGCTTTTTTGTGGAGAAGGCTCTGGGTGACCTGTTTCCCAGTGATTACTTCTCCCCTTCTCTTGCTGGAGCCACAAGGAGATCTTCCTTGCACATTTACTATGAGAACCTGGTGGAGTTTCTAGACATAAAACCCATGAAATTGTAGAGACCTCAGCAAGACTGTGGCTGTCTGGGGGCTTCTCACTCTCATTCATTGCTGGTTCACACTCAGCAACCAGAGATTCACTGAAATTACCATTTAAGCATTACCACAAGTTCATAGCTCCAGTGGCTTCTGCTTTGAGTGAGCAGATTTTGGCTGTGCCCTGAATTTCATGTCTCTCCATATTTCAGTGTGGTACTTACCCTGCAGCAGCAGTCCCTCCTGAGTCCAATAAATGTCATTGATTTTTCATTTCATTCATTTTTTTTTTCTGTTGTTATGAGAGTGATTAATTCTAAGCTATTTACATGCCAGAGCTAAAAAATGATGGAGGTTTGAATTAGTCTTTGATTTATACTTATATTTTTGAGGAACTCATACTTCCTTAATCTGAGGAAAAGTTGGCCAATTCTGGAAATTTCTCAGCCATTATTTCTTTAACCTTTCTTTTATGAAACTATTTTATACACATATTGAATCTTTTCATTGTGTCCTTCAAGTCTTTCAAGCATTCGCATTTTCCATCTCTTTATCTTTCTGAGTTACATTTTAGGTCATTTTGTTGAGTCTGTCTTCAGCTTACTAATTATCATTTCTGTTCTTTCCAATTCATTGTTTAACCCACCCATTGAGCTTTTATTTCAGTTACTAAATTTTTCATTTTGTAAAGCTCTTACTTTTGTTTTCTTCCAAATCTGCGTTTTTACCCCTAGAATATCTTATTCTTTTACTATGTTTTTGATTTCTGTAGTGCATTTAATCACGTTAAACATATTTATTCAGTATTATCCCTCTGATATTTCTCTTGTCTGTATTTTTGGGGGCTTATTCCTCCTGACTTGGTTTTCTCTCTTTCACTCATGGAAAATGTTATACTTTATGTATTTTGTATTTTTGATCAGGAGGGTATAATCATTGTGTTTTCTATGCAACAATTTTTTATTATTATTTTCTTTCTTTTGTCTTTTTTGTGGTTTGCTAATTTGTTTGTTCTCATTGCGTCTGTCTGGGTCCTCAAGTTTTACTGGTCTAGAACAACTTCTAAGCTAATGCCATGACTTGCAAAGTTCCTAGGCTTTGTGAATTGGTTACATTTGAATTCTCCATCAGAAAGAAGGCTGATACATTTTCAGGAAATAGAGTGTACCCTGACCTGGTTCTCCACTTTCAGCCCAGAATGACACAGACTAACTTGCTTCTTTCTTGGCCAATGGTCTCTTCAAATTTCCTGGACCATGCTGGTAGAAGTAGGTGGGGGGTTTGGTTCAGCTCTCCACCTACGAAAGAGAATCTTTTCTATAGTCCCACTTAGGCATTGTTTAGGCTCTCTGTGAATAACACTGGCCACTGGTCTCCATACTCCTGCACTCTGCTATGGTGTCAGCTCACGTACTTACAATGTTCTTTTCAATTTCCTCTTGGATTTTGTTGTTGTTGTTGTTTTGAAGGATTTCTTGTGCTTTCTTGTGAGCCAAAATCAGCATTTAAAAAGACATTTGTTTGATTTTCTCCAGAATTTCCAGGTGTTTGTAGCAGGATAGTATTAACATTATAGAGTCTCCTGTTTTGCTAGGACCAGAAGCAGGGCCCCCATGTATTATCCCGGCATACTTAACTAGTTTCTCTGTGTTGTAGTCACCATTTCAGCTCTAGCTATGGCTTCTTTGTTTCACTTCCATTTCCAACTTCTGTAATGGATGTAATCTCTTGGTGTGTTTGCTCTGCAGACACTGTGATTATCTTACACCGTGGTTATCTCAGGTCCTGCCTTCATGCCAGTAACTTAATTTTTTAGCTGTGTCTGTTTTGTTCCTTTCTGTTTCTCATCTAACTACGTAATAATTTGTTTTGGTTCTCAGTTTATTTGTTTAGCTCTGCAATGTTCCTTTTATTCTGTTATTTTATTAGCTCATCTTTGAAATCATGCTTAATTTGATCCAAGACTTATATAGTGTAATATAAAGAACTCATGAGAAGCATGCCCTTCTTATTTGGGCTTTTTTCCAGGCTACTTTGTATATTAGTTGTGTGTGTATGCCTGGCTGCCTTTCTTCTTTGTGCTTGTTATTTTAAAATTTTTATTTATGTATATATTTAATCATTCATTCATTCATACTCATACTTCCTTCTTGTGGCTGTCATTCCAATTTGTTTTCATCTGGCCCATGCCTCATTCGTATTTTCTGTGATGTAGTAGAGATGCATTATTTTTATGTTATACTTTCCTGATTCGTGGCCTGATTTATTTTTGTCTTTGTTTCTTAAGCCAATTAACCTATATTATTTATAGAAGTATTAGAAATATCAAATAACAAAAACAAAACCAAGAAAAATAAATGACTGCTTCTAAATCCTGCTCCTAACTTCCATTCATTCATCTTATCCCCTTCCCTTTCTATTGGCCTTTGGAACCCACTTTGCACCGGTTCCATACCAAGGGCTCTGTTGGGGTCTCCTTATCTCTAACTCAGTTCCTTAGAGGACCCCAATTGTGATGAGATTTGTTGCAGCTAGCTTTCTGACAATTCATTGAAAAAGCCTGATATTGAAATTACAGAAATTTTGTAACCAAGGCATTTGTGGGAGTCTGGCTGTGTGTATAGGTGTTTGCTTTTAGTCCAGAGAGATACAACTTGTAAACACTCAAGGAAATTCCTGAAAACTGATTCAGTTGGGATGATGGCTTAAACTTAAAGGGAGATTTATCCTTTCTGTTCAAGGGTAGTTCAGATGAAGTTTGATTCCTGCTCCACTCAGTATGCCGGAAACCCAGCATCTCTCTTCCTCTTTCTCCTCTACTCCACAATCTTCCTATCACTACCCATTGTCAGCTCTGCTAATTCAAGATCGATTCCTTCTCTGTTAGGGTCTGCTCTCATGATCCACCTTCCAGGCTTCATTCCCCAAGAGGTAGGTCCTTTGAGGGAGATAGGGGGCCCTTTCTCATAGAAGGAAAGGAAACCTTTCAGTTGCAGTGAAAAGTGCATGCTTGAACTCTTCCTCCCTCCCTGAGAAGGATGGGGCAGCTCTGGGCATGGGAGTCCACCCAGCGAGAACCAAGTGGACATCAGGTTGGGTGGGGCTCACCTCCCCCGGGCAAGCTCTCTTATTCCTGCACACACAGGCAGCTGAACACCTTGGTCTGCCTTGCTCCCTTCAATCTGGCATTGGGCAAATTGGATCTGGATTTCACAGGGGAAACAAAAGTCAGTGGTGTTGCCCGGATCCAGGTCCTAAGCTCAGGAAACCCACCTGCCTCTGTTCACCTGGCATTTATTCTCCCTAAAGGAGCCAGGCTGATCAGCCAGTTTTCCATCTTGTCATCATGGGTCTTTCCTGGGATTATGTCTCAAGGAATCACATGCTGACCTGTTGGGAGGAAAAAAAATATGTATATAAATATACACGTATTACACTGTGGTCTGATTTTTTAAATCCCTTAAGCCTTATACGTTGCATTGTTCTTGAAATCAGTGTTCTCGAACTGTGCAGGATTAACTTTGGTAGTTAAAAATAGAATCAAAGAGTTCAGAATCACTCTGCTGGGGGAGTTCTAGAGGCAGAAGTTTTTCCAAAGACTGCAGTCTCTGCCTCAGTGGCTCTTTGGAGCAACGTCTCCAATCTCAGGATCTTCGGGGTGCTGTGTTTTAAAGCATAATGCATTTCCTCTATTTGTCAGGTTTAACGGTACCGTCAGAAATAAGCATATATCTGTAAACAGTTCGGCTGTGATTAAGGAGCTCCAGAATCCTAGAAATAGTGAAGTTCCTTAGCTTAACCCTTTGCCAAGGTGGCTAGCTGGTGGATGAGGCCAGGATCCAAGGCTTGAAGGAAGTCAGGTTGCACACACTTTTTGAAAAGATTCTCATCTGCACATTGATGCATCGCAGAATAACCATGAACCCACTGGGAATATTAAATGCTGACCTCTAGACACTTAATTCCTAAGCCTTAATTTTCAGTGGGAACCAAACCAACCAGGTTTCAAAGATGAGCCAATAAAATAACAGAATAAAAGGAACATTGCAGAGCTAAATGAATAAACTGAGAATCAAAACAAATTATTACACAGTTAAATTAGAAACAGAAAACCAACCAGTAATTATGTGCCACCCCTAAAAATAGGCAGCCGCAGATAGTGAGGAGATATTGCCAGTTCGGGCCAATTCTCTTAGCCTTTTCAGTACCTTTCTATCAAAGGAACTTTTTTCCGATAATTTAACAGTGGAGAATTTTGCTATATTTTAGGCACTTTTCTTTTTCTTTTTCTTTTTTTTTTTGAGACAGTCTTGCTCTGTCGCCCAGGCTGGAGTGCAGTGGCACGATCTCAGCTCACTGCAAGCTCCGCCTCCCAGGTTCGTGCCATTCTCCTGCCTCAGCCTCCCAAGTAGCTGGGACTGCAGGTGCCTGCCACCGCGCCTGGCTAATTTTTTGTATTTTTATTAGAGACGGGGTTTCACCATGGTCTTGATCTCCTGGCCTCGTGATCTGCCTGCCTCGGCCTCCCAAAGTGCTGGGATTACAGGCGTGAGCCACCGCACCCAGCTCTTAGGCACTTTTCTTCCTGCTACCTATTCAGTCCTTGCAGCATGCTGCAGAGAGAGCAATTGATAGCCATTACCCTTGTTTTTACAAATAAGGGAACTGAGTCTCAGAAAAGTTCAGGGGATGGGACTACCCCTAGCCCACATGGCTAGTGAATAGCAGAGCCCAGAGCCTGTGATATCTATAGTTTTCACATTGTGTCCCCAACAAACAGACCCTGAGCAATCCCAAAATGTGAGCAGAGGTAGAGCCGAGCTCTGTATCCCGAGAGGGCCAGGCCCTGTGGTACGAGGACCAGGATGGTCCTAGAAATGCCAAGCTCCCCATCAGCAGCTCTCAGACATCCAGGCTTCAGGACTCCGTTGCTCTCCTTAAGGTTATTGAAGATCGTCTAAGTTTTGTTTATGTGATTATATCTATCAATATTTAACACATTGGAGATAAAACTAAGAAGCATTTTAAAGTTCAGTAATTCACTTAATATAATAAGGCCATTCCATAAATAGCAAGATGTTAACATAAATAGCATTTTATGGAAAATAACCATATTTTCACCCAAGAAATCAGTGGGAAGGGTGGCGTTGCTTTTTATTGTTGCAAATCTCCTTAATGCCTCATGTAATAGAAGACATCTGGACTCTCTGACCAGCTTCTGCATTCAGTCTGCTGCTGGTCCCTACGTCCTGTAGCCTCCGCAAAGCTCTATGGAAGACTCAAGGGAAAAGGGGGATGAAAGAGGGAAATAACGTCTAACCATTATGAAAAAAAGATTTGACTCACTGGTCCTCTGAAAGCATTTCAGAAACCCAGGGGTTCCAAGCCCATACTTTGAAAACTTCTGTCTTGTACAATTACCAAAGGGAATTATTTTCCGTGATCGTAATCACAGTGTTTGCTGTTACAACAAGGAGGACAGAATCACATCATGGTTCAAAACACAAGTGTTGAAAACTAAACTTTATGAAACTGAAATCCAACCCCCTAACCTCTTAAACAGGTTTCTGTACTTAGCTGTGTGACCTAGGGCCAGGAGCTTGTTTGTTTCATAATTGATATATTTATGCATTCCTCTTCTCCTTTGATTATAAAGGTAATACCTGCTCATAGCAAAGCATTCAAACAGAAAAGAGACATATAAAATTAAATTTGGGGGGTCTCCCATAATCTCCATTATTAAATGAGAAAAATAATAGTATTTATTTTGCTGGATTATTGTCGTGAAGCCAAAATGCGTTGTTTGCGTGTGCATGTGACATTTAGAAATGCAAACTCTGTTTAAGGGTTAGCTTTGTTATTTTCAGGTATCGTCAATACCTGATACCTGATATTTATTGATATCCTCTTGGTAAAGTACTTGTTCATCTTTTGCCCATTTTTCTATTGGATTGCCTGCCCTTTTCTGATTGATTTTTTGGAGTTTATTTCTTATTCTGGATATGAGTCTTTTGTCAGACCTACTATCTTGCTGACTCAGGGAAAACCTCAGTTTGTTATGCTGTAAAACTAAGAAAAAAATATGGTTGGTGTAAAGATTAAATTAGATAAAAGAAGTCACCGTTTATAAACTTTAGACTGCTACACAAATATGAATTTATATTATCCAGCTATTTTCTCTGCAAACAAGAATTTAGAAATGGTGGTGGTTAGGTCTATTGTTATGTTTTTGCTTTTTTTTTTTCCTCAGCATCTACACAAAGGAAAAAGAAATAATGTGATGGGAGCTCTGTAAAATCACATGGAATGATGTTACCCAGTAATTCACGAAAGAATAATTGCTGCAGAAATGCAAGATAGCACATTACGCATTACCACGACAGTTGTACTCTAAACCAGATAGACGATTATTCAGAGAGATTGATTTTAAAAAGCACGATCACTTAAATCAAAGCATGCTCTCAACTGAAGAGCTCAGATGGAAAAAGAATGAAGGGAGTTAGGCGCGTTGACTCGAGGGTGCCTTGCCACACCGGCCTTCTGGGATTCTGTGGCGGGCTGGGGACCCTGCCTCCTCCTGTCTTCATCCCAGAGGGAGAGGGGAGTGTAGATCTTGCAGGAGAGCCGTGTGTGTGAGTAGCCACGTGGTGACAGCCATTGGCACTGAGTGACATCGCACAGATTGCAGCATGCTCCTCCTCTTCCCACCTGCTGTAGCAGACAGGGCAGCTGTTTGCATCCCTGTTTCGGAGGAGAGAACATTGAAATGCACAGAAGCCAATTGCCTGCTGAGTCGGGAGCCCCCAGGGTCTTTTGCCTGTGTGGACTCTGCTCCTCCATGCCCTCCTGCCCAGTTGGGGAGGGCAGGAATAGCCAGGGGGGCAGCTTGAGGATCTGGAATTGCTGAAACCCACTTTCACAGTGCAATGGTCTGAATGTTTTTTTCCCCCACTAAATGCATATGTTGAGATCTGAATCCCCAAGGCGATGGTATTAGGAGGTGATTAGTCCATGACGGTGCAGTCATGATGGATGGTCCCCATATATACAAGGCCCCAGAGACCTCCCGCGCCCCTTCCACCATGCGAGGACACAGTGAAAGGTGGCTGCCTATGATCCGGGAAGCCAGCCCCCACCAGACACCAGGGTTCAACCATAGTGGCAGGTTAATCATGGACTTCCAGCCGCCAGAACTGTGAGAAACAAACTTCTATTTTTTATAAGCTACCCAGTGTATGATATTTTGTTATAAGCGTCCAAATGGAATTAAACATAGAGTCTGTGCTACTTAATTGCAGGCCCCTAGGTTCCTGTGGAATACTGTTCTTCGGGAGACTAAATGTGCATATTTATTCACAGGCCTCTGGGCCAGGGTTGGATGTTTCTGTCCCCTCTCTTGCAGGAACCCCCTTGTTTGACTCGGGTGGCCTCCAACTTGGGAGGGAGTGACTGCTGTAGGCAGCTCTGCCTGCTGATTCATGGTTTCATGCTCAAGTGCTGCATGGCAGGCTGGGGGCTCTGGCAGCAGTGAAGGATATTTGGGTGAAAGAGAAGGAAACTTCCCTCCTGGGGTGAGGAACTGGATTTTGTCCCTAGGTAAATTCTGGGCAGTGGGAGTGGAGCCCCTGCATACCTGCCCTGAATGTCCTTCTGCCGGGGGCCAGAGGGCCATGTGGGAACTATAATTCCATCTGGGGACTTTCCACACTCAGAGGTGTGGCCACCATCCCCAGGTCTCCCAGTTCACCTGCAGCCTGTGTGGCCAAGTACAAATCCCGAGGCAAGGAAGTTGAGTGCAGAGCTGAAGCCCTCCCCCAGGTCCTCTGTGCAGAAAGAAGCCTGTCAGGAAGCAGGGGGCTGAGCTCAGCTTTAGTGCAGCAGGGTCGGGACGTGCTTGCCAAGGATCGAGGAAGGAAAAGGCTGTGGGGAAAGGGGAGGGGACAGATGGACTCTGAACCTGCTTTTGGAGCAGCCTCTGGGGAGGGAGGGCTTTTCTTGCCAGCCGGTCAAGGTCTTATAGGAGAAGACACGGCACCTGCAGACCTATTGCTGCCAGAGTCCCACAGAACCTCTTTGAGAAGGGGGAAAGGGGTAAGTCAAGAGCCATTTTGCAAATGAGGAGACTGAGTCCTGCAGCAACTGCCTCTCATCTGTGGTCACAGGCGTGGGGGCCTGGAGACAGTAATGCCTGGATAGAGCCTTGGAAAGCAGAGCTGGTGGTGGGAACCGAGGGATAAAGGCTCAGGACTGGGTGCACATGGTGGATGTGAGGGGATCCACATACTGTGGTATTGCAGGATCACAGGTGGTTAAAGCAGAGGCTCAGCCCCAGGACGCCACCCCTTGTCACTCTGGGTGAAGTCCATGTCCTTGTCTTCCTCCTTGTAGGGACCCTGTTTTCCCTCCCTCCGTGATCCTTGTTACCATTTGTTGTTATATGTTGTTATAAGTGTATCATTATTGTGTTGTAGAATCCTACCTCATCCCCCCCCACCAACACACACACACACACACACACACACACACACACACACACACACACACACACACACTTTTTATTCTAGGAGCTCAGGAGCAATATTAATTTCCACTGCACACATCAGGCAAGCATAATGCTGGGGACAGGAGGTGTTCCATAAATGTTGCATGAACGAATGAATGAAAACTCGGCTGGACCATGGCTTGTAGCAATGGCTTGTGCACTTCACTCAAGATTCTTGACTTGATCCTTTGGGCAGTGCAGTTGGAGGAGGGTGATCTGATCATATGGATGGTCAGAAAGTCCAGTGTGAAGATGAGTAGAGGACAGCCTCTGTGTGTGTGCACCTGCATGTGCATAGGGGCAGCAGGCTGCACAGTGGGAATGGGAAGGAGGTGAGGGACCTTGTCACTGCAAACAGAGAGCCAAGAGACTCAGACCGTGTGTGGCCCGGACAGGTGCCAAGAGGAGGGAGATTGTTCTGGGAGCATGGTTCCTCATGCCCTCCTCTCTCCCTCTTGAGTCTTTGTGGGGGGTTCCCCTAACGGGTATCCCTGCATGCTCAGGTGGTGGTGGCTGCTGCTTGTTGATTACAGTTTGAAAAGCTGCACTTGGTCCCAAGTTGCCACACACCACTGAAATTCAGTGTTCTCTAATGGGGTTTCTGTTAGAATGTTGGAAAGAAGAAAGCCTTTTAATTAGATTCGTAGTAATTGAGCTCCCAAACCACAGAAGCCTTTCTCTCAGCAGATGAAGACACAAATGCAATTAAAAGAAGGAAAGGCACCTAAATGGAACCCTTGCTAATTTTAAGTCCATTAAAAACAACAACTCCTTAATAAGTTGAGGCAACAGATACACGTTCTGAAGAGTTTTAACAGTGCTTCCCAATAATATTGGAGCTTGAACTGGAACTGGAGTGCTCCAGCCACTTAAATGGATAGCTCTGTTGGGGATCATTTGCTCAGTGCAGAGTACAGAGACATGTTAGCTCTACAGCTTTTCCCACCAAAAACTCCTGGCACATTTTATTAGGAAAATGGGATATATTTTTTCCTGTAACTGAATAAATGTTCAGCATCTTGTGGACATTGCCTCTGGCCTGGGGTCCCCTGAGACATCATCCCATGTCCCTCCCCAGGCAGCCCTCTCCTCTCTGTGGGATTTGCCCCACCTGGCCCATCTCACCCCAGAGGTGCCCAACATGTGAGCAACTGGGCTGGGGCACTGATGTCCCTGTCAACTGCTTACATGCTGAACGCATTTTCATTTTAATGAGAGGCAGCATTCGTTTTTCATTTGCATCCCTGCTCACTGACATGCCCCAGCAGATGCCACGTTCTTTCTGCCTTTGGGTCTTTTTTTTTTTGAAACTTCCCATCGGTGAACCAGGCCAAGTAGATTCTATTGCGGGAGCTTGAGGTTTCAGCTTCTGGGAACATCTTCACAGGGGCATTAATTAATATTTTCCCTGGAGAGGGTGTCAATTGCTAATTCACAGAGTCCTTTACGTTGGAGTTGATTATTTCATGCTGAATCACAACATTCTCAGTATGACTATTGTACAGAATTCACTCATTTGCCTCCTTTCACTGGGCTTGGTCAGCCGTACTAAAACGCAAGTTGCCTCCCATTTGGAAAGGCCAGTCTTGACGGGTCTCTTCTCTGTACGTCCTGTGCTGGAGCAAAGTCACAGCTGGTACACTAGCCAAGCTCCCTGATTAGTGCATAGGCTTAGCTGGAGGCAGAACTCAGGGAGGTGTTTTGGAAATGTAGGAAAATAAGCTCTGGAGTCAGAAAGATCCAAGTTTGAATGGCTGCTTCTAAAGTCACCTCATCTTTCTCACCTTTAGTTTATCACCTGGGTAGGCTTTACCTTCAGGTGTATTTCAAGAGCCCGATGTGCCTCCTAGAAGTTAGAGGTTGAGAGAAAAGCCCAGATCTGCAGGGACAAGGCAGAGTCATGGCCCTCATGGCACCACTCACACAGGGTGCAGCAGCTCCACACAGGGCCATGGCCCCTTTCCTGGGGGAGGGAGGCATAACATACTTGTATTTGTTTAAAAGCATATATATTTTGGAAACAAACCTGACTTTAAAAACTTGTATTTTCACCTACTTTTATGTTTTTTTTTAAGCATATGAATTATTTAAAAATACAAAGATAAATAGCTAAATCATTAGCAGGCATCATTTCTGGATGGTAAGGTTGCAGAGTTTTAATTTTCTTCTTTATACTTTTCCATCTTTTTTAAGTGCTGTATAATAAATGTGTCTTACTTTGGAATAAATAGAAAAGCTTAACTCTAGGGAAATGCTGCTTGCATATATTGGAAGTGCTTGGTGCATTCTAATTTCCACACACAACAACGCTCTCGACAGTCAGATCCCCATGTGAATAATTGTCTCATTCTTTCTTTTGTAAACCATATTATTTATGCTGCTGCTTTTTTTTTTTTTTTGAAGGATGAGAAGAACCAAGTTTTAACCACCAACATTTGGCTGCAAATGGTAAGTTAAGAGAATGACAATCTCTCCCATGGGCTGCAAGATCTTGCACCCAAGATTCTTGTTCTGATACCTGAGATGCTTGCTTCTGAGAGGTCCTGTTTAGGAAAAAAAAACAAAAAAACAAAAGGCCATGGCTGTCACACCAACTCCACACCTGCCAACAATGAATGCTGGCTGTATGACACTACAGTCTGCAGTGCTCAACACATGCACAAGATCAACACATAGGACAAGGTAATGTGGGGACACTTCAGAAGCACTTCAGGCAAGACAAGAAGATACAGGGCTGTGTGTAGATGTCCACAACCTGCACCACAGCCAGTCCCCAGGACTCAGAAGCTCCATCCCTGCCCTCTGTGGCCTCCGGAGCTGCATGTTTGAATCAGGTGGAGTGTTCCGAAACCAGAGGCCCTCGTACTTTGTGCTCTAGCAATGCTTATAAGAATCTTGAAATGCTACCTATCATTTGTAGATTTTTAACTTGACATCTGCAATACTAATCTAAATTTGATTAATTGCAAATGATGCCACTTAACATCCAATTGTAAATATTAACACTGAAAAATGAAACAGTCAGTCTCTATTTTAAATGGAATTCAAAATACCATAATAATTTGGTGCCCATCTCATTCAAACACCATATGAACAAGCCTTTTTTTAAACTGTCAGATATTTAACGTAGTCCCTTTTTTCTCTTTGCACATGCATTTCTATTCTAGTTTCTATACGGAATTTTATCCTAATGTAATATAATTTTATGTTTGAAAGTCTCTTTTTTGTTTGTTTGTTTGTTTGTTCGTTTGTTTGTTTGAGACAGAGCCTTGTTCTGTCATCCAGGCTGGAGTGCAGTGCAGTGGCGCAATCTTGGCTTACTGCAACCTCCGCCTTCCAGGTTCAAGTGATTCTCCTGCCTCAGACTCCCGAACAGCTGGAATTACAGGCAGGCACCACCACACCCGGCTAGTTTTTGTATTTTTTAGTAGAGACAGGGTTTCTTCATGTTGGCCAGGCTGGTCTTGAACTCCTGACTTCAGGTGATCCACCCACCTCGGCCTCCCAAAGTGCTGGGATTACAGGCATGAGCCACCGTGCAGGGCCAAAAGTCTTTTATTAATCGTGCCTTGGTTTTTTCAAATGTAAATATTTACACAAGAATTATTCCTTTACACCGTAAGTATTAAATTTTGTTTCTTTTGGATTGATTTAAGTTTGCTATTGTTATTGGTATTATAATTCATCAAGGTGACATAAATTAAAATTTTTAAGTAATTATAAAACATAAATTTTTATTGGCAATTTATATCTCTGCCCAAGATGAGTTTGTTTTAAATTAGTTCATGTATCCACAGATGACTTTTTATTACTTGAATGGAGAGAATGATAGTTTTCACTTCAATTCTGTTGCTGTTTTTTAACTAGGTGTAGTAACATGAGTAGTTGGACATGAAAGCCACTTTGTTAAAGCAATGTTACTCCATCTTTGAACTTCTTCTAGGTTATATGCCAAAAATAATGTAGTTTTTATCAAATGTATCAGCTGACAGCTTGATTAGTTTCTCCTTCAATTTTGTTGAAAACAAAGAAAAGAATTTAAACCCACCTGACCTTTGAAAGTATTTGCCACCCAATTTGTAAGGTAATTCACACAGACACAAACGCTGATACTTGAATTGACCATTTGTTTGGTTCTTGAGTCAGTGTCCCAAGATGGGAGTTGAGGTAAGATAAGAGAAATGTGCCCTTCTTTATAAAGTTGAATGGGAGAAGTGAAAATGGAGGCAAAGGATAGTCCCATGTGGTTCTTGGGCAGTTGAGTTATCCTGCGAATACACGTGGAGTTGAGGGATAGAAAATGGATCTGCATCCAGCCTGGCCAACATGGTGCAACCCTGTCTCTACTAAAAATACAAAACTTAGCTGGGTGTGGTGGTGCACACCTGTAATCCCAGCTACTCAGGAGGCTGAGCCAGGAGAATCACTTGAACCTGGGAGGCAGAGGTTGCAGTGAGCTGAGATTGCACCACTGCACTACAGCCTGGGGAACAGAGCAAGACTCAATCTCAAGAAAAAAAAAAAAAAAAGAAAGAAAAAGAAAATGGATGTGCTTAAAGCCATTGCTAGGTCTCCAAGGTGCACCCATAGCTACATGTGAGACTCCTGCAGAACCTAACAGTCAGGTGAGAGCCCTTGAGATATTCCCTTGCAGGATTTAAAGCAGCATACTTCAGTGAGCATATCCCTTGCCACCTACTCTAGCTTCCCTCCTTTTGCCCAGGACACATGATCTGTGCTCTCCTGGAAGGCCCAGGCCTTCTTCCCATGGACAGACTCATCTCCTGGCCCCTGCTGAGAGCCTGGCATTAATGATTGTCCTCGCTGCCAGTAGCATCAAAATAGTGTCCGTGGGTCATTCTCACTCTTGTCTCTCCCACAGACTTTTCATTTGGATAAATGTTAAAGCCATGGATCCATTGGCTCAAACCAAAAACCTTGAAGTCACCCTTAACTCTTGTCTCGCACACCTCACCTCTGATACATCAACAAATCCTGGCAGCTTGACCTGCAAAACCGATCCAGGATCTAACTACTGGGCATCAACCATGATGCTTTCACCCTGGTCTACATGGGTGTCATCTCTCACCTCCATTATTAGGAGTCCCCATCCAGCCTTCCTGCTTCAGTGTTGCCTCTTCTGGTGGTGTCTTGTCCTCAACATAGCAGCCAGCATATACCTTCTTGGCACAGATCCCTCCAGGGGCTCCTGTCTCCCTGGACAGCATAGGAACTGAAGTCCTCGAAGTGGCCTTGGATTCAATTCCCTTCTTGCCTGGCTCCTTTTTCCTCTCCCCTCCCCTCTGTTCTTTGTTTCCTGGCTGCACTCACTGTCCACTTGTTGGGTGACACACACGTCACCCGAGCCCGTGCCCCCCCCTCAGGGCCTTTGCACTGGCTGCTCTCCCTGCCAGGAAGACTCGTCCCTAAGAACCACTTGATTTCCCCCTTACTTCTCACTGATCTCTTCCTAAAGGTCAACTCTTCATTGAGTCTTCTTTGAGCTCCGATGTACTGTCCCAAACCCTCCCCTCCACCTCCAGCCCACTCTGTTCTCTTTATCCTGTTTCATTTTTCTCCCAAAGGCTTCTCACCATGTAACCCGCTTTGTGTTCACTCGTCTATCTGTTCATTGGTTCTGAGTCTTCATCACCCTTAGAATGTGTGCACAGTGTGGGGGACAGGGCTCCAGGTGCATTCGGTCACTGCCGTACCCACAGCCCCTAGTTCACTGTCTCACCTGTAGCGGGCACCAAAGAACTTTTGCCGAATGAGAGAATGAAGCAAAAACTCAAGGTGAACCTTGAGGTGCTTGGGTAGCGTGACACAACATAAAGCCATCTCCTGAATGGCCGTGCAGCACTTTCGTACTGTGTGTATAAGGCCAGGCTCCGGAGAATGAGGCAAGTGCTTCCCTTTTTAATTAAAGTTGGACGTTTGCCATGCCCTCTAAGGAACAACGCTGCTGTTGACATTTTTCTTACAGAGAGAAATGCATGTTATGGAGAGGTCTCTCTCCCTGGTGCCTATCTTCCTTAGCCCTCAGTAAGTGACTGGTCTTCAGCAATGTATATGATTTGGCAATTTTATTTAAAGGATGGTGGTTTCCAAGAAAAATGTAACTGGATTATTACTTCCAGTATGGAATTCAGATGCTCCACAAATAAACATCCTTGCTTCAGAGGGTGTCACCAGAGACCTCTAAATTTATTTCAAGCACAGCTAATTTTAATTAAGGCTTACATTTGCAGAAGCATCTGCAGCTTCATTTGTTTGAAAACTCACCTTTTAACTCACCTCCTCTTGGAGCAACCTACTCTGTGGAAGGTATTAAACTGGGCCAGGTGAGGGGACCCAGAAATACATAACCCAGTTTCTACCTTTAAGCCATTTATGATCAGGCTGTGTAATTAACACGTTTAGAAGAAGGAGGCGGAGGAGAAGAAGAAGGAAAAGAGGAGGAGAAGGAGGAGGAGGAAAAAAGGAGGAAAAATGGAGGAGGAGTTGGAGGAGGTGGAGGAGGAGAAGGAAAAGAGGCGGAGGAGAAGGAGGAAGAGGAGGAGGAAGAGGAGGAGAGGAGGAAAGGAGGAGGAGAGGAGGAAAGGAGGAGGAGGAGGAGGAAAAGAGGAGGAGGAGGAAATTAAAATAGCAAGAACAAGTATCTCCCCAGGGATATTACAGATGACAGCTGGTGGTCAGATAGTAGAGGCCAGACGTGGGAGAAATCTCTGCTTTAAAGAAATGGGAGAGAAGGAGAGGCACAAATTCTCCTAAACGTGAAGATCTGGGAGCACTGGCATTTCTGAGTATTTTGTCATTAATGTTTACTTTTAGGTGCCTACCGATTGAGAAACATGCTGGATTCCCTTAGAAGGTGTGCCCTCATAAAGCTGGGTGATAACATTTATCTGGAAAGCGGCACCTGTAGATGATCTAGCAGTTGTAACACTGTCTCCCAACTGAATTTTTAAGGGCTCACAAGAATCCTGGGTTTAAAACAAACCTTAACAGTCATCTAGCCAGTGCCTGTGTCTCTCTGCTCCCCGCCCCCACCCAGTGTTTCAGTCTGGAAGCCCTGGCATTTCTATTCATGTCCACAGCATGGACATGAGGAACTCAGGAGTCACCAGAGCAAGCTTGGATGCTGCCCAGAGGCCACTTCTAAGCAACCTTCCATTGATTGCTGTTCTTGTGTTCCCTGGCTGGGGACCAGCCTGGCTTGACCCAGCACGATAATGGACATGCACAAGTGAAGCTGGGTACTGAAGGCTCTCAGGGCCAGGGTTCTGAGGGGGGTGCAAATGTGGGCCGGGGGCAGAGAGCCATAAAAACGGCTCTAGCAATGGGTTTTTCTCCTCCCGAGTTTCATGTTGCTGAATTCCTGTCCAGAAAATCTGAATCCACATAATCTTTTCTCTAGGGTATTTAAACTCTGCAAATGATACATTTTCTGTTTATTAAAAATGGAAAAGGCAGAAAGGTAAAAAAAAGAAAAAAACTCTCCTTGACCTCCAGTTTGTTGGTTTTGTTATTCTTTCTCCCAGTTGCCCTTGATTTTGATCATTCAGAAACGTGAGGGAGGAGAAAGAGGCTTCATCTCTCTGTTCACCTCTTCATGTTCCGAGGAGGAAGCAGCTGGTTCCTCTGCAGCCGGTTCCTCTGCAGCCAGTTTTCTCTGCAGATTAGTTTTTATCATTTTGAGAGGGTTGTCAGACATAATCTGATTTAATCTATGAGAAAAAAATGACAGAAGCCATTTCAGTTTCTGAAGAGACATTTGAACCATCCAGAGACTTACATTTGCTTTTAAAACATCTGTCTTCTGTCATTTTGCAATTGTGACCATTCTCCTGGCATTTGATGTCCCAGCCTTCCTGGGTCCTTCTCTAACTTTAACCTCCTAATTCTAATTATGGTACTAATAGCATTCACACCATAGATGATAAGATTTTAAGCTGTTATTTTTTCTAAAATATTTACCTTTTTAATTTCTGCATTCATCATCACTTGATCTCTGACACATGGAAATGCCACGCTTCCTGTTTACAGACAAGCCGGCTAGTGGCTTGCTTAGGGCTGTGACGGCATCTCAAGGTGAAGAGCGATGTGTCAATCATTATGTCTCACCAAGAGAAGAAAGCGTCAGGGTCAGTGGGGTGGAAAGGCTGCTTTCCTCCACTAACAAAATAATGGACGGGAATAATTTTGAAAAGATCAGTGTTTTCTGACATCAAACGTGTGATGACTTTTCTAGCACCAACAACCAATTTTCCACCAGCAACTGGGGGTCCACCAATTCAATTCATTTCTCACATTATCTACCTGGAGTTGCATCAGATCCCACAGGTTAAAGGGCTCAGTCTCACTTCAGATACCAGCTGCAAATGGTGTACCCAGGCTACCCACATGTCTAGCAGGTGACTGAAAATTCGAGGGTTCCCATACCCTTCTCCCCCAGGTTCAATAACTTTCTAAGATGACTGACAGAGCTCAGGAAAATACTTTGCTTACTTAATAAAATTTTAAATAATATACAAACTTATTTAATATATTTATAAATAAAATATATTTATTAAATAAATATTTAATATCTACTTATATAAAATACCCTGGAGAAAAGATTACATGGATTCAGAGTTTCAGAACAGGAATTCAGCAACATGAAACTCGGGAAGAGAAAAACCCATGACTTAGGTTTATTGGCTTATTCTAAAGGATGCAGCTCAGGAACCAAGTGGAAGGACGCAGCGGACAGGGCGTCGTGGCCGCAAGGGTGCGCGGAGCTGTTGTCGTAACTTCTCGCCAGTGGCCACCTTCCCTGCAAGTGGATGTGCTGACCAAGAGTGTTTATAACCCCGTCTCGAGCCCCTTTCTCACCCCTCCCCAGAGCTGTGAGTGCAATGGGCAGAAAGCTCTTTACTCCAGTCACTAGGTGACCAGCCCCCATGAAAGCTATCTAGGTGCCCAACCCTAAGTCACCTCATCAGCGTAAACTCAGGCCTCAGGCATGGTCAGAAGGGGCTCTGTATGAATCACAAAAGACACTCCTCTCACTCAGGAAATTCCCAGGGCTTTGGAAGCTCTGTGCCAGGAAAACCAAATCTATTTTCTTATTACACCATAATGTATTTTTTTAATGAAAGATAACTTTCCTTTTTCCTCCCTCCCTTCCCCTCTCTCATCCCTTTCCCCTCCTCCGCCCTCCCTCAATGCTTCCATGCCACTAGCATCCACACACATTTAGAGTTTCCTGTGGGCTCGAAGCAGCACAAATAGGGCCCAGGTGCCAGAGCCATGGAAGAATTGGGATTCCCCCAGTGCCTTTTAGATCAATGGCCCCTTCCTCCCTTCCCTTCAGTGTCCCCTCACAACTCCACACACTCTTCTTTTGAAGATTTAATGAGAAGGAATCTCACAAAAGGAGGGAGAGAAGGAAGAGCACACACTCCTCTAAATGTGATTGTCTGGGAGTCTAGGTTCATTGACGCTTCTTTTCAGATCCCCACTCTGTGGAAAACGTGTCAGGTGCTGTCTACAAAGATTTTGTCTGATGCCCCCTGTTCCCGAGGGACCTAGGAACCAAGTGCTTTCAGAGAACAACCTTTTTTCTAGAAGTTTGTTGTTTGTAGGGCCTTATTCCATATCCATTCTTGGGAAACCGTCATGGGAGCCTGTGGGGGTTGCTGGTGGGGCCCCCGGGCTCAGGATTGTGGACCTGGGCTCCAGGGCACACAGCATGAGGTTCCCACTGCATGTTGGCACTCAGTCTTCCCCACCCTTGGCTGCAGCTATGTTATGACTGTTACTACAGCTCCCAAGTCCAGCAGGATTTTGTAAAATGGGGAAATCTCTCTCTCTTTTTTTAAGCCACCATTCATCACTTGCCTGCCAGGGCCATATGACTTTAATCTGCTGCTGCACACATTATCTCATCTCATCCTGTGAGGCAGGGTACATGTAAGGAAACTGCAGTTCAGAGACAATGATTTACCTGAACAAGCTCACGCCGCTAGTCTCTGCCAGACCCTTGGTGCAAACCCAGGTCTGTCTGATGCGGATGCTTTTGGCAGCTCCCCCTACCTTTTCTGCCACTACGGTTACCTGAAAAGGGTTCCGATCCAGACCCCAAGAGAGGGTTCTTGGATCTAGTGTGAGAAAGAATTCAGGGCGTGAAAGTAAGTTTATTAGGAAAGTAGAGGAATAAAAGAATGGCTACTCCATAGAGAGAGCAGCCCCGAAGGCTGCTGGTTGCCCATTTTTATGGTTATTTCTTGATAGGCTGAACAAGGGGTGGATTATTCATGCCTCTCTTTTTTAGACCATGTAAGGTAACTTCCTGATGTTGCCTTGGCATTTCTAAACTGTCATGGAGCTGGTGGGAGTGTAGCCATGAGGATGACCAGAGGTCACTCTCGTGGCCATCTTGGTTTTGGTGGGATTCAGCCGGCTTCTTTACTGCAACCTGTTTTATCAGCAAGGTCTTTATGGCCTGTATCTTGTGCCAACTTCCTGTCTCATCCTGTGACTTAGAATGCCTAACCATCTGGGAATGCAGCCCAGTAGGAGGTTTCAGCCCTGCTTTACCCAGCTCCTATTTAAGATGGAGTTTCCCTGGTTTAAATGCCTCTGACACAATGGTCAGCCTGGTTTGGGGCAAGGGAAAACAGCAGATGGGCAGCAGCATCAGGGAGATTGAGCCAGAAGAACCAGCTCTGGTAGAACCCAAAGATCAGTTTGCTTAAAGTCAAATAACACAGGTAAGCCCTGACCCAGTGACTGACTAAAACATCCTAGCTTTCTGAACCCTGGCGTCCTCTTGTAAATGGAAGCAGTCATATCACTGACCCCCCCGAACTATGGTGAGTCTGCTATGGTGAGTCTGGACATACACAGGACACTGGACTAGCATAAAGGCTGTGATCTGGCCGGGGAGGGGATGAGCCCGTGGTTTACGCAGTGGGGTGTGCGGGGTGTGGGGAGGCAGCGTACAGCTCTGGCTGTGCCTTGGACGAGGTCTGGGTTTGACCATCCAAGCACTCCCATTCCCATTCCCAGTTCCTGTCTCCCCTCCCTCTCTGGCCATCATTCAGCAGGCAGAGGAGAAGGAGAGAAGTGCCTTGGCCTACCATGCCCACTTTCCAGGGCAGTTCGTGGAATCTTGGGGCCCTGACCTGTGTGGTAATAATGGTGAACGTGACTGGCTCTGTGATAATTAGTGACCGACACAGAGAAGCATCCCAGGGTGAGATGCAAGACTGTGGCACAGAAAGCACAGGTGTTGGCTGTGGCAGGGCCTTGTGCCCAGGGCAAGGGAGAGAAATGAAGGGAAGCACAGGGCAGAGGTGCCAAGTTGGAGCAAGCTGCAGGAAGCATGGCTTGGTTGGTGCCCAGGCATTCCTGGAAGACAACTAGGACAAGACCCACCATTCCTGGGTGTGCCCCTCCTGTCCCCTCCCCAACCACTTCCATCTCATTAGAGACCCCAGCAGGCAGCTGTCGATCCTGAATGCCCCAGAGGATACTTCTGCACATCACCCATTAACACATCCTCATTCCTGGAGGTCCCTGGCTGCAAAATGATGTCACTCACCTGGATAGTTCCTCTCCTTTGATGTCAGATTAGATCCTTCCAGACTTGGGACCATCTTTCTGGATGCTGCCTGCCCTCCTCAGAGAATGGTTGGTCTGGGACATGCCCTTTGCTTCCCTTGTTGTATCAATAGCTCTAGGCCCACAGCCCCTCATCTGCAATTCCCAAATCTCAGCAGCTCTGAAAATTTTTCCCCCTCCTTTGATGTTGTTTTCGTAACTTTGCGTCAAATTATTTTGGTCTAAAATCAAATTGAAATCTATGTGAATTGAGGCATTTATTTGTCTCACTTAGTGCAAATAGGCATGTTTTGCTGCAGAAATTACCATGTATTTGATTGTGAGGAGCCACCCTGGTCCCAGGTTGGGGTGGTGCATCACATACCTTTCTGGATCTTGGAAAGCCTGAGCTTCAGAGCATGGGTGGTACCAGGGGGACAGAATACAGGATAATGGTGCAATTATAGGAGCTTCTGGGCTCATACTTGTCAGCCCTGAGCCTCCTGTGGGGTGGTACTGGTTATGTGGCAGCTGCAGGTGGGATCCCACCCGAGCATCCTCTGCAGAGCTTGTGGGCTCCAGGAAGGGCTGTTTAGCACCTGATCCTCGGAGGGATGACCCCAGACGTGGGTATTCCTCTGGCAAAAGTCACTCGATAACCTCAATTAAGGCCTGGCCGTGAGCTTGTGTGAGTGCTTCCTGAGTCTTCACCTGCCTCCTTTCGTCCTGACTCTGCGTTTCACCATCAGGGCTCAGGATTTGCATTGTCGGGTGTCGGAAGCACTATCCCTGTGACAAAATAAAAATTCAAATCTGAAAACATTCCTTTAGAAATTCTGAGAGGTTCCCATGCAGCTGCACAGTATTGCTTTATGGAAATAAATATTCCACATTTCTCCAGCCTGGTTCTTAGTCCAGTGGAAATAAGTGAATTCCTTTTTTCGAAGTATTCTTACAGTGAAAACTTCTAAGGCAAAACAGTTATTCATTTGGCTAGAAGTAACCCATCTACTGCAGGAGGAGAAGGCTCGGGGACATGCAGAGGGTTGGAATTAACTTTAATGATACCATCTGAATGTGTTCATGGTGACAGCAGAACCTTAAATGTGAGTTTTATGCTCTTCACAGTCATTTTGGAAAGGATTTTTGAATTCCCATTTTCATTATATTTTATAAATAGCAATTCAGTTATAATAAATGTCTGGAATTCTCTTTGGTTTTGCACTTACCTAATAATCGCTTATGAGAAATATTAGTAGCCAAGGAAGTGAAGTGCTGCTAATGTCATTGTGTGTGTCAGTCTTGGACAGATCACTATTTACAGTGGAATGTGTCAGAATATCCAGGGGTGAAGACTGTTCGTTTCCCAGATGGCCAGATTTGGAAACCAGACATTCTTCTCTATAACAGGTAAGCATATTGAACAAAGGAAAAAAATGATTTTATGCTTGCATACATGTAGCTATCACGTATATTTGAATATTTCACAGAGATGCTGGATATGTTATCTATGATCTGGGGCCACTGCTCCCTACACGGCTTTCCGAGCGGCCAGGCCTTTGAGAAGCAGCTCTGTCCCTGTAAGCCAGCATTCCCTGGTTTGGCATGCACACGTGCACACGCTGGCTAGCCTGCTACTTAAGACGCCCATGAAGTTGTATGTTCTCGGGGCCTAGTGTTGTTTCTGTGCATATTGGCACATGGAGTATTCTTGCATAAGGCAGTACCTTTGTTCTCTGAATGGCAGCAGTTATGACCAACAGCAGGAAGTGCTGGCCTATGGGATGCACTGCTGGAGCCCACAGTTTGGACCCACATCCTCGTCTATGTTCCCTGTTGTGCATTGGAGAGTTCTGTGGCAGAGATGGCTGCAGGTGAGCGTGAGGACTGTCATCTCTAGCTGCATGCAGAAACTTCCCCTGCAGGGTATATACCTGATTTCTAATAGTCTTTCTCCTGAGGTCAGGAAATAAGGGACACGTCGGTAAACCAAGACAGTCTGACTTGCAGACCAGATGCCTAAAAGGCAATTATTCAGGCAGGGTAAGTTTCTAGAAGCAGTAAAATTTCTCGTTAAACTGCATAGTCAAATAAGGGATCCCAGAACATTTCTGACTAATAAGGTGTCAGACCTCATAAATAACATCATGAAAAGAAAGTTATTTCCTAATCATGACCGCTACCTTTGGTCATGAAGAAGGAAGCCCAGGCTTTCCTGATGCAGGGAACAGTGTGACCAAATTGCCCTCCATGGTCACTCGGTGATCCCGCTGGACAAGCAATGTGTTGTCCTACATGGCTACTTCCAGAAGGCTGGGCGATGCTATTTCTTGTATGGACTTTTCATTCTGCCTCTGTCTTTGCATCTGGGGGCCGGCCACATTTCACTTGAATCATTGGGCCCGTTTCTAGAAGAGTATCCTCTTCTCATTTGCTGCCACTTTTCTGCTTCTCAAATTAGTTCAGACAACTGAGCTTTGAAAAACGTCTAAAATAGGAGTAAGTGGTCCCCTGTTGAATGGATCAAACATGTGCCTTTCCATGCCTGGACTTTGGGTCTTCTGTTTCTTGGGGGGCTGTATTAGTTTGCCAAGGCTGCTGTAACAAAGTGCTACAGACTCAGAGCCTTAAACAATAGAAGTTACCCTGTCACAATTGTGGAGGCCAGAAGTCTGAATGAAGGTGTTGTCAGGACTGGCTTCTTCTGAGCCTCTCTCCTTGGCTGGTAGATGGCTGCCATCTCACTGGGTTCACGTGACCTTCGCTTGTCTCTGTCCGTGCCCTAGTCTCCTCTTCCTGTAAGCACTGCAGTCAAATTAGAGTAGGGCCCCATGCTCATGACCCTCTTTTACTTTAATTACCTTTTTAAAGGTTCTGTCTTCAAATAGAGCCACACTCTGAGGCACCAGGTATTAGGATTTCAACATGTGAGTTTGAGGGAGATGCAACTCAGTCCATAATGAGGGCATTGTATCTGACTTTTTGAGGGCAAAGGGTCAGGGTTGAAGAAGTCTCCGTGTTAATTTTAGCTGTAATATTTACAGTCTGTATAACCTTTGAGTCTCAGATTTCTCCTTTGAAAAACGGGGAAAGTGCCGGCTTCACAGAGTTCGGAGGATCGCTCTGTGGATGTGTGTAGCACACTTAGTCTGGCACTTGGAAAAGAGCACACATTCCGTAAAGGCAGTTGTGTGTTTACAGGCAGAATGATGAGGATTCCTGCTTTTAGAACAAGATGGTAATTTAACAATTTAGAAAAAAATAATCAATGTTTTTCATTTTCCAATTCGGATTTTTTAAGTTTGAAATCAAGAATAAATTTTATAACATTCAGCCTGAGCAATGTACGAGACCCCCATCTCTAACAACAATAACGACAACAACAACAAAATTAGCTGGGCATGGTGACCTGCACCTGTAGTGCCAGCTACTCAGGAGGCTGAGGTAGAAGGATCCCTTGAGCCCAGCAGTGAGCTTTGATTATATCACTGCTTGCCATCCTGGGTGACAGAGTGAGATGCTATCTCCAAATATATATATATATATATATATATGTATATATATATATATACATATATATATATATATACACATACATACATACACACACACATATACACACACACATACATACATATACATACACACACACACACAGAGAGAGAGAGAGAGAGCACCCCACCATATTATATGTATAACATGTTGGTGGAATCTTATTAACACGGTTACAAGAGGCAGTTTATATGGCCTATGTGTAGGATCTTTAACTCCAAAATGTAAAATGTTTGATGATTCCAAATGCTCTGGCTAATGAGGAATTTCCAAGTTGTAATTGAATTTCAAGGAGCAAAGATAGAGCAGTCTCTACCTGACAAATGTTACCAGGGTCCAGGCCCTTAGAAATGATCCCCACCTCCACATGCCTGACCCAGCTGCCGGTGCAGAACCCCATCGCTCACACATCTGTTGAGCTCTACTGAAGGATCCTGCTCGTTCCTCTTTCCCATGGTGGACATAGACCACGTCCGCCAGGCTTCATCATGGAGGATGTAGAGGCTGCTTCAATTTCTGCTTTTGTTTTCCTGAGACATGGAATGTAGGACTTTCTTTTTGAAGTAACTACTAAATATATTTTGAAGTAACTGCTAAATATATGGCCCGCAGGTCCACATGAACCCAACGTGGAATGAATAGATTTCAGAGAATATTTAAACCACTCATAGACACTTATCTATTGCTACAGAACAAACTCCTCAGAACTGAGTGACTTAAAGCAAACAACTCAGATTATTCCTCATGATGCCGTGGGCTGTCCAGGCCCATGTGGCTGGTTGTCTCTTTCACGTGGCATTGGGCACAGCCATGGGCTGGGGCTCCACTGGGCCGATGTGCTGAGGGGTACACTTCCACAGCGGGGCAGGTCTGGGCTGAGCTGGTGGGGACGCCGGCCCTGGCAGGAAGCTCAGCCATTCAGCTGGGGACTGTGCACCCACCCCTTCTGGGCCTTTTCCACAAGGCTCGGTGTCCCCCAGCTTGGTGGCCAGCAGTGCTCTGACAGGAAGGAAGGAGAGGCTGCTGGGACTCTTAAGGACTGAGCGTGAGGGTCCCGCAACAGCCCTTCTCCACATTCTGTTGGTCAGAGTAGGCAGGAGCCCAGCTTGGAGTCAAGAAAGGGGAAATCAGCACCCCTATCTAGGGCAAGAGGGAGGCCACAGGGTGCTCTGGGGACACTAGTGATCACAGCTAAGGAAGGAAAGCGGTGGAACTGCAAGGGTCAAAGTAAAGCCCCAGGAAACCGAAAGACCAGAAGAGGCGTGCATTGTGAAGGGGAAGGCACGCTCCGCCATGTGCCTGCTGAAATTGGCAATGTGGGAGGAGAAGCAGGCAGGAGGAGAGAGCTTCTAAACAAGACAGATCTTGTCATCTCTGCCCCCCCTTGCTGGCTGGCTTCCCCTTCCTGCCTGGACACACTGTGCAGCCCCCAGGTATGTGCTGACCAGCCTATCCCTACCCTGTAGCCTCGTCCACTCTCCAGCCCTACTGCTTGTCCTTTGGCTCATTGATGCACCAATGCTTCCAGGCAGAGTGTTTATATGAGCGTCTTGCGGGGCGAGGAATGCCCACCCCTTAACTCCCAGTTAGCAAGGGAAACCTCCCTGACACCCTCACCCCTGCCAAGTCTAGAACACATTTCTCTGTCACGTAGAAAAGGATTCCTGTCCACGATGGCACTTAGGGTCTGCTACCTCTTAGGGGCACCTAGCAGGGCACTTGATACACATTTATGCAAAGACAAGATGGAGAGAGGAAGGGAGGGTGCAGGAATTATTAGGAGGAGGAGCGAAGAAGATGGATCAGTGTAATACAGTGCGGCTAAGAACAGCCAGAGAAGAAAGAAAGCAAAGGAAAGAAATCATGTAGGCAACCTAGAAAACATTCAACTGAGACTGAGTCCAAAAATTCACACAGGAAATAGCAAAAATAGTCTTCACTACTAATATCCTAACCCTCTGATATTCTGTTATTGGGGATTTTGAGAGATACCGAATTTAATGCTTTCTGCCAGCTTCTAGGCGTGGAAAATAATATGTTCTGCTTAGTAGACTCATCTGTTAGTTCATTATGGTCTGAATGGAGTCGAGGGGCTTTTCCTAAAGGAGGGGGTTAAATGCATCCTGTGTAAGCCCCAGTTTTGAAAGCAGTGTTGATGTAGCTCAGCTGAAGCCTCCCAAACATGTCTGTCCTATTTCTCACTCTATTCTCGTTTGATATTGGAGTCCCCACGTGAGTCACTATTGCTTTTTGAGATATAATGCATTTTCCATGCTTTAAAGTGGCTGGGTCACTGCAAAACAGCCATCTCTGCATCATTTGTGGAATGGGCTGCTGTATTTCCTTGATGGGTGGGTAACAAGTCATGCTGCTGCCAGCCAGCTGGCCAGGTCGCTCTGAGGAGAGGATGGGCACGAATAAAAGCGTCTCTGTCTGGTGCTGATCCCAGTCATTTCTTTGTTGCTTTATTTTGCTTTACTTTAAGCCTGCGGCTCAAGGAGTTTTCTGAACACCATCTTGCCTAAAGTGGGTAGCAATTATGGATGGCTTGCCGTGATTTTCCCCTTTGGATGGAATTAAAGGCCTTGCTGGGATCAGCAGTCCGCTTGCAGAAGGACAGTCTGAATCCCGCAACTCTGCGGATGCCCCTACACCGTGCAGAGACAGGCAACTGCCTCACCCTCTCTGGGCTTCTCTGTTTCTGAGTTGCTCGGTCAGAAAATTCTATTGCAATAATGGAAATCTTTTTTGATGAAGATATTTAAAGATGTTTTTGTTGGCTCTGAAAGTTTAGAACAGCATGGGGTTTCAGCCATCCATTTTCATTGAGTGTGCAAAGCTGCATTTGTCATCTGCAGGGTTGTGTCTTTCACTCATTTTCCTGACCCTGTGGCTGATAGCAGAGGCTGGAGAGGGGACCTCTATGCAGGACACACTTGAGAGCAGTGTGGCCAAGCCTGTAAGCACTCATAATTGTGCTCATCATTGTTGCCAAGCGTCTTAGGGAACCTGGGGGAGCCAACCCAGGACAAGGATTCCTGAGCATGTAGCTTATTTGGGAAGGGATCCTGGGAAGCAGGATGAGGGGAGGGGGAGTGAGATAGGGAGGGCAGGCAAGCCGTTGGAGTGAGCATTGAAAAGCAAATCATACTGCGGGCAAACAGAGCCCATTCCTACTGGGGAGCTCTGGGAGACTGTGTATAGCACATCTCAGCCTTGTTCTGAGGAAACTGGGATGCTTATCTGCCAGCTGCCTTCCATCATAGGCTGAGAGCTGCTTCCAGGGGTGTCAGCTCCCTGGCACCTCTGGCTTGCCTGCCCCATGTGTGGATCAAGTGCAGAGCTGCAGATGCTTGCAGTAGGCAGCTGTCAGGGCCTTGGGCACAGGAGGATGATTGTCGACATGGTCTGCTACAGCGCAGATGAGCCATCCACTCAAGTTCTAGTTGCTTTCACCCTGCTTTGATTGTAGATCCAATCTCAGCTTCTGGTAGGGAGCATAGCAACAATATGGGTGGAAGGGAGAGAGTCCTAGGACTTGAGGGTCCTAGGGGTGAGGGTGTTCTCAGCCAGAGCAGAGGAGGCAGGCAGGTGGCAAATTTCACTGGACTAAAGAAGAGCCCAAGCCTGCATCCCAGCAAGGGGTGCCTATTCTACGTGGGCTGCGATGTATCTATTATGGAGTCATGGCAGTGCACACATGGAATGGCATCTTAGGGAGTGAATCTGTGAGATGTAGTGTTGTCATGGTTAATAGCTCCTGAAATTGTGGTATCCCTCAGCCTAACCGAGATTGGCCTGCTGGTGCTCAAAGGCTCATAATGCAGTCATGGCCAGGCTCTTGGAGGGCCCAAGGGCATCACTGGAAGGTGATGTGGTTGCTATAGTTTGAATATTTGTCCTTTACAAATATTTGAATATCTGTCTTCTCCAGAATTTGTGTTAAAATTTAACCCCTAATATGACAGTATTGAGAGGTGGGACCTTTGAAGGCCAACTGGGTCATGAGGGCTCTGCCCTCATGAATGCTTTAATCTATTCATGGATTAATGGATCAATAGGATATCATGGGAATGGGACTGATAACTTGATAAGAAGAGGAAGAGAGGCCTGAGCCAGCACCTTCAGGCCCCTCCCCATGCGATGCCTGGTACCACCTTGGCACTACAGAGAGTCCCCACCAGCAAGAAGCCCTCACCAGATGCAGCTCCTTGACCTCGGACTCCCAGCATCCATACTGTAAGAAATGAATTCTTTTCTTTATAAATTACCCAGTTTCAGGCATCCTGTTATAAGCAACAGAAAACAAACTAAGACAGTAGTAGTTCCAGGTGAGCAGAGGTAATTTTGCTGCTGGAGATCTCAGAGAAGGAGTTTTGAGGATGTGCTGTTACAGCTTCTGTATTAATCAGATATTCACACCTGAGCTGGAGGGAGGCTGTTTCTAAATCATGTGTTGTGGGAAGAGGGGGAGCAGCAGCTTGTTTTAAAGCAGTGAGTGGAGCCAGCCAACCTATGTTTGCATCTTCAAAGTCATCCTCCGAACTGTCCATCTCACTCTCCCAGGTCTCATCATGGTCGCTCTTGCTGTTTGTTTTTAATTTGTTCATTCACTCAACCAATATTTAGTGAAGGCTCCCTCAGCATAATCACACACTGTTCTGGGAACTAAGGATTCAGCAGTGATCCAGCCAGACCCAAACCCACCAGAGAAACAGAGATGGGGAAGAGAGGAGGGAGGCATGGGCCAGATTGTAGGTGATCCCAGAAAAATGAAGCAGGAAAGGGAATAGTGAGGGCTGAGCCAGAGGTCAGGGAGAGACCAGGAGACAGACTAGAGGGCTGCAAAGGAACAGGCCCTGTGATATCAAGTGGAGAGAGTGTTCCTGACAGAAGGAACAGCCAGTGCAGGGGCCCTGTCAAGAAGGCTTGTGAAAGACTTCGAAATGCAAAAAAAAAAAAAAAATAGTGAGGGAAGAGAAAAAAAGACACCTCGGTTCCTACAGAATACTAGGCATGGTCACAGGCACCTTCCTGGTCATCTGAGTCTGTAGTGGACTGTGCCTGTCATGGTCTTCAAACTAGTTTTCAACTCTAACTTCTAGAAAACTGATGGCAAAACCAATGATTCTAGTCCACGGAGAAGCAAATGTGTTTTGCTGGTGGACCAATTCCCCTGTTGACAGATTCAGATCAGTGTGCCTGGTTGTCTTTGTATGTGTCTGCTTTTAGGATGCTCTGCAGAATTGGTTTTAACATTTTCCTGGTTCCTTCCTTCATTAATGACTTAAGTAGTCTTTGACACACGATCACTTTATATTTGTGCAAGTGTCATGATTTTATCTTTTAAAAAATCCATCAATTGCCCTGAGGCGGGAACATGCTATCCAGGTCTGTCCTAGGAGCAAATTCAGCTGCTGTGGCTGGAGAGAATTGGTGGATGGGGAAGCCAGGGTTCAGAGAGAGGGTCAGAGACATGATGGGAGGAGCTGGGGACCAAGTCGTGGAGGCCTTGGCTTTGACTGTGAGACAGGAGAGGCCCTGATACCTTTGACAGAATTTTTGTTTCAGTTCCTTTTTGCTTTGAACATTTTAAAAAAAAATATTTATTCATATTCTCCTCTTGACTTGTTAGCAATTGATTCCCATCAGGTGATTTTGTCCAGAAGTTATTATCTGTTCTTTTCTGCTTGTACACTCCTCCCAGCCTGTGGCAGTGGGCAGGTTTTGCTTTTGTTGTTTCTTCTGACATCTCAGCAAGAGGAAGGGAGGAAGGGCAAGTGCGTGTGTGTCCTTAATCAGCCTCTGATGGCCCAGCTGTTTGCCTCGGGCTAACTCGGAGCCCACCTGTCTGCACCAGAGTGAGTGGACTGTCGCTGGCTGACTGTTAATGCTGTCTGCCTCATCCGGTGCTTACTGAAGGTCCCATGCACTGCGTTCAGCCTACTTGCCCGCAGCTCCTGGTCTTCAGCACCCTGGAGCCAAGCCCCCTTTACTGGGCACTCGCCCAGTGCCAGCAGATGATAGCCAGGAAATTGTGGCTTTATGCCTTCTTTCTGGACTTTATGAAGTCTGTTTGAGTGTCCACAAATCTCAGGGCGGGAAGCTGGTGCTCAGAGAGGTTCAGCCACTTGCCCGAGGTCACTCAGCTGGGTCTGCCTGACTCCATAGTCTGACTCATTACTGGCCAGTCTCTCGACACATCAGGAAAGAGCTCGGTCTCTTGTGCTTTATTTTCTAAAGTTAAAAAGCAGAGAGATCCCCTTTCCCTCCCTCTGAGCTGGCTCCACTTTCGCACCTGCTCTGGGCTGCTCTGCCAGGCTCAGCCTTCCACTTCCTAAAAAGAGTGAGTTTGTTTTCTCTGAAGCTGCTGTGGGGTTTTCTTTTCTTTTCTTTTCTTTTCTTTTTCTGAAGCTGCTGTGGGGTTTACTGTCGCCTCTTGACTGATTTCACTCAGCATCTGACATTTTCTTTTCTTTGACCAAATCCCCTGCCAGCCAGTGTGGGCCACAGGGCAGTGCCACAGCAGAGCGTGGAATGACAGAACCCAACTGCTGTCTGTGCAAGAGTTTGAGCAGAATTTCAAGCAGAGGACAGGTGCTGCGGTGAATAGAATTTTGTGGGGATGGTGTTGCATTGAGGTGGCCTGGGTGAGGCTGTCTTCTGGCATGTGGCAACGGGCCAGTCCACGGAGCAGCTCCCCAACCCCCTGCACCCCCAAGGGCCCTGAAGCTAATCGTGCCCAAGAGCACGGCTTTTGGAGATGAGCTTATTGATCTTTGTGATGTGGAACACAGAGCCAGCACGGTTGTAAGGGCTGTGTGATAAATACATGAGACAGGAACTCAATGGGCGGTTCAGTCTTCATCATGAGCTGCCTGAGGGAGCAGTGCGGGCAGCCAGGTGAGGGCCAGGGTCCGCCGCCACCCCGCCCCTTCCCGAGCCTGCTGTGGGGTCCCTGCGCGTGTCCACTGCCCACTAGAGATGCGCTCTTCAGCTGTCTGCACAGGAGGAGACTTAGGAAGTTGTGTGTGAGGCATCAGAAGGCAGCTGGGCCTCCCCAGCATGCTAAGACCTCAGCAGTGCAGGGTGTGGGGCCCGAGCTGGATGTGCCCCATTGCTTGTATCAAAACCTGGAGAAACAGAGCTTTCCTTGTGGGCCAGGGCCACATGGTCGGTGGAGCTGATGCTGTCAGTCGGCCGGGTGGTATTTTCTGGGGACCTACTCTGTGTAAGACACTGTGCTTCTAGGAAGACGCACATTCACTGCCCTCGAGGCATGTGTAATCAGTAGCAAATCAGTTTACCGTGGGTGGTCTCATCTGACGTATTTTTGTGTCCTTCAGTGAAGTCATCTAAAATTACTCTGCTTCACAATTGAGGAAATGGTTCCTGAAATTAAATGGCTTGTTGACGCAGTTCTGAGGCCTTGACTCCACATCCTCGTGCCTTTCCCAGTCCTTGACAGGCTCTTTGTGGCTGTAAGACAAGGGCACAAAGTGCATCTTGCAGAGCAGAAGATGACGTATGTCAGGGACATAACATCTTAGAAAGATCTGGAAGAGAGAGAGCCTCATCCAGTGGGAGGGTGTGGGCAACTGTTCACGGCAGGGTGGCCATACGTCTTGGTCTGTCTGGGACAGCCCGGGTTTGTGCCTGAGGTCCTGGCACTGCTGTTAATGGTGCCTTTTTTCACTTTTAAGATGGGGCATTTCATGGAAAGATATGTAAGTTAGGTCATATGGCACAGGGCCCTTAGCGGGGAGGGGGAGAGATCACCTTGGAAGGGACTAAATGTGGCAGGATCCTCAATGCATATGCTTGGAATGAAAGGGAGAGGGAAAAGAACAGAATAATCAGGTCAGGGACTAGCTATAATCTAAGGAATTGCCACCAGTCCAACTGGACTTCTCTGGAAATCTGTCCCTGACGCCTGGCCACAGTCGCCTACTCTGGGCTGCTGTGTACCTTGGAGGACTCTTTGTAAACATCACACGATGCTGCGGATGTGAGTTTGATACTCTTGTTTTTCCCCACTGTCCAGTGAGCTCCTTGGGAGCAACCAAGTTCTATTCACATTTTGTAATCCCCCCAAGTTAGTGTGACAAGTAGCACATGGCAAGCAGCACATCGCAGTGGGTGAGGGACTAGTGGGGCCACTACCCTGTTCCAGGAGGGAGTTGCTGGAGGCCAGAACCTGGGCAGAACCTTGGAACTCAGGCTGTCTGGATCAAGAGAGCCATCTTCTAGCACCCTTAGATTAAAAATAAGTAAGTTCTGATTGTGTGGGGCAGGGATGTAGGGTATGGGTCCTATCCCGAGAAGCAAATTAGTCTAGAAATGATTCTCCTTTCTCCTCCACTACCCATACCAATCTATCTTGAAGGATTATGCATTTGAAATTACTCTAGTCATCTTTTCACATTATTTGTGGTCTTTTTTTAATATAAATTTTACATCCTTAGCTAATCACATTTTTGTGTTGTTTCCTTTATGGATCCTTTATGGCTTTGGGGTCCCAGACCAGGAGACTATCCATTTATTCTACTAAATAGTTTGTTTTTTATTGTGTATGGTTTTTTTTCCCTAAAATGTTTGTGTATGCTATGAGGTAAGGGTCTAACTTTACTTTTCTTTAAGGGATAGAAAATAATTCTAACAGCACTTATTGAGCAATACATCTTTCTCCCCATGGCATTGAAGTGGGATGGTTATATTCATTTATGCATGTGCCAATACCATACTGAGAGCTAAGCAGGGTGAATAAAAAGAGACATATGTCTTGAATATCTTGCTGCGATTTTAAAACACTCATGATAAAGGCAAAACCCTTATAAGCTCTCAAAGCAAAAAAAAAAAAAAAATCACAATAGCAAGAAACAGTAGCCTAGTAGAGGACTACTTTCAAATATTGAAGGGCAATTATTTTTAAAATAAAATATTTTGTTGAACTGAACTTTCTGGGCAAAAATGAAAGCAGTTTTAAATATGTAAAGACTCAAGTCTGAAAGAATTACTCAGAATTGTATTCCAGCAAAATGAGAAGAAACCAAGAAAGAGGCAAACCTGGAATATAATCAGCACTCGTGAGTGATGGAATCACTAAAAGGCATAGTTCAGTCTAATTATTTGATGATGTTGTTAAATGGTTTTTGTTGGCAGGGGACTAAGAAGTAGAAGAAGTAACAGCAGACGTTTGGTGTCGGCCTTCTTTGGTTCATGCATGATAAAGATAAACCTCGTTAAATGCACAAAATGAAAAAAAGTACAAGTAAATATGTATGTTAAATATTTGAATAGCTATCAGAGTAACAGAAATAGTGTCATAACTTCCAGACCACTAGAGATAAAATAAGGGACCAAAACCTGAAGTCGATACCTCTAATGCAAGAACAGAAAACTGAGAAACAGTGTAAGTATGAGGTCTCTCATGGATCCCTGGCATGGGTATGAACATTATTTTAAACTGAAGACATTTGAGATTAAACAGATAGGGAAAGAAGCTTTTTCAGAGCTTACTTATCAGACTACAGCAAAAACTTCTGGGAGCGAGCCTGGCATAAATCTCCTTTCTAGGGGAGTCTTTACTGGCTGGAAAGAAGATGGAAAAGACCAGTTGCACCTGCATAAACAAAACTTTCCCACAGACCTTCTTATCTCCCATTTGCTCCCCTAGAAACCGATTTGTTCTTTTCATAGAAGCCCTTCCTCTCCCCTCTCTCTCCGCTGTGCAGTATATAATCTCACCTTTAGCTGTTTGAAGAGTTGCATTTTTCTTTGTGCCCCTGTGCCCATGTAGGCATAAAAGTCAGTTTTCTCTTGCTCATCTGTCTTTTGTCAGTTTAATTCCTAAGCTCCCCCCCGCCAAAAGAATCTATAAGGGTAGAGGAAGAGCATTTCTTCTCTAACATGAGAAAATCTGGCCAAAAAAAAAAAAAAAAAACAGCCTACAAAAAACCAGAAAACAAACCTACTAGCAGAAACGAGTTAAAACAATCACTAATCACAAAAATTCAAATGGATTTAAATCCCATAACAGTTCTCAAACCAAAACAGACTCCTAGATGGGTTTCAAAAAATCAAAATCCAACTATATTGTATATACAGAAGGTAGATTTTAATCAAATAATCCAAAAGGTTGAAATGAAAAGGATCGAAAAACCATGTCTGCCAAATGCCATAAGAAGAAACAGATTTAGCATTGTTCTTATTTCACAAATATAGATGAAAGACAAAATACGTAAAAAGGGACAAAATGAATATTTTATATTGATTAAAGGAAAATTTATTGAGAAAACAAAGTGCTCATGAATAATTATGTTGCAGTGTGACTGCAAAAAATACAGTCAATGCTGATGAAAGTCAAAGGAGAAATTAACAAAAACCAGGATCTCAAGAAAGGGTAAGTATGCTTACATGGAATGAAATAAAACAGTGGTTAAAACTAACCCAGAAGATATATAGAAAGATTTGTATCTAACAAATATTTCCCAAAAGTAGTAATATTCACAAAAAATAAACTAAGACTGGAAGAAAATTCATAAGCAGATAAATATTACTCAGAAGAAAACTGGCAAACAAAGCTGACTGTTGAAAAGTCAGGTGAATCCACCTCAAAGTCAGAGATAAGGCAAAGATGAGAAATGTTAGGACTGAATGATTGTGTCCCCTCGAGAATTAGTATGTTGAAATCCTAACCCCCAAGGTGATGGAATTAGAAGGTGGGGCCTCTAGGAGGGGATTGGGTCATAAAGGTGGAGTTTCATGAATGGGATTAGTGTCCTTATAAGAAGAGACACAAGGGCTTTCTTCCTGTCTCTGCTTATTTGGCCATCTGAGGACACAAGGAGGAGATGTGTATCTGCAAACCAGGACAGTTGCCCTCCCCAGACATCAGATCCGTGGGTGCTTTGATCTTGGACTTACAGGCTCCAGAACTGTGGAAGATAAATGCCAGAACTGACTAAGACAACAGCTATCACTGCTTTCAACTGCCGGGTGGATGCCCTAGCCGGAGCCCTATGACAGCAAGTTAAAGAAAGATATCTAAATATTACGAGAAAGAAAAAACACTATCATTACTTCCAGTTGATTAGTCACCTAAAGGCAGACGCAGCTGACAAACTTTGAACTAATAAAAGATTTAAGAAAGAAGACAATAGCTGAGCTAGGTGTGAGTGAAGAACAGTGAAGTGAAATGGAAAGAACAGACCTCATTTACACTCATGATGATAACCATAAAATACCAAAGAATCAACCTGGTGCCCATGCACCAAACCCTTCTGAGGAAAACGATAAAAATTCACCAAAGCACCTGAAAGAGTAAAAGAGTCAGGAAGCAGCATGTGGGGTCTGCCAGCTCTCCTTCCCCTGCAGCTGGGCCATGTGTTGGAAGCCTGGAGTAGCAGCAGGGTTACTGCCTGGGGTCCCAGAGTCAAGGACTTAGAACTGCTGTGCCCGGGCTGCCTAGTAGACTCTAGAGACGCTCCGCTGCAGTCTTCCTGGGGTCAAGAGGGGACAATCGGAAAGAGCTTTAAAAACTCTCAGGCTGCTCAGGGAGTTCTTAGATAGTGCTTTGGGCTCCATGTGCAGGATCTAGATCCTGCTTGCCTGGTTTGCTCTTCTGATTCGATGTTCCAATATCTGCTCTGGCTAAGAAGCTGCCGAGTGATTGTTAACAATGGAAACTGCATCTTTACCTCCTCAGGGTCTGATACAGCAGGTGTGGAGTACAGCTCAGGAATCGGTCATACATGGTCCCCCTGGATCACTTGTGAAAGACTCTGTCCTGCTGGGCGTGAATGCCAGCTTGCATTCCTTTAATTAGATGGAAACTAGGAGGTATTTGGTGGCTGGAAGTCATGAATTTCAGCCCATACACTTCCTTCAATTACATGCTTGTCTCCCTCCTGCTGTCCAGAGAAAACCAACTGAATGATGAATAGTGCTCTCACCATTGGTAGCTGATAGCAAAAAAAAAAATGATCCAGAACTTCATTTTGACAAATGAATGCTTCTCCCTGATACCTAGTTTGTGCTTCTCATTTTCCCAGGGATGCATTAATGCTAGAGAACTTTAGTGAATCACTACAGAATTACTTATGCATTTTGTAGTTAATAGGCAAAATATGTTGTGCCTGTAACATAGCTCCTTTGATGTTCTTAGTAAGCAGAAGGTAGTATGGATTCTACTTTATTGACTTCCAGATGGTGCCTCTAAAGGTTATGACTATGAGCTAGTTAAATGTTTTGTCCCTACCAGTGGGTTCATGGCTTCATAAAGACCTGTGGTAGGTAGCATCTGAGTTTGTAGTTTGCATTTATTTCTGACTTTTAAGTCTACATTGACACAATCTCTTTATCTTGGCTTTGTTGAACTCTGCCTCATTTATTATGAAAGCTGACTTCAGGTTGAGGGCAAGGCAAAGAAAGAAGCCTTCGTATTTCAAAAGAACAAGATGGGTAGCCACGACACAGTCAAATTGGTTAATTTCTGTTCCTCGTTCCCTAAACTGCTAAATTTCATTTTATATATCTTCCTTCAGTCCATCTACTTAATATATTTTATGTGGTTAGACGGACTGCATTTTTCACTCATCCTGTTTTCCATGGGTTTTTCTCATCATCATTTTAATAGTGACATAATTCATAGAGATGATACTTTCTAGTTCACCATTGTTGGATTTAGTATGTTTCTAACAGATTAATAATTATAGGTCATAAGAAATGGAAAAAAAATTATAGGGAGGTACATTTTCATATTCCTCCTAATATTCCCCAGCAGTAACACCTTAAATAACTCTAGTGTAATATCAAAGCCAAGAAATTAACATTGGTATATTCCACAAAGTTTATTCAGATTTCACCAGTTTTACATTCATGCATTTTTGTGTAGTATATATAATTCTAAGCAAATTCATCACATGTATTGATTCATGTAGCCACCAACAAATTAAGATAAAGAACTGTTCCACGACTGTAAAGATCTCTTGCACTATACCCTTATAGCCACATCCCGCTTGTCCCTAACTACTGGCAAACACTAATCCATCTCTGTCATTGTGGCATTTCAAGAATATTTTATGTGTAGACTAATATAGTTTGTAACCTTTTGAGGGTGGCTGAGTAGTGGTCTGTGGTATGGATGTGCCACAATTTGTGTAACTATTAATCCATTAACAGATATTTGAGATGTTTTCAGTTTTTCGCTATTGCAATCATAGCTTCTATAACATCCATGTCCATGTTTGTTTGTTTTTGAAGATGTTTCCATTCGTCTGGTATAAATTACATAAGCACGCAATTGTTAGGTTGTATAATAAGCAGATGCTTCATTTTATAAGAAACTGCCATACTCTTTTCCAGAGTGGCCGTTCCCACCTAAGTGATCAAGTAATTCCGCATCCTCCCCAGAATTTGGTGTTATCACTATTTTTTTTATTTTAGCCACGCTAGTAGGTGTGTAGTGATAACCCATTGTGTTTTTAATTTACATTCTCCTGGTGGCTAATGCTGTTGAACATCTTACTATGTGGTGGTTCGTCACTTGTATATCCTCTTCATTGAAATATATGTTCATGTCTGTTTGCCCGTTTTCTAGTTAGATTGTGTGGGGTTTTGTTTGTTTTATTTTTACTCTTGAGATTTAAGAGTTCTTTATGCTAGATATGCCTTTTGTCAGATATGTGTTTTGAAAATATAGTTTGTCTTTCTGTAGTTTATCTCTTCATCTTCTTTACAGGGTCTTTCACAGAGTAAACATGTTCTTTTTAAAAATTACAGTGAAGTTTTTTATCAAATTTTACTTTGATGGATTGTGTTTTTGATGTCAAGTCTTGGAACTCATAGCCTAGAGTGCTGAAGATTTCCTCCTATGTTTTGTTCTAAAAGTTTCACATTTTTAAGTCTTACATTTAAGTCTGTTCTTTAAGTTGATGTCAATTTTTGGTATGATATCTGAGATTTACATCAAAGTTTATCCTTTTGCCTGTGGATTTTCAGTTATTCCAGGTCCACTCATTGAGAAGACTATATTCCTCTTCTGAATTGCTTTGAAAAAATCAGTTGGGTATATTTGTGTGGGTCTACTATTGGGTTCTCAATTCTGTTTTATTAATCTAGATATCTCTTCCTCTATTATAGTCTTTTGCTTTCATCGTATAGTAATGCTTAACATTGAGTAGAGTGTTTCTTCCCATTTTATTGTTCCTTTTCAAAATTGTTTTAGCTATTTTAGTTTCTTTGTTTATATAAATTTCAGACTGACTTTGTGTATCCATATGTACAAAACTCTTGCTGGGTTTTTAATGGGAATTGTGTTAAGCCTACAGGTTCTCGTAGGGACAATTATGTTGAATCTTCCAATCCATGATCATGGTATGTCCCTCTTATTTCAATCTTCTATGATTTTTCCATCAGTATTTTGTAGTTTTCAACATGTGAGATTTATGCTTGTTTTGTTAAATTTATATTTGTTTCATTTTTGACCAGTTGTAAATGATACTGCATTTTCAGTAACCACATGTTTACTGTTAGTATAGCAATTATTTTATGTTGATCTTGTATTTCTGACCTTGCTGAACTTACTCATTAGGTTTAGCAGTTTTTTTTTTAATTGTTTTTGTTTTGAGATTCCTTTGGATTTTCCACATAGACCATCATGTCACCTGAAAATAGTAACTTTTTAAATTTCTTTCTGATTTCTAGGCCTCTTACTTCCTTTACTTTCCTGGCTAGGATTTCTAGTATTATGCTGAATTAGAATGTTAAAAGTGAACAACTTTATCTTGTTTCTGATCTTATGGCGAAAGCATCCAGTCTTTCACTATTAAGTATGATGCTAGCTGTAGGTTTTTTGTGGAATTGCTTTTATCAGGATGAGGAAGTTTCCCTCTATTCCAGTTTTCTGAGACTTTTTAATATGGATGAGTGTTGAGTGTTATTACTTGCTTTTTCTGCATCAATTGATATAATCAGGTGATTTTTCTTCCTTGGCATCTTAATATGGTAGATTACATTGATCAGTTTTCAATTATTGAACTAGCTTTACACTCATGGAACAAACTCTACTTGGTCATGTGTGTAATTCCTTATATATACTGCTAAGTTGTATTGCCAATATTTTATTAAGGGTGGTTTATGTATATTTATGAGAGAATGTGGTCTGTAGTTTTTGTTTTGCATTTTATAAATTTTTTCTACTGTCTTTGTCTAGTTTTGGTTATGAGGTTAATAAAAGCCTCTGTGTTTTATCCTTTTTTATTTACTGGGAGACAGTTATAGAATTGATATTAATTCTTCCTTAAATGTTTGTTAAAATTCCCCAGCGAAGCCATTCAGGATGTGGAGATACCTTTTTAAAAAACATTTAAAATTATGAACTCAATGTGTTTAATTGTTTTAGGGATCTTCAGCTTATTTATAGCCTATTGGTTGAGTTGTGGTAGTTTGTACTTTTCAAGGAATTGGTGCATTTCATTTAAGTTGCTAAATGTATGTGTTAATTTCTATGTAAAGAGTTGTTCATAGCTTTCCTCATCATTCTTTTGATGTCTACAATGTCTGTGTAGTGACACATAGAATACATTCGTGGTATTAGTTTGTCAATTTTATTGATATTTTCAAAGAAGATTTTCATTTCATTGATTTTTTTTTCTTTTTTTTCTCTTCTCCGTGTCAGTGATTTTATACTTTTATATTTATTATTTACTTCCTTCTACTTGTGGGGCTTGTCTTCTCTTTTCTAGTTTCTTACCGAGTGAGCATAGATATAGACTTGAATCTTTTTCTCTTTCTTAAAATAAGCAGTACTATAAATTTATTCTTAGCACTACCAGCATGTCATACATATTGATACATTGCATTTTTATTCAGTTCAGTGTATTTTTTTCCATTTCCTTGAGACTTTCTCTTTGACTCATGGATTATTTAGCAATTTGGCATTCAGTTTCCAAGTGTTTGGAGATTTTCTTGTCATCTTAATGCTATTCATGTCTAGTTTGATTCCATTGTGGGCAAATATCACACTTTGTGTGGTTTCACTTCTTTTAAATGTATTGAGGTTTTTCTTAGGCTCAGGATATGGTCTATCTTGGTATATGCTCCATGAGTACTTGTTGGTAGACAGTTTCCTAAATGCCAATTAAGTCCTGTTGTTTGATGGTGTAAGTTCTTTTATATCCTTGCTGATTTTCTGTCTAGTTGCCCTGTCATGAATTATTGAGAGAGGAGTGTTGAAACCTCCAAATATAGTTGTGAACTTGTCTATATCTTTTGAAAATTTCCATCAGTTCTGGGGTCATGTATTTTGAAGCTTTCTTGTTTGAGAAAGGATTTATGATTGCTGCATCTTCTTGGTAGACTGAGCTTTTATCATTATGTAAATTTATATCTATCTTTCATAATTTTCTTTTCTCTAAGATCTGCTTTATCTGATAATAATATAGTTACTCTTGTGTTTTTTGAGTAATGTTTGCAGGGTATGTGTGTCTGTGATATATATATATTATATATATATATTCTTCGTTTTTTCTTTCCTGCCTATGATGTACTTAACTTTTTTTTAGAATTTCTTTTTTAGAATTTTTAGAATCTTTTTTATTTATAGTGTTTTTGAGTATGTCTCTTTGTACACCTATTTCATGGTTGCTCTTGATATTACATTTTATGTATGTAACTTATTACGTTACTGACTACTGATATAAACATCTTACTGGTTCAAGTAAAGTAGATAAATTTTCTCTTCCTTCTTTTATTGTTTTTTTCTCTCTTTCAAGAACTTCCTTGAGCCATACTTCTTGGGTGATTCTGCTGGTCACTATTTCTCTTAGTTTTTTCTTCATCTGAAAATGTCTTGACATTTCTTCATTATTCCTGAAAGATATTTTAACTGGATTTAGAATTTTGAGTGTACAGTAAGTTATTTCAGCATTCGGAAACTGTCATACCACCTCCTGCTGGTCTCCGTGGTTACTGTTGAAAATTCTGCTGTCATTTAAATTTGTTGTTGTTGTTTAGTTTTGTTTTTCCCCCTTACGGATCATTTTTCTCTGGCTGCTTTCAAGATTTTCTCTTTGTGTTTAATTTTTAGATGTTTGATTATGATGATTCTTGGCATTAATTTTTTTGTATTTATCTGGTTTGGGTTTTACTCAGCTTCTTGAATCTGTAGATGTATATCTTTTGCTAAATTTGGAAAATTTTTAATAATTTCTTCAAACATTTTTCATTCTCATTTTCTTTCTCTTCTTTTTCTGAGACTCTCATGACACAAATATCAGATTTTGTTATGGCTTCACACCCCTGCAGGCTGTGTCGATTTTTTTTCTTTTTTTTGGTCTATTTTACCTTTGTTGCTCCGATTGCATAATTTCTATTCTGTCTTCAAGTCAGATTCTTTCCTTTGCTATCTCCACTCTACTATTGAGCCCAGCCTACATGTTGGTAATCCCAGTTACTGTATTTTTCAGTTCTAAATTTTCATTTAGTTTTTCTTTATATCTTCTATTTATTTGTTGAGACTTTCTATTTTTTCACTGGTTTCAAACATGTTCTTAATTGCCTACCAAAGCATTATTATGATTGAGGTTTTAAAATCCAGAGAATTCCAACTTTCTGAATTATCTGTTTTGGCATCTGCTAATTTTCTCTTCTCATTAAAGTTGAGGTTTTTTTCTTGATTTTGGTATTACAAGTGATTTTTAAAATTATATCCTGGACATTTTGGGTATTATTGTTTGAGACTCCAAGTCTTATTTCAGTGTTCCTTTTCACTAGACCTCCTCTGACACTGTGCTAGCAGAGGAGGGAGGACACCACCCCTGCTGTCGTGTGGTTCAGGCCCCCCACTCAGCCTCTGTTGACACCTGGGAGGGATGGGGACCTTGGTACTGCTAGGTGGGAGTGGAAGTCCAGGCTCCCCAAGTGTTCTCCACTGAAACAGCAGGAGGCGGCTGGGTCAAGATGAGGTCACTGCTTGGCCTTCTCTGACATCACCTCTTGCAAGTATGGGGAGGAGTGTCTCCCTTTTGCCTGGGGATGTTTGAATCTAGAGTGCTCCCTGGGCCTTTGCTGATGAGGCTGCTGGTGGAGTCCAGCTTTTTCCTTTGGTGTTTCCCTGGGGCAGCGCTCTTGGCTAGACACGGTCCAGCTGTCAGGCTGCTTCTCTCCTGACCATTTGGCGAGAGAGGGCAAGCTTTCCTCAGGACTTCTTTGGTCTGTACCTGTTGGGGTTTTTTTGGTGCATTCTTCTCCAGAACCCAGTTTGGAATAGGTAAGATAAATAGTAAACCTAGGGATGTCAGCACCATGCCGTTCTGCCTGTCACAAAGGTGTGATCCCTTCTGCCTTCTTCTCTGAACTGTTGACAGCCTTCTTATGTTTATTTATGGATTATGTGAAGACTTCTTAGTCATATTTAGCAAGAGTAATAATGATTACTCAGGTCAGCCTGTCATAACAAAATACCATAGACTGGGAGGCTTTAAATAATAGAAATTTATTTTCACACAATTCTGGGAGCTGAGAAGTTCAAGATCAAGGGTCTGGATTTGGTTCCCTGAAGAGAACTCTCTCTGGTTTATGGCTTCCTTCTCATTGTGTCCTTACATGGCAGAGAGAAAGAGAGAGGGAGTGGGAGAGGGAGAGAGAGGGGCACGTGCTGGCTTCCCTCTTCCTATAAGGCCACCAGTCCTATCAGAATAGGGCCCTACCCCTGTGACCTGATTTAACCCTGGTCAGCTCTTGCTTATCGTTTTTAGCTGTATTACCTCCTTATCGTTTTTCTTGTATTTATGCTGTCATAGCAAGTGGCATTTTTCTGAAAGCATATGCTTAGTTTATTTAGACTTTATATTTATTCAGATTAAGGTTGGTCAATTTCTTCACTCAATCTGAAGGAAAAGCTCTTTAAAAAATCAGCCTGATCATTTTTCAATGAACCTCTGGTGTGGACTTTGGGCATCCGATTGTGTAGGAGGCTCTCAAGGCTGGCTGTTTGCCCAGTCAGCATTGTCACTGGGGGACGAGCTGGCAGGGTGCAATGTTGTTCCCTTCACCTTTGTGTCTCCAAGTGACCCTTTCCTCATAGGGATGAATTTCCACCCATGATGAATAGTCCTTGTGTGCATAGTAATCCCAGTGTCAGAACATCTTCTCCTTCCACTGCTGGGGATAATTAGCTTCCTTTTTCTTTTGTTTCATACATCTGGAGCCAGAAAAGGCATAACAGGTCACATAGTTTAGAAATGGACATACTTTTTAAAAAATTTCATGAGCTCCTTCACGTCCATTTATCTAGGCTACGTAAAACTGTTAGAAGGAATGCCCAGGCTACAAGCTATAAGCAGGCAGGAGGGTGGGGCCCGTGGAGCCCAGCTCTCTCCCACACGAGGCCCTGGGAGTTCAGTCAACCATCCTGGGTCGCAAAAGTCATTACCCAAGAAGGCGGGAGTAAAACTCGTGCTTCTGCCCTCTTGCCCTGTACGAGGTGGGTTGGAACTGAGAAGGCCAGGACCTTCAAAATGCTGCATTCTCCCTGAGAAGTTGGAATTGAAAAAAATAAAATCTACCATCCAGTGCAAGACGATGAAAAAGAAGCATGACTGTTTTAGGCTGTGCTCAGTCAGGGCTCAGAGTCTTCCATGGGAATTCACAACAGATGAGGGAAGGGGTGCCTCCTGGTGCTGGTTTGATATGTCCAGCAGAACCCAGGAAATTCCAGCACCAATTGTAGTGGCATGCAAAGTGGTCTGATCTGTGAGGCTCTGGGCACCTGGCAGAATGGAGTGCAGGGCACCTGGAGAGAAGTCCCCCTCCGGCCAGGTCCACAGGATCTCCATAGACACGGTAGCAACACAGGTTGGGGATTCATTCCAGTATGTCCAGTCAGCAAGGTTCATGTGCCATGAACATGCTCTGCAGATGGTGATTGGGGTTTGAGACATGGGTTTTCTGCAGCCTGACAAATATTCCATGCTCTGATAAGTGTCCAGGTGTGAGGCCAGGTGTGCAGGCAATGCTGTGAGAGGGCAGCCAAGGGCTCTGCCCCTTTCTCTCCTGCGTCCTCCTCCCTCCACATCCATCCTGTCCCACCCCTGTGACTACATGTGGGTTTTTTTGTGTGTTTTTTTTTTTTCTGAGACTGAGTCTGGCTCTGTCTCCCAGGCTAGAGTACAGTGGCGGGATCTCGGCTCACTGCAACCTTCACTTCCCAAGTTCAAACAATTCTTGTGCCTTAACCTCCTGAGTAGCTGGGATTACAGGTGCCCACCACCATTCCCGGCTAATTTTTGTGTTTTTAGTAGAGATGGGGTTTCACCATGTTAGCCAGGCTGGTCTTGAACTCCTGACCTCAGGTGATCCGCCCTCCTCGGCCTCCCAAACTCCTGGGATTCAGGCGTGAGCCACCACACCTGGCCTGCATCTATATTTTTAAGCTCTTGTGCCATTTAGCCTTCATTAATTTTTTTAAGAAAACATTACAGATGAAAACTGTATGAGGAATGAAACACTATAAGAAATAATATGGAAACTCAATTTTTAAAAATCAGCTAAAAATGAACTTCAAATTAAAACACATACAGAAACATCTCACTTTGAGCAAGCATTCACAAACATAGCAAAAGGCAGGTTTGGACTCTTAAACACTTAAGACAATAGAAACTGACAAATGATTTGAAAATAATTACACTCAAGTAAGAATTAAAAACACAAATGAGAGAAACCCTTTAAAAAGCAACTTTGAAAAGAATCAAGTAAAATTAAGAGAGATGAGAAATAATATAGCCATCAAAATTAAAGACAGTGGAGGCATAGAATGTCAGATGAGACACAGTTGAAGGAGCAGAGGCAGTTTCCTGCGTGAATCATAGAAAGCTAAATAGATGGAAAGTAGGAAAGAATGATTTACGGTCGTGCAATAATATCCAACACTTCTGTAGTGCTTCTGTGCACCAGGTCCTGTTTCAAATGCTTTACATATATTAACAACCTTCTGAGGAAAGCGCTGTGATTATTTTCAGATATGACAGCTGGAGCACACTGTGGCCAAGGTCATGCAGAAAGCAGGTCTGGAAGCCTGCACCCCCCAGGAGAGGCTGTGCCTGACAAGGAGGGCTGCTTCCTCTCATGCCGGGGATAGGTGCTCCCATACACACTGGCTAGAATAGTAGAAGGCAATAATAAATTGCATGTGGGAGAAATATTAAAAGATTATTTTCAGAAAACAGGTAAAGTTATGGCTCACATACAGATATAAAAATGAGCATGTTGAAGAATCTATTTGACTCATATCACATGAGGAAACAAAGCAGATGTTCTCAGTTCAATGGGAAAGTCAAACTAGTACAAATTTATATAGAGTAAAGGAATTTCGAGATGAATTCTAAATGGACACAGAACTTGTTTATCTAAAGGGGCAGGAAGTCAAGGCACTACCAATTAAATCACTACTGGGCGACTGAGAACTTCCGCATCTATCAGCTGCTTACGGTCCGCGCACAGTGGCAAAGCAGCTCAGACAGTGAACAGGGCGAGACTTGCTAAGTGAGATCTATGTGCTGTAGGGGACACATCGTTTTCCATTGAAATACAATGATTTTTTTCAACAGAAGCCATGTCCCAAAAGAACAGCTGAGGATGTAATAATATTGATGAAAAACATACATCCTCAGCTTCAGGAGATAAAAGTCTGAGGAAAGATATGTGATAGGAAATGAGCCCAAGACATATTGTGCAAAAAAGCTGCAGGAATGTCCAAAGCCAAAAAAAGATCCTAGAAGCGATGAGAGAAAAATAGATAGCTTGCTAACAAAGAGATGGCAATTAGACTGACTGCAGACCTTTTAAAGGCAACAGTAGAAGCCAGAAAAATAAACGAAAATAACGTCTTTTAAGTATGAAAGGAAATAATTGTCAACCTAGAGTTTTATCCTGAGCTAAACCATTCTTTACCTGATGGGCAAAATCAAGACATTCTCGGGAAAACATATACTAAAGGAGTTTACCGTGCAGGGGCTGTGCTACTATTTTAAAAAACTACCAGAAGACGTTTAGGAACTAGGCATGAGAAGCAGTGAGCGAAGCAATTGGCAAAGATTCAGGTACATGTAAACAGATTTGGTTATATAAAATAATAATGATGAATTTGAGAGTATTAAAAACAAAGTGGGACAGGGCGCAGGGGCTCATGCCTGTAGTCCCAGCACTTTGGGAGGCCAAGGCAAGTAGATCACCTGAGGTCAGGAGTTCGAGACCAGCCTGGCCAACATGGTGAAACCCCATCTCTACTAAAAATACAAAAATTAGCCGGGCGTGGTGGCGTGTGCCTGTAGTCCCAGCTACTTGGGAGGGTGAGGCAGGAGGATCGCTTGAACCCAGGAGGCAGAGGTTGCAGTGAGCTGAGATAGCACCACTGCACTCCAACCTGGAACCTGAGTGACAGAGCAAGACTCCATCTCAAAAAAAAAAAAAAAAGATGGAATTAAAATACTGGAAAATATAGCATGAAATAGTAACTTGGACAGTGCTTGGAGGTAAAACCCTCAGGTGTACTTATATGACTCTGGAAGGCCATGGAGACGTCAGCTTTAAGTGAAATATACAAGGTTAAAGTGTGAGAATAACCACCAGACCAGACACATTAAGAATACTATATTTAACTTCCAAACAAGTAGGGGTCGAATGGGGAAGGGATGAAGAAAACAGGAGAAGGCCGGCGCGGTGGCTCACGCCTGTAATCCCGGCACTGTGGGAGGCCGAGGCGGGCGGATCACGAGGTCAGGAGATCGAGACCATCCCGGCTAACACGGTGAAACCCCGTCTCTACTAAAAAACACAAAAAAATTAGCCGGGCGTGGTGGCTGGCGCCTGTAGTCCCAGCTACTTGGGAGGCTGAGGCAGGAGAATGGCGTGAACCCGGGAGGCGGAGCTTGCAGTGAGCCGAGATCCCGCCACTGCACTCCAGCCTGGGCGACAGAGCGAGACTCCGTCTCAAAAAAAAAAAAAAAAAAAAAAAAAAAAGAAAACAGGAGAAACCTAAATGCAATCCAAGGAGGAAGAAGTCAAAAGCATAACATTAGATGGTAGAAATGAAAACAAATATTACAGTAGACAAGATAAAAGTAAATGGGATGGCCAGCTGGTTAAAACACAGATCTCCCCAGTATATCTCTATGCATTTAAATCGAACGATAGACTGTTTAGATGAAACTAAACCATATATACGTAAAGGATGAACGCAAAAAAGGAAAAACAAAAACAGGAACAAAAATAAAATGTGAGTGGCTATGTTTACAACACCACCCCCCCCACACAAACACAGTAAGAAAAACAAGTATAATTAAGGTTAAATAAGGTCAGGTGATAGTGATTTTTTAAAACTAAGGATATATAACAAATCTTACATGTATATATCTAATAAAATTGCTTTGAAGAAAAATTGGTAGAATTTAAAGTTTACTGGATAAGTCCACAATTACAGTAGAAGATTTTAATGTACCTCTTTTAGTAATTGATAGTGTAACAAGGGGAAAAAAAATGTAAGTATGTAGGAGTTTTGAACAACACAGTTAACAAGTCTTACCCAATATATAGATATAGATACAGATATAGAAAAAATGCATCCTCATTCCACTAGAAAATAAATATATGGAAAACTGGATATCTAAATGTGAATAAAAACATTTAGCATGTGTGGTGTGAGTTTGTGTGTGTACGTGTGTGTGCACACATGCACTCACATATGTATAGGAATGCAGGCAGACATACATAGCCTTTAAATGCTTATGTTAGAAAAGATACTTGTCTAAGCATCTTTACCATATGATCCAACAATTGTCCTCCTCAGTATTTACCCAAAGGAGCTGAAAACCTGTGTTCACACAGAAACCTACACACATATGTTGATAGCAGCATAGACATCTTTTTTAGGAAACCCTAAAGGCTTTTAATATCTTTTTTGGGAAAATGTGTGAGATAATTACCAAACTCAAGAAGTTATAAAATATAACATTAACTCCAATGAAAAAAAGAAGGAGGAATAAAGATAAACCTAGAAATGTATTAAATAAGAAAACTAAAATAGAGATCAACGAAGGACAAATTGGTTTTAAAAAAGAACTAATAAAATCAACATACCTCAGGAAATAATTACCAAGAAAACAAAGAAGGCACAAACAAACATTTACTGGATATAAAAGGGGTTTTCAACTACAGAAAAATACTTAAAAATAGAATATTGTGACACAATTTTATGCCAAAATTTTGGAAACTTAGATAGATTTAATATTTTCTAGAAAAATAGACCAAAAAGGGAATAGACTAGCAAAAAAACAGACTTTGTTTTTTAAAGCAGTTTGAGGTTCATAGCATAACTGTGTGGAAGGTACAAGTTCCCATGTCCCCTCCCAACCCCCACCCAAGCACAGCCTCCCCCATCATCAACATCCCCCACCAGGGCCGTACAATTGAAATAGATGAACTGATGCAGACACATCATTACCACCCAGAGTCCATAGTTTACATCAGGGTTCTCTCTTGGTGGCGTATGGGTTCTGTGGGTTTGCACAGATGTATAATGACCTGTATCGACCATTATAGTATCATTCAGAATAGCTTCACTGCCCTAAAAATCCTCGGTGCTCCACCTATTCATCCCGCCCTCTCTCTGCAATCCATGGCAGCCATTGACCTGTTATGTTTTGTTTTGTTTTGTTTTGTTTTGTTTTGTTTTGTTTTGTTTGAGATGGTGTATCGCTCTGTCGCCCAGGCTGGAGTGCAGTGGTGCGATCTCGGCTCACTGCAACCTCCACGTCCCGGGTTCAAGCGATTCTCCCACCTCAGCCTCCTGAGTGGCTGGGACTACAGGTGCACGCCACCACGCCTGGCTAATTTTTGTATTTTTAGTAGAGACAGGGTTTCGTCATGTTGGCCAAGCTGGTCTCAAACTCCTGACCTCGGGTGATCCACCTGCCTTAGCCTCCCAAAGTGCTGGGATTACAGGCGTGAGCCACTGCGCCCGGCCTGATCTGTTTTGCTGTCTCCATTGCTTTACTTTTCCTAGAATATCATATAATTGGAATCTTACAGTCTGTAATCTTTTCAGATTGACTTATTTCATTTGGTAATATGCATTTAAGGTTCCTCCATGTTTTTTTCATGGCTTGATAGCCCATTTCTTTTTAGCACTGAATAATAATCCATTGTTTGGATATAGCACAGTTAGTTTATCCATTTCACCTACTGAAGGTTGCTTCCAAGTTTTAGCAATTATGAATAAAGCTGCTATCAACATATGTATGTAGGTTTCTGTGTGAACACACGTTTTCTGCTCCTTTGGATAAATACAAGGGAAGGCAATTGTTGGATCACATGGAAAGAGTATGCTTCGTTTTGTAGGAAACTGCCAAACTGCCTTCCAAAGTGACTGCACCATTTCTCATGCCCACCAGCAGTGTATGAGAGTTCCTGTTGCTCTGCATCCTTGCCAGCATTTGGTGTTGTCAGTGTTCTGGATTTTGGTCATTCTAATAGATGCGTAGTGGTGTCTCAGTTTTTTTTTTTTTTAATTTGTATTAAATATGACAATGTGGAACATATTTCTATGTGCTTCTTTGCCATCTCTATATTGTCTTTGCTCAGGTGTCTGTTAAGGTCTTTGGCCCATTATTTTAATTGGATTGTTTGTTTTCTTATTGCTGAGTTTTAAGAGTTCTTTGTATATTTTGGATTACAGTTCATTATTAGATGTGTCTTTTGCAAATATTTTCTCCCAATCTGGAGGTCATCTTTTCATTCTTTTGATCAGTATATTTTTAAAAAAGAAATTCAAAAAGGTAGGTTTACAGGCAAGTTCCACCCAGCATAAAATATCATTATGAACATAAATGTATAAGCCTTTTTTATTATTATACTTTAAGTTATAGGGTACCTGTGCACAATGTGCAGGTTTGTTACATTAGGTATACATGTGCCATGTTGGCTTGCTGCATCCATTAACTGGTCATTTACATTAGATATTTCTCCTAATGCTATCCCACCCCCAGCCCCCCACCCCCCGAGAGGCCCCGGTGTGTGATGTTCCCTGCCCTGTGTCCATGTGTTCTCATTGTTCAGTTCCCGTCTATGAATGAGAACATGTGGTGTTTGGTTTTCTGTCCTTGTGATAGTTTGCTGAGAATGATGGTTTCCAGCTTCATCCATGTGCCTGCAAAGGACATGAACTCATCCTTTTTTATGGCTGCATAGTACTCATGGTGTATGTGTGCCACATTTTCTTAATCCAATCTGTCATTGATGGACATTTGGGTTGGTTCCAAGTCTTTGCTATTGTTAATAGTGCCGCAATAAATATACGTGTGCATATGTCTTTATAGTAGCATGATGTATAATCCTTTGGGTATATACCCAGTAATGGGATTGCTGGGTCAAATGGTATTTCTAGTTCTAGATCCTTGAGAAATCTTCCACTGTCTTCCACAATGGTTGAACTAGTTTACACTCCCACCAGCAGTGTAAAAGCATTCCTATTTCTCCACATCCTCTCTAGCATCTGTTGTTTCCTGACTTTTTAATGATTGCCATTCTAACTGGTGTGAGAGAGATGGTATCTCATTGTGGTTTGGATTTGCATTTCTCTGATGGCCAGTGATGATGAGCATTTTTTCATGTGTCTGTTGTCTGCATAAATGTCTTCTTTTGAGAAGTGTCTCTTCATATCCTTTGCCCACTTTTTGATGGGGTTGTTTTTTTCTTGTAAATTTGTTTAAGTTATTTGTAGATTCTGGATATTAGCCCTTTGTCAGATGGGTAGATTGCAAAAATTTTCTCCCATTCTCTAGGTTGCCTGTTCACTCTGATGATGGTTTCTTTTGCTGTGCAGAAGCTCTTTAGTTTAATTAAATCCTATTTGTATATTTTGGCTTTTGTTGCCATTGCTTTTGGTGTTTTAGTCATGAAGTCTTTGCCCATGCCTATGTCCTGAATGGTATTGCCTAGGTTTTCTTCTAGGGTTTTTATGGTTTTATGTCTTAGGTTTAAGTCTTTAATCCATCTTGAGTTAATTTTTGTATAAGGTGTAAGGAAGGGATCCAGTTTCAGCTTTATACATATGTCTAGCCAGTTTTCCCAGTACTATTTATTAAACAGGAAATCCTTTCCCCATTTCTTGTTTTTGTCAGGTTTGTCAAAGATCAGATGGTTGTAGATGTGTGGTGTTATTTCTGAGGCCTCTGTTCTCTTCCATTGGTCTATATCTCTGTTTTGGTACCAGTACCATGCTGTTTTGGTTACTGTAGCCTTGTAGTGTAGTTTGAAGTCAGGTAATGTGATGCCTCCAGCTTTGTTGTTTTTGCTTAGGATTGTCTTGGCTATGCGGGCTCTTTTTTGTTTCCATATGAACTTTAAAGTAGTTTTTTCCAATTCTGTGAAGAAAGTCATTGGTAGCTTGATGGGGATGGCATTGAATCTGTAAATTACCTTGAGCAGTATGGCCATTTTCACGATATTGATTCTTCCTATCCATGAGCATGGAATGCTCTTCCATTTGTTTGTGTCCTCTCTGATTTCCTTGAGCAGTGGTTTGTAGTTCTCCTTGAAGAGGTCCTTCACATCCCTTGTAAATTGGATTCCTAGGTATTTTATTCTCTTTGTAGCAATTGTGAATGGGAGTTCATTCATGATTTGGTTCTCTGTTTGTCTGTTATTGGTGTATAGGAATGCTTGTGATTTTTGCACATTGATTTTGTATCCTGAGACTTTGCTGAAGTTGCTTAATCAGCTTGAGATTTTTGGCTGAGACAGTGGGGTTTTCTAAATATACAATCATGTCGTCTGCAAACAGGGACAATTTGACTTCCTCTTTTCCTATTTGAATACCCTTTATTTCTTTCTCTTGCCTGATTGCCTTGGCCAGAACTTCCAACACTATGTTGAATAGGAGTGGTGAAGAGGGCATCCTTGTCTTGTGCCAGTTTTCAAAGGGAATGATTCCAGTTTTGGACTATTCAATATGATATTGGCTGGGGGTTTGCCATAAATAGCTCTTATTATTTTGAGATACGTTCCATCAATACCTAGTTTATTGAGAGTTTTTAGCATGAAGGGCTGTTGAATTTTGTCGAAGGCCTTTTCTGCATCTGTTGAGATAATCATGTGGTTTTTGTCATTGGTTCTGTTTATGTGATGGATTACATGTATTGATTTGCATATATTGAACCAGCCTTGCATCCCAGGGATGAAGCCAACTTGATCATGATGGATAAGCTTTTTGATGTGCTGTTGGATTCTGTTTGCCAGTATTTTATTGAGGATTTTTGCATCAATGCTCATCAGGGATATTGGTCTAAAATTCTCTTTTTTGGTTGTGTCTCTGCCCGGCTTTGGTATCAGGATGATGCTGGCCTAATAAAATGAGTTAGGGAGGATTCCCTCTTTTTCTATTGATTGGAATAGTTTCCGAAGAAATGGTACCGGCTCCTCTGTACCTCTGGCAGAATTCGGCTGTGAATTTGTCTGGTCCTGGACTTTTTTGGGTTGGTAGGCTATTAATTATTGCCTCAATTTCAGAACCTGTTGTTAGTCTATTCAGAGATTCAACTTCTTCCTAGTTTAGTCTTGGGAGGGTGCATGAGTCCAGGAATTTATCCATTTCTTCTAGATTTTCTAGTTTATTTGTATAGAGGTGTTTATAGTATTCTCTGACAGTATTTTGTATTTCTGTGAGATCGGTGGTGATATCCCCTTTATCATTTTTTATTGCGTCTATTTGATTTTTCTCTGTTTTCTTCTTTATTAGTCTTGCTAGCGGTCTGTCTATTTTGTTGATCTTTTCAAAAAACCCGTTCCTGGATTCATTGATTTTTTGAAGGTTTTTTTGTGTCTCTATCTCCTTCAGTTCTGCTCTGATCTTAATTATTTCTTTCCTTCAGCTAGCTTTTGAATTTATTTGCTTTTGCTTCTCTAGTTCTTTTCATTGCGATGTTAGGATGTCAATTTTAGATCTTTCTTGCTTTCTCTTGTGGGCATTTAGTGCTATAAATTTCCCTCTACACACTACTTTGAATGTGTCCCAGAGATTCTGGTACGTTGTGTGTCTTTGTTCTCATTGGTTTCAAAGAATATCTTTATTTCTGCCTTCATTTCGTTATTTACCCAGTAGTCATTCAGGAGCCCGTTGTTCAGTTTCCATGTAGTTGTGCAGTTTTGAGTGAGTTTCTTAATCTTGAGTTCTAATTTGATTGCACTGTGGTCTGAGAGACAGTTTCTTGTGATTTCTGTTCTTTTACATTTGCCGAGGAGTGTTTTACTTCCAATTATTTGGTCAATTTTAGAATAAGTGCAATGTGGTGCTGAGAAGAATGCATATCCTGTTGATTTGGGGTGGAGAGTTCTGTAGATACCTATTAGGTTCACTTGGGGCAGAGCTAAGTTCAAATCCTGGGTATTCTTGTTAACCTTCTGTCTCGTTGATCTAATATTGACAGTGGGCTGTTAAAGTCTCCCATTATTATTTTGTGGGAGTCTAAGTCTCTTTGTAGGTCTCTAAGGACTTGCTTTATGAATCTTGGTGCTCCTGTATTAGGTGCATATATATTTAGGATAGTTAGCTCTTCTTGTTGAATTAATCCCTTTACCATTATATAATGGCCTTCTTTGTCTCTTTTTATCTTTGTTGGTTGAAAGTCTGTTTTATCAGAGACTAGGATTGCAACCCCTGCTTTTTTTTTGCATTCCATTTGCTTGGTAGCTCTTCCTCCATCCCTTCATTTTGAGCCTATGTGTGTCTCTGCATGTGAGATGGGTCTCCTGAATACAGCACACTGATGGGTCTTGACTCTTTATCCAATATTCTAGTCTGTGTCTTTTAATTGGGGCATTTAGCCCATTTGCATTTAAGGTTAATATTGTTATGTGTGAACTTGATCCTGTCATTATGATGCTAGCTGATTATTTTGCCTGTTAATTGATGTGGTTTCTTCATAGCATCGATGGTCTTTACCATTTGGCGTGTTTTTGCAGAGGCTGGTACCAGTTGTTCCTTTCCATGTTAAGTGCTTCCTTCAGGAGCTCTTGTAAGGCAGGCCTGGTGGTGACAAAATCTCTCAGCATTTGCTTGTCTGTAAAGGATTTTATTTCTCCTTCACTTATGAAGCTTGGTTTGGCTGGATATGAAATTCTGGGTTGAAAATTCTTTAAGAATGTTGAATATTGGCCCCCACTCTCTTCTGGCTTGTAGGGTTTCTGCCGAGAGATCCACTGTTAGTCTGATGGGCTTCCCTTTGTGGGTAACCCGACTTTTCCCTCTGGCTGCTGTTAACATTTTTTCCCTTCATTTCAACCTTGGTGAATCTGAAAATTATGTGTCTTGGGGTTGCTCTTTTTGAAGAGTAGCTTTGTGGTGTTCTCTGTATTTCCTGAATTTGAATGTTGGCCTGCCTTGCTAGGTTGGGGAAGTTCTCCTGGATAATATCCTGAAGGGTGTTTTCCAGCTTGGTTCCATTCTGCTCATCACTTTCAGGTACACCAATCAAACATAGATTTGGTCTTGTCACATAGTCCCATATTTCTTGGAGGCTTTGTTTGTTTCGTTTTACTGTTTTTTCTCTAATCTTGTCTTCTCACTTCATTTCATTAATTTGATCTTCAAACACTGATATCCTTTCTTCCACTTGATCGAATCGGCTATTGAAGCTTGTGCATGTGTCATGAAGTTCTCATGCTGTGGTTTTCAGCTCCATCAGGTCATTTCAGGTCTTCTCTATACTATTCATTCTAGTTAGCCATTCATCTAACCTTTTTTCAAGGTTCTTAGCTTCCTTGCAATGGGTTCGAACATGCTCCTTTAGCTTGGAGAAGTTTCTTATTGCCGACCTTCTGAAACCTACTTCTGTCAACTCGTCAAAGTCATTCTCCATCCAGTTTTGTTCCATTGCTGGCAAGGAGCTGCGATCCTTTGGAGAAGAAGGGGTGCTCTGGTTTTTGGAATTTTCAGTTTTTCTGCTCTTCTCCTCATCTTTGTGGTTTTATCTACCTTTGGTCTTTGATGTTGGTGACCTACAGATGGGGTTTTGGTGTGGATGTCCCTTTTGTTGATGTTGATGCTATTCCTTTCTGTTTGTTAGTTTTCCTTTTAACAGTAAGGCCCCTCAGCTGCAGGTCTGTTGGAGTTTGCTGGAGGTCCACTCCAGACCCTGTTTGCCTGAGTATCACCAGCAGAGGCTGCAGAACAGCAAACATTGCTGCCTGATCCTTCTTCTTGAAGCTTTGTCCCAGAGGAGCACCCACCTGTATGAGGTGTCTGTTGGCCCCTACTGGGAGATGTCTCCCAGTCAGGCTACACGGGGGTCAGGGACCCACTTGAGGAGGCAGTCTATCCATTCTCAGAGCTTGAACGCCGTGCTGGGAGAACCAGTGCTCTCTTCAGAGGTGTCAGACAGAGATGTTTAAGTCTGCAGAAGTTGTCTGCTGCCTTTTGTTCAGCTATGCCCTGCCCACAGAAGTGGAGTCTATAGAGGCAGTAGGCCTTGCTGAGCTGTGGTGGGCTCCACTCAGTTCGAGCTTCCTGGCCGCTTTGTTTACCTACTCAAGCCTCAGCAGTGGCGGACACCCCTCCCCACCACCAGGCTGTAGCCTCACAGATCGATCACAGACTGCTGTGCTAGCAGTGAGCAAGGCTCCGTGGGTGTGGGTCCCACTGGGCCAGGCACAGGAGGGAATCTCCTGGTCTGCTGATCGCTAAGACCGTTGAAAAGTGCAGTATTTGGGCGGGAGTGTACTGTTTTTCCAGGTACAGTCTGTCACAGCTTCCCTTGGCTAGGAAAGGGAAATCCCCCAACCCCTTGCACTTCCTGGGTGAGGCGACGCCCCACCCTGCTTTGGCTTGCCCTCCGTGGGTTGCACCCACTGTCCAACCAGTCCCAATGAGATGAACCAGGTACCTCAGTTGGAGAAATCACCCATCTTCTGCGTTGATCTCGTTTGGAGCTGCAGACCAGAGCTGTTCTTATTCGGCCATCTTGGAAGCAACTCCTATGTATAAGTCTTAACTAAAATATCAGCATAACAAAGTCTAGCAATAAGTTAAAAATAAATCCTAACAAGTTTAGGCTTCTATTAGGAATGCACAGTTTGTTTAACTTTCAAAAAAGTCCATTAATATAATTCATTCTATTAAAAGATTGAGGCAGAAAAAAATAAATGATCATTCTGGTAGCTGGAGAAAAATCAGTTGATGTTATTTAAAACCCATTTGTAATTGGAAGAAGTTTCACCTAACCTGACATAGGGGTCTCACTTAATGCTGAAACATTAGAAGTTTCTAAACGTAGAATAAAATAAGAATATCAGTGTCATCACTTTTTAAAAATATCTTAGTGACTATATGAATTTCAGTAGTAATACAAGTAAAATAATAAAATGTTTATGAATAAGGAATAAACCTGTTATCATCTTTATAGGCCATATCTGTTTTTTACATAGAAAATCCCTAGAGACTGTCTAGAAAAAATATATCTGATACAAAACAAGATCTATCGAAGTATCAAATGTGTTTCTATATTCTTACAACAGACAGTTAGAAAATGTAATTTCACAAATTTTATTTTCAATATCTGCAGGTGTTGAGTACCAAAAAATAAATTTAAGAAAGAACAACATAAATGTTGAGTTGTATCACGTTTATGCCTGGGAAAACTCAATACCAGATGCCAAATTTTTCCAAAATAAATTGAGTGTGATTAATGTGATTCCAACTAAATTTAATGTGATTCCAACTAAAGTCTTAACAGGGACTTCATGAGACTGTACAAGTAAATTTAAAATTTACAATGATGAGCAAAGGATCAGTAATGAGCAAGAATAGTAAAACAAGACAATTTTAAAGAAAAAGAACCAAGTTGGGGGACTTTCTGTGCCAAATGCAACACTTTCATAATGCTGTAAGGATTAAGATGATGTTTTGCTGGGTCAGGGATAGACATGTAACACAAGGAACAAAAATAGGGAGTCCAGAAACTGGATATCTGCTGTGTTAATCTTCTCCCATGTTACTTATAGCTTTGCTGTAATCCATCCTATGCCATATCCAGTTGTTATAATATCCCATGTTACATTCAATTTAATATGCCAACTAGTGGCTAAAGAAAAGATTTCTGAGTGGGAGCTAAACACTGGGTACTCATGGACATAAAGATGGCAACAACAGACACTGGAGACTACTGTAGGGGGAAAGGAGAAGGGGGCCAGGATTGAAAAACTACTGGATACTCTGCTCACTGCCTGGGTGATGGAATCAATTATACCCTAAACTTCTGCATCGCATGCGATATACCCATGTGACAAACATGCACATGTATGTCCTGAATCTAAAATAAAAATCAAAATATGAACAGATAGCACGTGCCTGCAGTCCTAGCTGCCAGGAGGCTGAGGAAGGCGGATGGCTTGAGCCCAAGAGTTTGAGGCTCCAGTGAGCCACGATCGCACCACTGCACTCCAGCCTGGGTGACAAAGCATGACCCTGTCTCAAAATAAATAAATAAACAAATAATATAAATAAGTAAATATTTTCTTTTTTTAAAAAAAGGAAATATTCTTGAATGCATTTTTCTGGAAGCCTCCTCCTGGTACCTCAGAATTCTGCTTCCTGGAATCTCTGGCAGGTAGAAATGACCATAAAAGTTTGATTCTACTCAAGACTTTTTTGGTCATGGACTATGACAAGCCACATTGCTGATTGCAGACCCTCAACATTTTAGAATAAAATATATAACTAAAAAGATTTATGACAGGGTGTGTCTCTCCCTCTGTCTTCTGTTCAGAAAATTTACCCATTCTCAACAGCCTTGCTTTCCCTCTGCAATCTGGGCATTGCTTCCGTCAGTGGTGTCTTCACATGGAATTGGGGAATTGGCAGCTTTTTTTCCCCTTTCTTCAGAGATTTAAAGTAAATGACACCTTAGATCAGATAGATGAGCATCATCCTTCCTCCTCCCTTCCTTTTTGGATAGATTTCATCTTCATCTCTCTTGCCCTTCTCTCTCTCAGTCTTTCAAGGTTGCTGAGAGCTCAGAGGGAATGGGATTGATTTCACATGAGACCTTACTATTTAGGGTCATCCTGAACCCATGCGAAGCATTTTCTTTGCAGCAGGACAGAGTGCCTGGATTTCTTCTTCTTATTGTTATTTTATTATTATTCATCTTTACCTGAATGCAGAGGCTCATTCTGGTGAACACGTGCCCTATTGGGAGTTGGTCTTGCTGGACTTCTTTGATGGCTGGACCCCTGGCTTTTTCTCTCAAGGTTATAAGAGCCGGGCTTCTGGGTCAGATGATGCTTTCTCTGTGGAGGCACAATCACTCTCTTCTTTTCTGGCTCAGTGTTGAGGCCTCCCGTGCTCAGCCGTAGAGGTCAATGCTACAGAGCTGACTGAGGCAGGAGGCAAGGCTGAGCCTAGGATCAGAGGGCTCTTGTTCCAGGGCCAGCAGCTCTGCAGGAATGAGACCAGGCACCATTGTGTGAGGATCCTAGGGGATGTGGAGGAAGGAAAGGTGTGATCTCAGACCCACCCACAGGGTCCACCTGTGCCCCATGGGCTCCCCCTGCCTATACTGCCATTGACGTCTGAAAGCACAGCTTGTAATCCCATAAGGATTGGGCTTCTGAATCCTGCCTGGGGGGCCAAGCAGTGGTTTGCTCTCAAGCCCTCTTTCAGCCTCACTGCTTAGGGCAACATGGTGTAAGCAAACACCATGATCCAGGCAAGCCAGACCTTCCTGGAGCCTCCTTCGTTCTGGCTTATCTCCAAGTGTGTGATCCCACCATGCCCTCCGCCAGGGGCCTGTCCACATCCGTTTCCGTCTTTGGGAGCTCTGGCTATCCTTTAAAGCCTATGCAGACACCTCTCCTCCTCCTACCCCCGCTAAGGACACGTAGCTTGCGTCCTACATGTTTGAGTTACATTTGCCCCAGTCACCCCCTCCGTGGTGAGGGTAGGGCTCAGAGCTCTCCTCACTCCAAGAGTGAGCCCCAGTCATTGCTGGCTGGGGGAGGACAAAGGCAGCCAGATAAAGGCAGCTCCTGCAAGGACGGAGAGGCCACAGGCCGGCATCTTCACAAACTGTGGATGTACTGTGTCTTCCAGTAGTCAAAATAAAGAATATATTTGGCCATTTTCAGACTATTTAATACAGAACAGTTTACACACAGAAGAGGAGTGAGGAGGAGAATGAATCCCTGCAGCCCTACCCCTGTTTCCACGGTTATGGGTGTTTGCCAGCACAGGGCTGCCCAGCACTGGTGAGGGGGTCACTGTTGGCTGGCATCTGTCGGGCATCCCCGGGGAAGCTGCGCCGGTGCTGTGGTCACTGAGGTCCTCATAGGGGTTCTGGCCACTCACATTTCCGAGGTTCTTCATTTCCCACCTCAGATCACTGTTTTCAAACTCAGTTTTCAGCAACAGGGCCTTTCTTCAAACTCATCTTATCTCCACCCCTAATGCTCAAAACAGATAAAGTAGTATTAGCACAAATCCATTACAAGAGTTTACTTTTATACTATGTACTTATAAAATCAATTTGCCTATGGGAAAGAAGCGTAAAACTACCATCATGGGTATTAAGATTTGGATTTTGATAACATTTATGTGTTACAATTTCATGTAGCTCAATATTCTGTTTGGATGAAAAACATTCAGAAATCACTGAGTCACAAATCACTGAGTCACAGGTAAGCTGTTGCTAATAGCAACAGTTTTTTTATCTTGTTTTTACCTGTTTGCCTTGTGATCTCAAGAGTCTCTTCAATTAAATTGATCCAAATGCTTGAAAGAAAGGCTTGTAGGAACTTTTTTTTTTTCAGAGTTGAATCACTGATCTAACAGATGCTCAGTCTTGATTATAAATATGAAAATCAGACAGGAAGAAACCCAAGCTTAAAATAAGCAAAACTTTGTTCCCCATAACATGCATCAAACCACACTATTCTTAATTTTTAATTTATTTTTATTTCAAAAATATTTATGTTTTTATTTTATTTTATTAGAGACAGGGTCTCGCTCTGTCTCCTAGGCTGGAGGACAGTGGTGCAAACATAGCTCACTGCAGCCTCAAACTCCTGGGCTCAACTAATCCTCCTGCCTCAGCCTCCTGAGTAGCTGGAAACATAAGCTTATGTCACTGCACTGATTAATTTTGTCAGTGTTTTGTTTTTGTAGAGATGGGGTCTTGCTTTGTTGCCCAGTCTGGTCTCAAACTTCTGGCTTCAAATGATCCTCCCCTCTGGGCCTCCCAAAGTGCTAATATTATAGGTGTGGGCCACTGTGCCCAGACTATAGACCATGCTTTCTATGTTGCTGCTACTGAGGGTGATTGATGGGGGAACGCATCCCACGTCTGGTGCGGGTTAGATGCCATGTAATTGGAGGGACAGACTTTAATTTTTTAAAAGCAATGCAAAGCTGAAATCTCATTTGGTGACTCCTTTATAAGAGATTCAAATGCGTGCAAATTCATGGCCAGAGAGGCTTTAGTTTAACTTCCATGCAAAAAGGAGTTAAACAGGACACATAAATTAACACAACGGTAGTCTCTAAGAGTTAAAATTTTGTTAATAGTCATTTGAGTGTGTGACTTTTATTACCATTTTCAAATTCAAAGGAACTAAAATATTGGAGGTAAATATTTCCAGAAACCTTGAGGCGCCTCCATAGGGTCTCAGGGCTCCAGAGAACCTAGCTTGAAGATCATGATACTATCCAGAGTGAGCTTGTGCAGGTCCACATTTTCAGCTATTTTGTGCCCAATCACCATTTATAATGTGACTCATTAACAGTCAGATACAGACTACGGTCAAGCAAAGAATATTTACATCTTGATCCTACCTCCTCCTCTCTCTTTCCCTATGTGTTTTTGGAAGTAAGGGGGGGGGATGTGTCCTTTCATGACAACTTGGCTCTCGCCTTCTCTCCCTCTCTCCTTTCTCTCAGTCTCCCCCTTTTTCCCCCTTATCCCCCTTTCTTCCTTCCCTTAAACTTCATCACGTTTTTGCTTGTTTCATATTCAAATCACGGCTTTCTCATACAATTACTACTTTTTTCCTAGAGTTTCTGGTTGCCTTTTCTTATTATAAGAATGTTTAAAACTGTGTCCTTAATCAAGTCCATGATGTTTTTCAGCTCATTATATCTCCTCTTTCTTGCTCTGAACCCATTTGGTTCTGTCCTCAGTACTTTAACGTCTTGCTGGGATTTGGACCCACCTTTTTCTAGGCCTCCTGCTCAAGTCATCCTCTAAATCTCTTTTATCGATCTCCAGGTTTAATCTAAAAGTGTATTCTTTCTCAGGTTTCACTCTCATTGTTCCAAAGCTGACCAAGGAAATATATGTTGGGAACAAGCTCTTCAAGGCTTTAATGTTCTTGAAAACCCCTTTTTTTTTGCCTTCATGCTTGGGTGGTTTTTCTGCTGTGAGAAGTGTCTTCGTGTTATTTCTTAATTTTTTCCCTCCCACTCTCCCTGATGGAGCTTCTGTGAGTGAGGCGAGTTCCCCCAGCCTTGTCCTCTACGCTGTCTTCTTTCTGTGTTATGTTTGATCTCTGTGATTTCTATCAGCCAAACCTCCCACCTACTCATAAAAAGTTATTTCATAAATCATACCTTTAATTTCCATTTTTCTCTCTTTTTTCTAATTGCTATGTCCTCTTGAATGTTGTGAGGACATTACTTTTTTAAGAAGTGATTTTTCCTTCTTTTCATTGACTCATTCTTTTTGGATCTTTTTTGGTGTGTATCCTCCACTGTGTGTCGCATGCTGAAGACTGTCCTCCGGTATCTGTGATTCTAAGTTTCCCCTTGAGAAATCTCAGACATGGGAGAGGCTGCCTGAGGCTCTGTAGTCATGGGCAGCTCCTGCAGGGGCCATAGTGGCCAAAATGAGGGGAGCTTTACTCTGGGGTGCTGGTACTTTGATTGGCTGCCTGTGTTTTTTTGAGGTGGTTTATTTTTCTTTACCAGTAGGGCTGTGTTTTAAGGGTACCCAGGGTTGGTTTTAATCAGGCATGGTGAGACACTTAGACACAGAAGTGACTGTCCTGAAGGAAAGCAGTTTTACTCACTGTTCTTAGAAGCAGAAGGACAGGCTAGGCGTGGTGGCTCAGCCTGTAATCCTAGCACTTTGAGAGGCTAAGTGGGGGGTGGATCACGAGGCCAGGAGTTCAAGACCAGCCTAACCAACATGGTGAAACCCCATCTCTACTAAAAATATAACAATTAGCCGGGAGTGGTGGCACGCACCTGTAATCCCAGCTACTCAGGAGGCTGAGGCAGGAGAATTGCTTGAATCCAGGAGGCAGAGGTTGCAGTGAGCCGAGGTCGTGCCCCTGCACTCCAGCCTGGGCAACAGAGCTAGACTCCATTTCAAAAAAAAAGGGAAGCGTAGCACATGCAGGGACACAGGGAGGCACCAGGGCCACGCGGGAGGCCGAGAGAGTGCGGGAAACCTGAGCAAGGGCCGTCCTTCATTGTGGCTTCTGCAGGAAGGAAGGGAGGAGCAGGGCACGCAGGCTTAGGTTTAGGATTAGCTCCTTAGAATAATTGCAGTAGGCCCTGGGGCATAGGGACTCTTCCTGGTTGACTTTTACCTGGTCCTGCAGTGATGAGAGCAGGACTGGTGTCAACCCCAGTGTGACAGCCTGATAAAGGATGTGTTTGGGTGGGGGTATGGGTTCTGGATTGATTGATTTGTGTTTGAAAGGCCAGAGTTGTTTACTCTCTCTCCAAGGGGCCTCCAGAGTCAGCAAAGCCCCAGATGTCAACACATCAGAATCCAGAAAATAAAAGACAAGGCTAGTACAGGCTGTTGGTGTAATTGCTGTTGGGGCTGTGTGTGTGTGTGGGTGTGTGTCCTTTATCCCAGTTGTTAACTCCTGGCTGCAGGAGGCTGGAACAGGGGACGGAGAGGGGCAGAGGTGCATCCGTCTAAAACTCGCACTTACTTCTGTTGTCTTCCCTCACTCTCCTTCTTTTCATCGCTAACTGTGGAGCTGGAAGCCCTCTGGGGTTGTGGTGTCCAGCTCCCTCCTGCACCTGCAGTTCAGTCATTCAAGATATATATGTGGGCCGGGCACGGTGGCTCACGCCTATAATCCCAGCACTTTGGGAGGCTGAGGCGGGTGGATCACAAGGTCAGGAGATCGAGACCATCCCGGCTAACATAGTGAAACCCCCGTCTCTACTAAAAATACAAAAAAATTAACCAGGTGTGGTGGTGTGCACCTGTAGTCCCAGCTACTCGGGAAGCTGAGGCAGGAGGATGACATGAACCCAGGAGGTGGAGCTTGCAGTGAGCCGAGATCATGCCACTGCACTCTAGCCTGGGCAACACAGCAAGACTCTGTCTCAAAAAAAAAAAAAAAAAAAGATATATATGTGAAGCACAAACCAAGTGTGTGTCCGCTTCAAGAGGCTGGAACTAGAGCTTTGGACACAGCGAGTGAAAACCCTGCCCCATGAGGCTCACAGGGTGGCAGCGTGCCTCACCCACCCTCTGTTCTTCTAGACGCCATGAAAATGTCACATCTGCCGATGTCCTCCAGAGTTGTTTACAGGTTTCATTTGGTTAAGAGCTTGGTTTTATATACATTGTGAGAAAAATCACCAGTTCGGTGTGAAAATTGAAATGGGGGTAGACACTGGCCCTTCCAAGCTGTGCCCGGGGAAGACCTCCCAGGCCAGCCCCAGTGGTGCTCTCAGGCAGGGTGTGGGGTTGTGAGGACAGACAGGGGCCCCTCTCAAGGTCTTTGCTGCTCCATCAAAGACAGACCCCAGGGCTTCGGGAAATCCACAGCCTGGTGGCACTGGCTCATGCAGTCCTTTTCCTGTTTCTAGTGCTGATGAGCGCTTTGACGCCACATTCCACACTAACGTGTTGGTGAATTCTTCTGGGCATTGCCAGTACCTGCCTCCAGGTAAGCTGCACCTCCTTTGTCCTCTTCCAGTTAGAAAACTGAAGCGAGTTTGGGTGTCAGTCAGTCTGGCCGGTGCCCCCGTGTGGTGGACCAGCTCTTTGCTTCGCCTTTGCTCACTCCCACCTCTTCCTCTCTCTTCTCTTCTGTGCTTCTGTGTGCTTTCTACCCCCAGAAGTCCATCCTCCTCTTTTGTCTCAATCAAGCCGTCTTTGCCACTATGTCCTTATTTTCTGCCATGTGTGCCTTAAAGCCAATGTACAAATACAGCGAGTCTCCTTTGCCGGGCAGTGGCCACCTCACCTTCCAGCCTGGCAAGCCACCTCTCCAGGCTCTGCTTCTCAGTTCCAGCTTGCCATCCTCCTCCCTGCGGGACTCAGTGTCTTGGCAGGTGCAGCGCTCCAGCTGCCGGGGGTGAGATATGACAGTTCCAGGATCCTGAGTGCGTGCGCTAAAGAGCACACGCAGGTTACAGGCAAGGTCTGGTGGTTTCAAGGGAGAGCTCTCTAGCGGCTGACTTCTTCCCAACAGTGTCTCACCTCCAAGGCTAAGTGCTCCCTGGATTGGTTCTTTCCCACCAGTCCATCTTTTCAGTCGATTCACAGGGCAAGGGAAATGGGTTTATGGCCTACAGGTGCATGCAGAGTGCGCACTAGCATATTGATAGGAACAGCTGGGGTTTTTGATCTTTTAGAAGATTTTTAATGTGTTTATTCCAGGGTGATCTCCCACACTGCAGCTGTTTAACTTTCTGCTCAGAGGCAACCTGCAATTACCTCCACACCTAACTACCACTCACACATACGACTCACACACACACCACTCGCAACCACTCACACACAGCCACTCACACATACCACACACCACTCACCCCTCACACACACCACTCACACACACCTCACACACACACACACCACTCAGTACTCACACACACCACTCACACCACTCACACTACTCACACCACTCATACACACCACCCACACACACTGTTCACACAACACACACACCACTCACAATCACACACACCACTCACACAACCACTCACATACCACCCACATGACTCAACACACACACCACTCACACAACCACTCACATACCACCCACACGACTCAACACTCACACACCACTCACACAACCACTCACATACCACCCACACGACTCAACACTCACACACCACTCACACAAATATACCACCCACACACCACTCACCACTCCACACATACCACTCACACAAACCACTCAAACCACCAACACACACACACCAGACACACACACACCCCTCACACACACCACTTACACACCACTCTCACACACCATACACACCACTCACACACGACTCACAACCCTCACACACACCACTTACACACATGCAGGCATGCACTCTCAAACCAGATACACTATTCACACCACTCACATACCACACATACTGGCTGTGCCTTCTCGGTTGCTGTCTGTGTGCCTTCCCTGTCAGCAGGTGACAAGCATCTGGGGGCACAGTCAGCCTTTGCTCACCTTAGCATTTATCCCTGAATGAACAAAGGAGCGAGTGAACCTGTCAATGGTAGACACCTCCCAATAATATTGGAAGAGATTGAAGAAGTCCAGCTGTTCAGGCTTCTCGAAGCATCCGCTTTCCTGCTAGCCCTGGCATTTCCTCCTACCAGCAGGACCCTTGCAAACAGGGGTAGTGGGGGGAGCCTTCCATCACTCCCGAGGTCTTTCTCGCCAGGCCTGCGTGTTGCAGCTTCTGTTATGAGGGCTATTTTAGAAAACAGCCTCCGGTAGTCACCAGTGTAGAATATGCTGCTGCAGGTTGTTTGGAAGGCTGAGGCTATTTTCAGCTGCAGGACCAGCACTGCAAGCCTCGAGCTGCCTGAGTGCAGCAGCCCCTCTGGGGCTCCAGGCCTGTGTCCCCACTGCAGTGGCCCTGGATTCCGGTCAGGACAGGACACGTTGTCTTGTGACCATGAGGGGCTTCCTTACGCTGGCAGGAAAGGCCCAGGGCCGCCTGGATTGGGAAACCCCTGCCTGCTCCCTGGGAGTGTAGAACGAGTCCCAGGATGCTGCCCTGTCTGTAGTTAGAGGGGCATGGATAGGAAAGAATGTTTTGAGTTCAAGCTTTGAAATAGAGACTTGACCATAACATGACTTTCCCCCCCATTTCATGTGTTTATTTTTTAACAGCTTTATTGAGAGAGAATTTACATATCATGCATTTTAAGTACATGATTCAACAACTTTTAGTATATTTACAGACTTATGCAACCATTACCACAGTCTAGTTTTAGAACATTCCCATCACCCCACAAAGATCCCTTTTGCTTGTTTGCAGTTAATTCCCATTCCTACTCCCAGCAACCACTGATCTGCTTTCTGTCTCTAGAAATTCTCTGTCTGTCTCGGGCCATTATTTCGTAGAAATGGGCTCATGAAGTTACAAAGCTTTCCAACTAACTGGCAGACAAGGTGGGTTTTGGGGGGATCCAACTATTAATGGAGGGGGATTGTCTGTGATGATTCCAGATTCCTATAAACATTTCATGTAAGGACGCAAAGCATACTTAAAGGAACTTCAGGGGACAAAATGTGTATCTTTTCCCAACTCGGTTGTGGGGTGGGGTCCTTGTGTGCAAGGCTGTGGAGGCCCTTCCTGCGTGCACTCTTTCTGTAACTCAGTAACAGAAGTTTGCAGAGTGCCAGCCCTGCCCCAGGAACACCTGGACACCGAGTCTGTGCCTGTCTTCTTGTGCCATGCAGCCTTCCTCTGGGCAGGGAAGAGCACATGAGTGTAAATAACTGGAGTGGCCTCTATCTGGTTTCCTCCCCTTGGCCCTCTGGGAAATCCACTTCCAACCTGTCCTAGCCTGGAATAGCTCTTTTCAGCGGAAACTCTTCCTTCAAGCACCATCTCTTCAGCTTAAACCTATCTATCTGTTCTTGTTTTTGTTTGTTTGTTTGTTTGTTTGTTTTAACTTTTTTTCTTACAGACAGATTCTAGGTGTGTTCCCCAGGCTGGAGTGCAGGGGCTCGATCATAGCTCACTTCACTTTAGCCTCAAACTCCTGGGCTCAAGCAATGCTCCTGCCTTAGCCTTCTGAGTAGCTGGGACTACAGGCATGCATCACCTCACCCAGCTAATTTTTTTTATTAGAGATGTCTCACTATGTTGCCCAGTCCGGTCTCAAACTCCTAGTCTCAAGTGACCCTCCCACGTCAATGTCTTAGAGTCACTGGGATTACGGGCATGAGACACTGTGCCCAGCTTGTTCTGTTCTTCATCTAGAATTTAAATTAGTTAAAATTCTAGCTTTAACCAGAATTCTAGATTGTATTTCTCGATAATCATGTGTTGTTCTTCCCATTTTTAACCTAAAGAAAATGCCTACCTCACCCCGCACCAAACAGACACACACACACACACACACACACCTTTTAGATTCTATTTCTAACTTCATCATCAGGGTTATCAACTTCTCTGAGATATTTTGCATTCTTTACTTTTATTATTTAGAGTCTGAAGATGCTCATGGTAAATGCAGATTATAGAGCTAACTTTTTGCACAAAAAGCCCACAAAACAGTCTTTGAGAGAGCATGTCAGTGTTACGTTTGGATTTTAAAAGACAGTGAAGCTTAGCTGAGATTCTGTTTTACAGATTTTGCGAATAAATAAAAAGACAGATTCCGTTTGCTCTGGACTGTGTTAGCTGCAGTGCGGAGGGCGGAACCGGCTGAAGGAACTGCTGTGTATTTTCAGCACATCTCAGTCAGCTTCCGTTTCAGTCTTCTGTTTCCATCACCCACACAGGCATATTCAAGAGTTCCTGCTACATCGATGTACGCTGGTTTCCCTTTGATGTGCAGCACTGCAAACTGAAGTTTGGGTCCTGGTCTTACGGAGGCTGGTCCTTGGATCTGCAGATGCAGGAGGCAGATATCAGTGGCTATATCCCCAATGGAGAATGGGACCTAGTGGGTAAGCCATGAGACTAACCGCCTGGAAGAAAGCTTTCCTATTCCTGGGCAAGCTTTAAAAGTTTGGGATTTTCCACTGTCCTTTCCGGTGCGAGCATTTATTGAATTTTGCAGTAGTCTCCATAATTTACTGAGAGCTACAGGAGGAGAAACAGAAAACAGTTAGGATATGCCATGCTTTCCAAGAGGAACTGGCAACTGCAGTGAGGATGCATTTAAACAAACCAGTGTGAGGATAGATCTCTCTACGTTATGCAGATCCACTCCATTTCTAAAAGCAAGTTGAACAGCAAATTTCAGTTGATGGGAACCTATATTTGATTATTTTAAAATAGGAAAACAGTGATTACATTTATAACAGTGTAAAATTGGTAATGTATTATTTATAATTATTATAATCATGTGTTTCCAATCCACCAAAAGAATATGTACCAATTTGGCCAACTATCACTAAAATACTCTTAACTCTATAGTAAATCAACAAGGTTTTATTCAAGCTAATTACAACCCCCCCCTTTTTTTTTTTTTTAGCACTTTGCAAACTTTAGGACTGTGCTTGTGTGTGGTATACACATTGAAATAAACAGGGTAATTTATTGTATTCTAACAATGGCTCCTTCTCTCCTCCTCCCTATGGAGGAATCCCCGGCAAGAGGAGTGAAAGGTTCTATGAGTGCTGCAAAGAGCCCTACCCCGATGTCACCTTCACAGTGACCATGCGCCGCAGGACGCTCTACTATGGCCTCAACCTGCTGATCCCCTGTGTGCTCATCTCCGCCCTCGCCCTGCTGGTGTTCCTGCTTCCTGCAGATTCCGGGGAGAAGATTTCCCTGGGTAAGCGCCCCAGTGTCTGGCGGGAGTCTGAGACTGGAGACCTTCTGCTGAGATCAGCTCTGGAGGGCTCACAGCAGACAGCGCAGGACTCCATCAGGGTTCCTGGGGATTCCCTGGCTCATCCCATGGACCTCCGAGCCCACGGTGGCTCCAGGACACCAGAGGTCCCTGATTCGGGCTCCGTGCTGGACGGCTGTGTAATCCTGAGAATACTGGAGGACCCTCAGAGGATGGGGGATGCACAGGGAGGGGGCCAGCTCCATTCTGCCTTGAGAGGCCTGTGCTTTCTTCCCTCCTGCCACCCCACCTGTTCCTCAATGGCGACTGGTCATCGAGGGAACAATTTAGCTTAGTATCAGCTTGCATTTGTATGTTACAGTACCCAGTGTAATTCTTACGATCACTCCCATACGAAGCTAAGGAAACCAAGATTTTGAATGGTGGAATGAGTTTCCCAATGTCTTAAAGAGTTGCTAAACATCAGATGTAGCATATGGTAGAAATCATTCCCAAACCCATATCTTCTGAGTATGAGGTTCAGAAAGGTTGAATGTTGTATCTAAGGTCACATAGCTAGCTGAGTAGCAAACGTAAGACCTGAAATCAGGTCTCCTGACTGCATATTTTCTTTTTCCTGCTACGTGAAACTACTTCTCAATAATATTTTACAGAGAATATGAGAGATAATTGTGCCAAGTTAAATTTTTCAGTTTGTGTTGATGCTTTTAAAATTCTGGGTCCTAAACTTGTCTCCATAAGAGACTCCTTTGGGACTCTGGTAAGTGGCATGGAATGTCCCCTGGAAAATGCACACGCCCATACATAGGGAAAACATGCATTCCACGACATTCCCCCCAGCGCCTCCCTTTCTTTTGAGTGTCAGGTTAGGAGCCCTCGTTAGACAGAATTGAGGCCTTCTTGTCTGTTTTTGTCTGAGGAACCGCTGTGTGTTTATGTTTTAGGGATAACAGTCTTACTCTCTCTTACCGTCTTCATGCTGCTCGTGGCTGAGATCATGCCCGCAACATCCGATTCGGTACCATTGATAGGTAAGGCAAGAGTTGGGCTCCTCTCTTAGAGATATGGGGTTAGGGTTAGAGTGTGCCCAGGATTTCCCAGCAGATGAAACTAGAAGAAATACGGCTGCACTGCCCCCATTTTCTCTGGAAGGTGATGATTTGCTGTAACTATTCAGAGTCACCCGGGCCCAAGTAAGGGGAAGGGGATATTCAGCTTTGAGGTTTGACTTTTATCTCACAGAAATGCCCCCCTTCCCCTCATAATTCTCCTCCTCATGCTTGCTTTGAAGCCAGATATTTCATCGTTAGAGATGCATCATTTTAGCTTAAGATGTTGTTTTCCCACAAAGCCTTTGTTAAAATGGGAGAAGCACACAGTTACTGTGTCCTGAGATAACTCAATGTCTCTGTATAAAAGTTTCTAGGGAAATATGAATGAGAAAAATATATTTTGCACAGGTATAAGGCATGATCCTCTACCCAGGGAGGGACAACAAAAACAAGTCTCCACTCCCACTGGGCAGGGAAGGTTGGAAGGAGGTATACAGACTGTCATTACACCTGCTGGCCCCTGCTGTTTGAGGACCTATGCTGTGTCTACCTGGGGGTGGGCTAGAGGGAGAGCCCTACCTGGATACCCCCAGGCTTTAGGAACCAAGCAGCAAAGGCCCTTCTTTGTGGAACTCCCTGTATGTGCAGTATTTTGGCCAGAGAAACTGTTGGTATGAAAAGCCTTTGTGGGTATCATTTTTCTCTTGGTACCATCCAGACAGGGAAGAACCACCTTTCCACCTGATTCTGACTCCATTCTTTCTACCTTCCAGCACACTGCTTTCAGTAGAGATTTGCAGCCTCCCTTCCGGGGGCAGTTGTCAGGCCTTCTCTCTCTGGACTGATGACCCACTGGGAAAGGCTTGGTTGGTGCATAGCCCACATCTCGAAGGATGGGATGTTGATGGCCCCAGGGACATCAGCTTTGCTGCCCTCTGTTGATGGAAATTCAGTCTGGGCAATCCTTTGACCCCCATCTCTCCAGAGGTGGTTGGTCTGCTCAGGCTGCCGTGACAAAATACTATGGACTTAGGGGCTTAAATAACTAACAGAAATTTATTTTCTCACAGTTGCACTGCTGAAAGTCCAAGACCAAGGGGCCATTAGGGATGGTTTAACCTGAGACCTCTCCCCCTGGCTTGCAGACAACCACTTTCACAATGCTTTGTCCTCCCCTGGTAGTTCCTCTGTGCACCTGCATCCCTGGTGTCTCTCTGTGTGTCCAAATTTTCTCTTCTTCATTAAAAGAACACCAGTCAGATTGGATTAGGGCTTACCCTGATGACCTAATTGTACTTAATTACCTCCTTAAAGACCCTATCTCCAAGTACAGTCACATTCTAGGGTACTAGGGGTTGGGGCTTCAACATATGAATTCTAGGGGGAAGCATAATTCAGCTCATAAGGGTCACGGTTTGCTCCAGTCTCCTTCCTTTTCTCAGGGGCCCTGATGCTAACTTTAGGTCTCAAACTTCCAGCTCTGGCAGAGCTCCTCCCAGGTACCTCTTGGTCTTTGTAGGAAGGCAGTGAGTTCCTTCCTGGCGTGAGGGCCTGTGAGGGCTAGCTGAATGCTTAGCGCCCTGCACCCTGATGCTTTCCGCTTAGAGTTCAGCCCCTTGAGTGGACAGCCACACCAAAGGTTTAATAATTAGAGCTGCCCACTAAAGAATGCCCCCTCCTTTCTCCTAGACATCTTGGCCTGTGTAATTGCTCATCATTGCACAAATCCTGCAAGGAAGAAGTTCCTATTTTAATGGAGGCTACCGTAACAAATTGCTGTAGACTGGGGGCCTAAGCAACAGACATTTATTTCTCAGAGTTCTGCAAGGCTGCACGTCCTCGATAAGGGTGGCAGCAGGGCTCTGGTGAGGGGCCAATCCCTGGTTTACAGCTGGCCCTCTTCTCACTGTGGCCTCACGTGGCAAAAAGAGAGTGAATTAGCTCTTTAGCCTCTTTTTATGAAGGACTCTAATCCCATTCATGAGGGCTGCACCCTCAGGACCTGTTGAAGGCCCCTGAGAAAATCACTCACCATTTCTCTACTTACACAACACTTCTGACACCAAAGCGGGGCGTTTCTCCCACATCGACCAATTCTTGGAAACCAGCTGGGCGTCCTACAGTGAGTTCACTTCAGTCCTGACACCACCTGGAGTTAGCACAGCACTCACAGATTAAGGCTCACAAGACCATTTCTACTTGAGATGCCAGTTAGAAGTTCCGGCTTCCCATGCTTCTGACCAAGTGTCTATAAATCGGGGAGTTCCCAAAAGCACATCTTTGAGTTCAGCCATTTACTAGAGTGACTCACTCTAGTAAACTCAGGGAAACATTTTACTGATATTTATTCATTAATTATAAAGCACAGATGAATAGTCAGATGAAAGAAATGCATAGGGCAAGGTATTTGGGAAGGGGCATGGAACTGCCATGCCCTCTCTGCCCTCCAAACACCTCCCCGTGTTCAGCACTGGGAAGGTCTCCACAGAACTCCATCCTTTTGGGTTTTTATGGAGGCTTCACTACATAGGCATGATTGATTACATCATTGGCCACTGGCGATCCACTCAACCGTCAGTACCTCTTTCCTCCCCAGGGGTCAAGGGTTGGGAGAGGGGACAGAGCTTGAAGGTTCCAACTCTCTAATTACTTGGCTGGTTCCCCTGGCAACCAAACCCCATCCTGAGGGTATCCAGGAACCTCAGCCATAAATCATTTCATTAGCATATAAAAAGACACTGATGACTTCAGAGATTCAAAGGTTTTAGGAGCTGTGTGCCAGGAAATGGGAGGAAGACCAAATACATATTTCTTATTATAAATCACAATCTCATACCTCCCAAAGCCCCACCTCCAGATACCATCCCAGTTAGGACTAGGGTTTTAACCCATGAACTTCGTGGGGACACAAACGTCATCCTTTGTACCACCCCCATTGGAGAGCTGAGGCCCGAAGAGGCTGAGCATCCACTCCAAACTCACAGCCAGTAGCTAGTGGACCAGGATGGAAGCACTCAGATGCTCCATGCTGCCCCTCACCTGGGCCCAGGTGGAAGGACACCCATGACCCATTAGAACCAAAGCTGAGACTGAAGTTCTCGTCCTGAAAAGTCCCTGCCACTGACCCCTTCCTCAGGCTGGACAGCTGGCAGCCAGGTGGTGTGCAGGTTTGCCCTCATTGTGCCCCTGGAGCACAGTAGAGGCCTGCATCATGAACACTGGATGGTTCCCATGCCCTCACATCCAGTATTTACCCACAGGAACAAGCTTATCACCATCCTGCCAGGCGATGCTAGCTCTTATTGACTGACAAGTCGGCCAGAGTGCATGGAAGTGCAATGAAGTGAGGGAAGGTCACTCCGTGGGCGGGAAGTCAGACCACACTGGCTGGTTTTGCCCACCCAGAATGTGGGCTGCAGGCCTAGACACATGGGCATCACTGCACCCTGAGGCCCTGACGGTCAGAGAACCTGATCAGGGTGTGCCTGTCCTGTGACGTGCAGTGCCACAGGATCCCCGGGTCTCACCCTGCATCTGTTCTCTCCACAGCCCAGTACTTCGCCAGCACCATGATCATCGTGGGCCTCTCGGTGGTGGTGACGGTGATCGTGCTGCAGTACCACCACCACGACCCCGACGGGGGCAAGATGCCCAAGTGGGTACGTTCCTCCCACCCCCGATGGAGTCGGAGCCCCGCTGTAAAGGAGGCTCCTCCTAGGGTTTATTTTTAAAATCACACAAAAAACGGGCATTCCTAAAGAAATAGCTTTGGGTTTTTTGTTTGTTTTTTTGAGACGGAGTCTCACTATGTCACCCAGGCTGGAGTGCAGTGGTGTAATCTTGGCTCACTGCAACCTCCACCTCCTGGATTCAAGCAATTCTCCTGCCTCAGCCTCCCAAGTAGCTGGGACTACAGGCGCCTGCCACCACACCTGGCCAATTTTTTTTTGTATTTTTAGTAGAGATGGGGTTTCACTATGTTGGCCAGGCTGATGTCGAACTCCTGACCTCGTGATCTGCCCACCTCAGCCTCCCAAAGTGCTGGGATTACAGGTGTGAGCCATTGTTCCCAGCCAGAAATAGCTTTGTTTCTGTATTTCGTCACCTATTGACGTGTCTTTGTGTAGTGTGCAGTCATGGTGCACGTGTTCCCGGATGCCCCGTGGCACTGCTGTCTAATCTAACTGCAGAGTAGAGTAAGGCTCTCAAACTGGCTGCCCTGTGTGTTCTATCAATCAGCACGGTGTTTTGAGAAGCTAGTTTGTTTTTTGATGCATGCCGTGAAGCACTGTGCTGCAGTTGGAGGCAACAGATGAGACAGATGCGTAGCAACATGGTTGAGGCTTCACAACAGAATGAGGAGCAAAGAGTAAGAAACAGAATGAGCTGTGTACAAATATGTACGTTCAGTACATCTAGGGATATCATCCAACCAGAAGTCTATGAAACAAAGACTAATTGTCACCAGTGCAGAAGGGGGAAGGGATAAAAGGAAACGGATGAAAACAGAAAGGATGGCATCCCACAGCCTGTCAGCTTAGCCTGGGCCATACCACTCCTGCCCCAGCTGCTGGCACCGTGCCCGGCCACATCTGCGGATGCTCACCCACCCAGGGATCCTCTCCTGCACGGTGTCCAGAGCTCTGCATCCACCCTTGCCTGGCAGTCAGGAAACCTTGATGAGGGCCTAGGGAGGGCCTGAGCTTCTTCCCCTCTTCATGTGAGCTTTGTAAAGCTTCCCCGTCCTCCTGTCTAGAGAGCCTGGCCTAAGGATTTGGGGAGCTAAAAAGGCCCTCACATTCCAAAAGTTGTCTGTCTTTGGAGAGCACTTGTGTCCCAGTTCAGAAGGGAATCTAGGAATCACCAACAAGCTAAATGCAGCTGTAGGGGGTGAGATGCTGTCAGGCACCCTCCAGGAATAGGGGATTGCTGGGCCTCCTGAAACAGTCATTGTGGAGTTGTTACCTGAATGCTCACTTAGCAAAGACTGCTTCTTAAGAAATGCTTTACAAAATTACTGTTTCTTCTCAGAGTTTCACCCACATGGCCCATTCCCCTTATACACTATTTAGTAAAGACTTACCTGTGAGCCCACCACAGTGGTGTGTGGCTGTAGTCCCAGCTACCTGGGAGGCTGAGGTGGGAGGATCATGTGAGCCCAGGAGCTCCAGGCTCCAGTGAGCTATGGTGGTGTCATTGCCCTCCAGCCTGGGTGACAGAGCAAAACTCCATCTCCTAAAAAAAAAAAAAAAAAAAAAAAAAAAGACTGACTTGTAGCTCATTACACAAGCAGTAATGTGAGCTCAGCCTACATGGTGATGTCTCACACACAGACCACATCACTACATTCCCTGAGGCTTGTTTTGTGAAGGCCCCCCCTTAAAACACTGGGGTACATTTGCACACATTCACCTGTATTTTTGTCTGATTTCCTTATAACGCTGACCCACACTTAAGAAAATGCAAGGCCAGAGGTGAGAGGCCTGAGAGCTGGAGGCTTGTTGGTTTGCTGCTCTTTCTGTCTGTCCATCCATCAGTTTGAAGCAGGTAATACATTTACCTGTTTCTAAAGTCAAAATAAAATTAAAATTATACATAAGGAAATCCTGCTCCCATTCCTTCCCCTTTACCCTGCATCTACCGTCAATACTGATAACCGTTTTAATGAATTCCTTATTTTTCCTTCTAGTATTTATTTATGCAAATACAAAAATCTAAACATTCTCATTTCTTGTAAGTATTTTGACTGATGAGAAGATAAGAGAATTAAGACATTGAGACACAAAACCATTTTTAACGACCTGGAGCACTCTACTGCTCTAGAACAATCTTAATTAAGAACATATGCTAATTATTCACCTCTCAGCATAAAAGCTTATTAAAACCAATTGGCTGCAAATGAAAGATGAAGCTTATGCATTTCTCTCGCTTTATATAGCACACTGCATTTTTCTTTCATTCCATGTGTATGTGAAACACAAACAGCCTCCGAGGGACTTTTATTATGATCTGTTGCTATGAAGAAGATACTGCCGGGTGCAGTGGCATTATGTGACATTTGCACAGCCAGAAACAAAACTGTAGCCTAACAGAAGAGGTCAAGAGCACAGTTTGAGGAGTGCCAAGAGGATAATTTTATCTTTTAAATGCTTTGGCTTTGAAAGTTAATGATTCAGGCCATGGAATTCAAAATGGACTTGGCAGAGTGTATCGTATGAGCTTGAGATGTGCACTGGGGGACGTGTAGACCCTGCCATGGAGGGAGAAGTGCCTGGTGCTGCTCGCTCCCTGTGTGCACTGCTGCCACTGGATGCAGGCACACTCACTGCCCTGCAGCCTCCCAGGAGAGCTGGCTCAGGCTTTCTGGTGCCTTCCCAGAGGGGTGGGGTTGTGCGAGTTTTGAAGAGAATCTTACAGACCCTTTGACAGATGAGACTGGGAAAGGCTAAACATGTGAAGTGACATAACCACTTACTTACTCATTGTACATCGTTGGGCCAGTTTATTAGCCTCTTTGAACCTCAGTTTGTTGGTCTGTAAAGTGAGGGGATTATACTCATTTCACCGGACCCTGAAAGGCCCAAGTGAGATGACTTGTCTCATGAGCCTTGTATGGACGGCCCAACTCACCCAAGGTTTCACCTGGGGCCATATGTCCCTGCTCCTTACTGATCATAAAAAACCCTCCAAGGTCAGCAGACCCAACCTTTCCAGGACACGCAGAGTGCCGCCTGCTTGTAAAGTACAATGGGAAACAAAGGGTTATTTTTATAGCTGCAATGAAACTGGTCTTGTGCTTCCCTGTTCTTGTCCCCAGACCTGTTTGTTGCAGTTATCTTTGATAAGATGTTATAAAAAGATGACCAAGAATGAAAGCTCTGCAGATACGAACTGCACAATTTACTATCTGTATATTTATTTCCTAAAGATAGGAAATAAACCTGTTAGGTTACTGATGGAATTTCCCCAAAATCATAAAACAAAATGTAAATGAAATCAGGATCTGGATAATTTCAGGGAAAAGGCCCACTTTTCATACACTTTACATGGATGGGCTTGCAAGAATGCTTCTTTACCTGGATTGAGGCTTCAGTTGTCTCTCTTCTTTCCATGAGAGGCAAAACCAGGATAAACTCCATGGTGATTTTTCTCCAGCTTCTTTCATGCACTCTAGGACACACTTTAGACCAGAAGTTAGCAAATTATGGCCTAGGTGGCCAAATCCAGTCCACCAAGTGTTTTTGTAAATAAGTTATTTTAGAAAACATGCCCATCCATTTGACGCCTTCAATGTGTGCTACATCAGCAGAAGTGAGTAGTTGCCTGGCCCTTTACAGAAAGTTTGCCAACTTCTGCCTTCAACTTTTCAAAGTACTCTCCCAGACATCATCTTATTCGGTCTTCATTGAAGCCTACTGAGTTAGGTTAGAGGTTCCGAAACTGCCTTGGTTCACAGCACGTTAGTATCTCAGGAAATTTTTCACAGAGCCCCTGGCCAAAAGAAATAATACCCAAGGCTCTCTTTTTAAATAGATCAAAACACTTTAATAAGTATTTATGCCTTAACAATGTAGCACCTATGGGGCACGGCACCGCCTCTCAAATCTTGGGATCAGATTGGAGACCACTAACCTAGTTTCTGTTTCACATGAAGTTCCTTGGTGTTTGCTTTTTATCAGGGTACTTTGAAAAACAGCTTTGCAAAGTGGTCATGTCATCACAAGAGATGTGGTAATCTGATGTTGGAAGCCTGAACTGCTTCAAGCTTCAAGTTTACCTGGTGTCTCATGGATATCCTGGGATTGCATTTGAAAATGTACAACCTCCCCCAGGCACTCTTTGCGAATTTGCAGTGGCCTTCCAGGGCACCTAACAGGTAGTGTGGGAGCCAGAGTTAGATCTGAAGGTCCCCGAGTTACAGATGAGGAAGGATCAGAGAGGGAAATTGACTTTCCCTCTTTACACAGCTCAGATAGCCTTCCCCTTCCACGAAGCTGTCTTCCCTGAGATTGCAGTGTGCCTGCCCCGGAGAACAATTTAGCTTGTTCCCAGGGTGCATCAGTTTTAGTCTTGCCTCACGTTGAACTCGACTGCTTGTCATACGCAAGCACTGCTTGCCTGCTAAAATCATCCGGGAGGCAGTGGAGGCTGCTACCCCCAGGACCAATGAAGCAGGGCTTGTATTGTAGGATCTTACTGCTGTTGGGATCAGCCCGTGTCCGCCTCAGGGCTGCTCTTAACGTTCTGTTGTCTCCCCAGACCAGAGTCATCCTTCTGAACTGGTGCGCGTGGTTCCTGCGAATGAAGAGGCCCGGGGAGGACAAGGTGCGCCCGGCCTGCCAGCACAAGCAGCGGCGCTGCAGCCTGGCCAGTGTGGAGATGAGCGCCGTGGCGCCGCCGCCCGCCAGCAACGGGAACCTGCTGTACATCGGCTTCCGCGGCCTGGACGGCGTGCACTGTGTCCCGACCCCCGACTCTGGGGTAGTGTGTGGCCGCATGGCCTGCTCCCCCACGCACGATGAGCACCTCCTGCACGGCGGGCAACCCCCCGAGGGGGACCCGGACTTGGCCAAGATCCTGGAGGAGGTCCGCTACATTGCCAACCGCTTCCGCTGCCAGGACGAAAGCGAGGCGGTCTGCAGCGAGTGGAAGTTCGCCGCCTGTGTGGTGGACCGCCTGTGCCTCATGGCCTTCTCGGTCTTCACCATCATCTGCACCATCGGCATCCTGATGTCGGCTCCCAACTTCGTGGAGGCCGTGTCCAAAGACTTTGCGTAACCACGCCTGGTTCTGTACATGTGGAAAACTCACAGATGGGCAAGGCCTTTGGCTTGGCGAGATTTGGGGGTGCTAATCCAGGACAGCATTACACGCCACAACTCCAGTGTTCCCTTCTGGCTGTCAGTCGTGTTGCTTACGGTTTCTTTGTTACTTTAGGTAGTAGAATCTCAGCACTTTGTTTCATATTCTCAGATGGGCTGATAGATATCCTTGGCACATCCGTACCATCGGTCAGCAGGGCCACTGAGTAGTCATTTTGCCCATTAGCCCACTGCCTGGAAAGCCCTTCGGAGAGCTCCCCATGGCTCCTCACCACCGAGACAGTTGGTTTTGCATGTCTGCATGAAGGTCTACCTGAAAATTCAACATTTGCTTTTTGCTTGTGTACAAACCCAGATTGAAGCTAAAATAAACCAGACTCACTAAATCCTTTCCAATAATTGACTGGTGGAAGGAAAACAAAAAACAAAAACTAAAAACCTCTTAGCTTTTCTGCAGTTCAACTTTTTATTTTTATTTTTATTTCTATCAAAGACGGTAGAGAGAAACAGCTTGATGCTGTTTCTACATTAAAAAAAAAAGAAAGACAGACTGTTGGTCTTACTAAGGATGTTTTTACCAGCCTGCCTGACTTCTGCAAACCTACCCTGTCAAGGAGATCAAAGGGACGCAGGTTTCTGTTTATTCTGAACAAGGGCCAGGCCCCGCGGAGTGTCTTTGGTGGATCCCAGATAACTCCTAGGTGCTGCTCTCAGACACTGAGGAGTTGAGCAAATCTGTTCTATTCTGCAGAACCCACAGGACAAATAAGAGTTCTACTAGAATTAACAGCCCAAAAGAATAGCTACAGCTAAGTGAAGCCACTTACGTGGGCTTTAAAAAAATAATGTGTTAGCTGATTCACATGCACTGGAGTTAATTAGTCTTAGAAATGTGTGCATCCATACAAATGCACAACATAAAGTGAACATATTCCTAGGCCCTTTCTGCCTGTGTCAGGGCCAGGAAGTAGAGGCTGGGAACTCTTCTGGTCCCCAGTATGGCAGGCGCCAGGGAGGGGATGGTGTGGCCCATCCCTTCTCTGGATACCTGGCCAGTGGCAGGCAGCAGGGAGGAGCTGGCCGACCCTCAGTGACTGACAAGCCAGCAATTCTGAGTTCTGGCCTTTGGGAGTCTGCCTGCTCCAAGCCAGTCCACCCCAGCTGCAGCCCCAAAAGCTGGCTCAAAGTCCTTGGGTGGATTCACTGGAGATGGGCAACTTAAAACAAGAGAAACTTTAATTTTTAAACCTAAGTGATGATACAGCTCTTCCCTTAGATTATCGCCCAGGCTGGAGTGCAGTGGCATGATCTCAGCTCACTGCAAGCTCCACCTCCCGGGTTCATGCCATTCTCCTGCCTCAGCCTCCCCCCGAGTAACTGGGAATACAGGCGCCCGCCACCATGCCTGGCTAATTTTTTGTATTTTTAGTAGAGATAGGGTTTCATCATGTTAGCCAGGATGGTCTCATTCTTATTCTTTAATGAGATCAGAGGGTAATTCACCAAGAAAGACCTCTCCTGTTCCATTGTGTCATCCAACAACTGCTCAGAGCTCAAAATTATAGAAGGCTTCTGAGCCCCTAGAGATTTTTAATTTGCTTCTAATCCCTGAGGTGGGAACATCATGAGGGAAGATTTGATTTTCAGAGTTAAATAAATTGTATGTGCTTTTCCAGCCATCTGGCTCACTCATTTCTGGGTAATGCACATGACTTTGTTTGCACTGGAGGAAGATGGAAGCTTGCGTGTGTGCGGTGTGTGTGTGTGTGTAAGTGTGAGGTACCTTGTGTGTGACAAGAGACCTCACTTACGAGAAAGTTGGTGGATCAGGACATTCCAGCCTCAGGCGGCTTGGAGCAGGATCATTCCTCAGCAGGCATTCCTTCCACATGCTATGGATGAGCCATGCACAAGATTTTCGTTTTTTTTTTTTTTTTCTGTTACAGTGTCTTTAGAAACAAGTAGAAGTGTTTTGATATATAAAAGGAATGCTTCATTTCTTATCATTATCCCAAAATTGATCCCTCCCACATTTTTGCTTTAAAAAGAAACCTTTTTGGTTTTGTATTTTATACAGGAACACAAAATGCAAACAAGTTGTGCATATTTTGGACTCTCAAATAACTACTCTGTCCTTTAATAAAGTAATAATAAGGAATAGATGTGCACATAGTTAGAAAAGTATGAGTGGTTAAAAACAACAGTCTCCCATACTGCCTGTTTTCTCTCTCAGAGGGGACCACTAATGAGCTTCTAAGGGCATTTCTAGAAAGGAAGAAAAGAAGATAAGAGGCCAAAGAAGGAGGGACGGGGGTTATGGAGAGAGACCTTCCCTTTCCAGCACTAACGCTCTGTGAAGGGCGCTGCACCTTGCATTCTTCATGTGGTGTTTTGTCTTAGAGGTCGTCCCATAATAACATATAAAGATCTACCTCATTCCTCCTAGTAGCTGCTTAGCATTCCATTATCTCAGCGGACTATCATTTATTTGAATAGCCTTTTATTGGTGAACATATGGATACTTCCAGTTTTTATTTTTATATACAAATCTATAATTGGCATACTTGTACATACATCTTGACATAGTTTTGTGACTAAAACGGTATAAATTCCAACTTAGAAATGGAATTGCTGGGTTTAAGGCTACATGTATTTAAAATTTTGATAGCTATTGCCAGATTATCTTCTAGAAACTGATCGAAGGATGTAACTCCATCAAGAGTACAATAAAAGGCCCAATTTCTCAGCTTTCTATAATAGCACTGGGTATTTTCAAACTTAATGTTTTTCCCAATATAATTGGTGAAACATGATATTTACGAATATTATTCTGATTTTGGTTTATTTTGTGTATAAAATGGGACATCTTTTAAAATTTTTTTGTAGTTTTAATTTTGATACATTTATATATTTTACCCAGTTCCTAATTGGGTTATTTGGCTTTTTCTTAATTTGCTCATGCACTTTGGGACATTTTTGTCTTATGTCTTTAAAATATTTTTATCATTTGTCTTTCGATGTTATTTATTGATTTCCTTATTTATTGGCATAGAGTTTAAATTTTTATGTTGTCAATTTGTGAGTATTTTTCTTTGTCGATCGTGGGATTTGTTTCCAGTTTTTAAAAGCCTTCCTCATTCTGAGATTATAAATAGACTTACTCGCATTTTCTTCTGAAACTTTATGGTTTTATTGGTTTACCTTCACATCTTCAGACTCCCTGGAATTCATTTGTTGCAGGACATGAGGGAAAAATCCATACTTTTTCCTCGAAATGGTGGTCAGCAGTATCAATAAATATGTAATAATGCATTTCTAAAATACAGTCATAGTGTTTTCCCCAGTTGTTCAAAATGCAGCCTTATTTGTAAACTAAATTTCTTTAAGTGTTTGGTTCTGTTTCTGTTCTATTTATCTCTATGAATGCCTTTCATTTCTAAAGCATTATTCATACTAATATCAGTATTTTCAAGTCAACACTCCCATCAACTCTGAATCTCTCTCTCATATGAATCTTTTTTCAATTAGAGTCACAATGAATTTACAGATTGAGTCTTCCTATTCAAAAGCATGAAATCTTGTGTTTAAGTCTAATTTTATGTAACTTAGTAGTGTTTTATGATTTTGTTCACTAAGGTGCTTTGAATTTATAGTTTATTTCTAGATGTTTTATCATTTGGCTATCATTTTCAATAGAATGATTTATTCCACTTTATTTTCTATTTTATCCCATTGTATAAGAAAGTAGTTGGTTTTTATGTATGAATGTTATAATCAACCACAAATTGTGATTCCTACTTGTTTCTAAGGTATACTTTTGACTTCTCCTTTCCAATGTGTCTCTTATTTCTTTCTTGTATCTAGTTGATTTGAGATCAGTGTTGAGTCACAGTGATTCAGGTGGCATGCTTATCTTGTTCGTGACATCAGTGGGACGTTTTAATGTCTCAGCGTTTAACTTGTATGAAGACATGTATTTTCCTTGCCATAATAAAAAAGTATCTGTGTGTTCTCAAACTATTAAGACTCTCTGGGGAAAATGTAGATGTTAGATTTTTGTCAAAGCCTTCTCAGTGTCCAGAGGGATTATCAGAAGGTCTTTTCCTTTGCTCTAGTAGTATGTTTAATTATATTAATAGAATACTTAAGACCAAATCATTAGTGTATTCCTGAGATGTTCTTTACTTATTAGTATCATGACTTTGGTTATCAATATTTATAATTAAGATTCATCATTCTACATCTTGCTTTTATGTGTTTTTTGTCCAGATTTAACTTTATGCTGACTTAAAGGAAGAAATATTATAAAACAAAAACCTCTATATTCTACAATCATCTATTGGTTTTGAATTATTTTCTGCTTAAGTGTAGAAGAACTAGCTGGGGCTGTCTGGGCCTGCCGTGGTATATTTCTGGATTTTGCTCATCAGGCAAGTTAGGTCCTCGAGCCCTTCTAGAGTCCATTTTAATGACATTTTTAAAAATAAAATTAATTCCATCCACTTTTCAACATAGTTGCGTAGTTTTGTAATATATGCACTTCAGGTGTTTTCTTTCCTCTGTATTTGTGGCTTTTTCTCCTTTTTCCGTTTGTAATTGTGTGCATTTCTCCTTTCTCCCGTGCCTATTGATTTAGCTTGCCATGAGTTTTACCGGTTTATATTTTTAAGACATTGGACCCTTAGACTTTGCAGTCCGAGGACCTGTCTGCAGGGTCTTGGGGTTCCCTGCGTTGACCCAGCCCTCCCAGGTGACAGCAGTGGGCCAGCACAGCAGAAGCCACAGTTGTTGCAGGTGCTTCTCCAGCCAGTGCTGGGCCCAACACATGGTTCAGCCCTTCCTCTGGGCCCTGGGAGCCTGTGGGACAAACTAGTCGGGGCAGCATGGTGGGTTAGATGTAGCTGGTCATTGCACTCCCGGGGACCCCAGTGAGTTGGAGAAAAGACTGACAGAAGCTTTAAGCAGAGCCCCCTGGAGGTGCACGCCTCAGGAAGGAACTCTTACATAATTTAACTTTTTCTCATTCCTTCATTTTTTATGTGGTACAAACCCTTCCCAACCTCCCTAGACCTTCCGTCTATCAGTGTTTCTGACCTCACCATGGATAGCTCCTTTTGTAATTACTGTTTACTTCATATGCGTTTGACCTTCTAATGCCATAGCTTGTCCTGAGTTGGGGAAGGGGTCTCAAAGTTATGGCCCCTGGGGATGCGGCCCACAGATTCTATCTTTCTCAAACTCTTTGTGACGAGACGCCCCCTGTGTTTGCACACAGCCCGCTTCGGGAATGCCACCTTTCTGCAGCGCTGCAGTTCCACACTCTTTCTTGTCTTCTCTCCACCGTCACGTGTAACATTTTGCACTGCTTTCTAAATTTCCTTTTTTTCTGCCAATGGCCTTCCTACCATTTCCTCTGCTGCTGTGTTAGAGTTCTGTGTGTTCACCTTTGATAAATAATTCCCATCAACAAATTCTGCAGGTATGTTTTCTAATTTTTAGTTTTCTGCTTTTATCTTTAATATTTTCATTCTATTTTACTTTTTAAAAATTATTGTATATTTTTAAATTTTCGTAAAATATACATAACATAAAATTTATCATTTTAACCAGTTTTAAGTGTACCATTCAGTGTCATTAAATACAGTCACATTGTTGTACAGTCTTCACAACCACATATTCCCAGAACTCTTTTCATCTTCCCAAATTGAAACCCTGTCTCTATCAAACATCAACCACTCTTGTTTTGGTCCTTTTTTTTTTTTTTTTCTTTTTTTGAGACAGAGTCTCATTTTATCACCCAGGCTAGAGTGCAGTGGTGCAATCTCTGCTCACTGCAACCTCTGCCTCCTGGGTTCAAGCGATTCTCATGCCTCGGCCTCCAGAGTTGCTGGGATTACCAGAGCACACCACCAATCCCAGCTAATTTTTTATATTTTTAGTAGAGATGGGGTTTCACCATGTTGGCCAGGCTGGTCTCGAACTCCTGGCCTCAAGTGATCTGCCTGCCTCCTCCTCCCAAAGTGCTGGAATTACAGGCGTGAGCCACCACACCTGGCCTCCTTTTGGTCTTTATAAATTTGGCTAGGTACCTGATACAAGTGGATTCATATAGTATTTGTCCTTTTGTGACTGACTTATTTCACATTACATGAAATAAGATATCCTCAGGATTCAGCCATGATCCTTTTACTTTTTTTTTTTTTTTTTTTTTGAGAGGAAGTCTCGCACTGTCGCCCAGGCTGGAGTGCAATGGCGTCATCTTGGCTCACTGCAACCTCCACCTCCCGAGTTCAAGCAATTCTCCTGCCTTAGCCTCCTGAGTAGCTGGGATTACAGGCACCCACTACCACTCCCGGTTAATTTTTTTTTTTTTTTTTTTTTTTGTATTTTTAGTAGAGGTTGCACCATGTTGGCCAGGCTGGTCTCAAACTCCTGACCTCAGTTGATCTACCCGCCTCAGCCTCCCAAAGTGCTGGGACTACCAGCGTGAGCCACCGCGCCCAGCCAGTTCTCTTCTACTTTTATTTTGTTGTTGTTGTACTAAGTTATTCAATAGATGCCTAATTCATGTGTTTCCAATTATTCTTATTTAATCAGATAAGTATTTTTGGCTCTGCATTTTATTCTGATCAAAGCTTTAACAGCAGTCCATACGTCTTAATATGCAATGTTTTCATTTGTATTTTCTGGATATTCTATAAGTTGAATTGTTGTACCTTCTTCAAGCTGACTTTTTAAATAAAGGCTAGTGAAGTGAAGCAGCAGTGGAAATGGAAAAGGAGCAAAGAAACCTGTAACTGCTTGTAATCAATTCCTTGTACACCCCACTGCACTCAGACCAGCCCGAACTGAGCTTTGTTGAGTGTTTTAAAATTTCCACATTTTTTAACTTAAAAATTAATTTCTAGTTACATTACCTTATGCTTTAAGCAAAATGCCTTTTGTTCTATTTCTAATATTTATAATGTGCTGAGGTGTTTCTGAGGGGTTTGTATGATCAGTGCCTGTGAATGGGTCCCTCTCTGAGAACGACCTGGGCGGGTGTGTGGGAGTTCCACCCCTGGCTTTGCTCACTGGCCTGGCTGGGGCCACGCTCCCTGTCAGCAGCATTCCTCTTTCAATCATCCTTCCATTTACCACAGGATGTTTAACGATTTACCGGATTTTCATTCTATTTTCAATACTTAACCTTGAATTCACATTTGTCTGCTTTTAAAATCAGCCCCACTGATTTCTTATGCTGAGATGCCTCTCTCGTTCATTCTTACACTCACACAACACCTCCCGTCTCCACATGTGTGGGGAAAAATCCCACCCATTCGCCAGCACCAGCTGGGTGTCCTACCGTTCAGCTCAACTCTGACACTAACTGGAGTTAGAGCCAGCCCCACAGGGGAGGGGCTCAATTCCCAGGACTGCCCTGCTCCAGATGCCAGTTGTAAGTGGTGGGTCTGCAGGTCACCCACAGCTTCTGTCCAACTTGGCTATAAATCGGAGGTTCCCACGCCCCCCTTCTTAGGTCCAGTCATTTGGTGGAACAGCGCAGAGAACCCAGGGCAACACTACTATGTTTATCCACTTATTATAAAGAATACAGCCAAATGGGAGAGAAATACAGGAAAAGATATGGTGGGGGTGGGTATGGAGCTGCCATGGCCTCTCCAGGAGCACCACCACGTGTTCCCCAACCCTGAAGCTCCCGCACCTGTACTTAGGAATTTTTAAGGAGGCTTCATCATGTAGGCATGATTGATTATTGATTCAATCTCCAACTCCTCTTTCCTCCCTAGAGGATGGGGTGTGGGGCTGAAAGTTCCAAGCTTCTAACCATGGCTTGGTCTTTCTGGTGACCAGCCCTCATCTAGGATTCCACCAAGAGTCGTTCATTAGAACAAAAGATGCTCCTATCACCCAGGAAATTCCAAGGGATTGGAAGTTCTGTACCAGGAACCCAGTCAAAGATGCTCCCAACCAATATTAGAACAAAAGATGCTCCCAGTACCCCCATCACTCAGGAAATTACAAGGGTATTAGGAGCTCTGTGTCAGAAACTGGAGACACAGACCAATATGTATTTCTTATTATTTTATACTCAATTTTATGTTTAACCTTTTTGAGGCACTTTGTTTTAGGTTTATTTATCTTGGATCTGCACTTATATTTTTAATACATATTGCTGATATATTTGGTTTAATATTTTTTTCAATATCTGTAATTAATATTTCTTTTGCATTCCCTTTTGGATTTTTTTATTTCCCCCCTCCTTCTGATTATGTGCAATCCTTTTGTTAAAATGAAAGATTTATTGCTTTTATGTGTTTAAGTGGTTACCTATATAATTTTACATAATTCAACCTATAGTTCATGATTTATCAACCTGACAGTTTCTATTAATTCTCCACTTCTCACTTCAAACCCCAATATATTATTAGTTATCTTTTTGTTTTTAGGTTTTCTGCAGGTTCCTTATACAACACTCTGTGATATGCTTTAATATTTATCAATTCAGAAGAGTATCTGTTGACTACTATTGAGAGAAAATTGAAAGATGTTTAATAGGATGGGCAATTCATTCATTTTGTGGTAATCTTCCCTTTTACCTAATTTTCATAGTGCAATTATCTTTGTTATTTTTACAAATTCATGAGTTATAACATTTACTTTCTGAAATTAATTTCCTACCATCACATACATGGTATATTTATTTATGCAAAATGAATTTTCCTTCTTTTTCCTCATTTTGGCTTGAATATGCAATGATGTGTTTTATTCCTCTTATTCCCTTTGGAGATCTGAAATTCTTCCTCTATGATGGTAGCTTTGTTATTTTTGGCATTGTCTATTCTGTTTCCTGCTATTTACAGTTCGGGTAGGTTTTTTTTTTTTTCTTCCCGTTCTGAAATGAGTTTTTGCTCTTCAATTTGTTTCCAAAACTCTGCAATTTACCTTTCATTTTGCTTTTCTATCTTTTAGCTCTTTTTTATTGAAATCGATTTCTTACTAACTTCTTACACAACATTTTGGAGAACTTTCTTGCATGGATTCAGTTACATATTTTGCTGCAGAATGAAATCTTTGTCTTTCTTTACAGACCATGGTCCACCCTGTGTTCACTGTTCCCCTGCAGTGCATTTGCAGGAATGCCTTGCCATTTATTTCACTCTTACTTTTGCTTAATTTGGGCAGCTCCATGTGGATCTTTAAATTCCTCTGAAAAAGCAGGTCTCAGCCCCTTTCAGACTCTGTGCTCCCCCTTCTTCCTGCTTTCCTGGCCTGGGGTTCTGAGAGGAAGGCCAGCCCCTAGGATGGACAGCCTGGGCGTTTTTGTCTTTACTTTGTTGCTGTTGATGTTGGTCTGTTGGTGCTCCAATACATCTTAGGCATTACCCTGGAAGGAGATCTATATCATTATTTATTGCTCTAATTCATGAAATTCTGGGTCTTTGGGGTGAGTGAACTCTTATTCAGCTTTCTCAGTTAGCCGCGTACTCCCGGTGAAATTTCCCAACCTCTCTCCTTACACCCTTCAACCTCCAGTCAGGACAGATAAAATGTCCATGGATTTGGCTGTTAGGGCTGGTAGTTGGAGGGCTGGTGGGAGCAGGAATTTGGTTATAGTCACATCCCCTTTCCTTCCTGCCCATAGGGAAGACACCTGAAGACCTCCTGCCTGTGACTTTCCTGCATCTGCTGAGATCCTTGGTGGGAGGCGGGACTTCTGCACTCATGGGCTCTCTTAAAACTTTTTCCCTCCAACTTACAACTTCCCTTCTCAATGAGCCTCACTCGAGACTGGCAGCGTAGGGTGGGGAGAGGGATCCGCTATTTGGGTTGGAGGGACACGCGGGGTGGGTCGCACTGATTCAGAGTCTGTCCTTTGCAGGCCCACACCACCTTCTTCTCTGTGTCCTCCTGGCTGCAGCGCTTTGAAGAGTGTGGCAGGAGGCTCCATCATTCTGTGTTGCTGCTGCTGTTTGCTATTGTTGCTTTTTTGGGCAGCGATATCTCTGATCCTGCCTTCCTCCACTCGCAACGCGTTGATAGTCACTGACCACATATTCAGGGCAATGGGTAACAATGGAGAGAGAGTGTGTTATGTCTCAGCACCAAGGCTGCTGGTAAATTATATTCCCAGTAATTTTAGAAGATTGTGGCAGATGCTTTTCACTTCATGTTGAAGCTATTCATCTTTACATTGAAGGACCTTATGAAGCTACAGAGTTTAATCTTTTTCCAACTATATTTGCCCCCTTTTCTTTCTGTGGTAAATGAAAACGGCCAAGAATTCGCCATTTAGTATCTTTGTATTAATATGAATAGTGTAATTGTTTTTCAAACACATTATTTTAAGCTGTCATTTAAGATAAAGATAGTCTTGGTGAAATCAATATGTCAGGGTTAAAGTGAGTATGTTTTTCTCCTACACATTTTGGTAATTACCATACAGTCACCCCCATCTGTGGCGTTACTTTCTTTTCTTTTTTTTTAGACAGAGTCTTGCTCCGTCACCCAGGCTGGAGTGCAGTGGCGCGATCTCGGCTCACTGCAAGCTCTGCCTCCCAAGTTCACGCCATTCTCCTGCCTCAGCCTCCCAAGTAGCTGGGACTACAGGCGCCTGCTACCACGCCCAGCTAATTTTTATATTTTTAGTAGAGCTGGGGTTTCACCATGTTGGCCAGGCTGGTCTCGAACTCCTGACCTCAGATGATCTGCCCAGCTCAGCCTCCCAAAGTGCTGGGATTACAGGCGTGAGCCACCACACATGTCCTGTGGTGTTTCTTTCTGTGGCTTCAGTTATCTGTGGTCAACCACAGTCAGAAAATAGGCGAAGACAATAAGATGTTTTGTGACAGAGACCACATTCACATAACTTTCATTACAGCATATGGTTATGATTGTCCTATTTTATTGCTAGTAAGTGCTGTTAGTTTCTTACTGTGCCTAATTTATACATTAAATTTTATCATAGGTATGTATATATCAGAGAAAAAACATATGTAGGGTTCACTACTACCCAAGGTTTCAAGCATCTACTGTGGGTCTTGGAACATATCCCTGTGGATAAGAAGGCACTACATTACAATATAGACTTCTGTTGTACTTTTCAAACATCATAATGCTCAAGAAATTACCATCCACTTGGAATTAGAATTTGCTGCAGTCCCAGCCATACTTCAGCATGCCCCCTGTGCCCTGGTCAACCTTGTTGGTTCTCTGGCTCCCGTGTGACCATATTAAACCCCCGCCAGCATCCTCATTGCCAAGCCCCAGGTGGTGTCTGGAGAGGGACGTGGGCTTAGTCACTTAAAAACACAGTGCCTCAAATCCTTTGTGGAAAAGACAAGTTCATGCTATTCAATTAGATTCAGAATTTCCAAATATACAGAAGCTCAGAGCTCGTCTATGGCATCAGGTTCCAAGCTTTTTTTTTTTTAAAGGTTAGTTCAAGTACAAAAGATAAGAGTATTTGTTCCAGAGACAGGTCTGGGGGACTTTGGTGTCTGGCCTTAAAGAGAAATTGTGAAGGAGTCATTTTGAAAATGGTGTTGGTGTGTACTGGGGCCTCAGCCAAAGAGACTTGGGCTCAGGAGGCAGTGGGTCAGCCAGGCAGATGGGGGCTCATCCGCGTGTCTGTGACTGGGGGAGACAGGGACCCTGCCATCAGGAGGGAGCAGGAGTGGCAGCAGTGGGGGCCAGCAGTAGGTGTTTGTTCCAGGTTCCCTGAGCTCTCCTGAGATTCTTCCAGACTCCTGGAAATAACTGGGCAGAGGAGAGCCAAAGCCAACTGGCTGAGGTCAACCCACAGCTGCAATTCAGATTCACATGGATGTGATCCCATTGAACTGCAGGCTGAGATTCAGTCCATTCACCTGAGACATGTGAGACCCCGTTGTGGTCTGAATTAAGATTCTTCAAATTTATATGTTGAAGCCCAACCACCGTACCTCAGACTGTGATCTTATTTGGAGAGGGCCTTTAAAGAGGTAATTGAGTTAAAATCAGGCCATGAGGGTGAACCTTAATCCATTCTGACTGGTGTCCTTATAAGAAGATGAGGTTAGGATACAGACACAGTCAGAGGGGTGATCGTCTGAGGCACAGGGAAGACAGCCATCTACAAGCCGAAGAGAGAGGCTGCAGGAGAAGCCAGCCTTGCCCACCTTGATCTTGGACTTCCAGCCTCCAGCACTGTGAGGAAATGCACGTCTGTGTTTAAGCCCCCAGGCTGTGGTTCTTTGTTGTGGCAGCCCCAGCCTCCAAGGCAGGCATCTGTCAGGTGCTGTCCCCTCTGCCAGACACAGGGGGTGCAGTCATGAGAAAGCTTATCTTAGCTGGAAGGAGCTCGTTCTTAGGAAGGGAATTAGGTAAAAAGAGAGTAAGGGCCACACAGGGAGGGATCCCAGCCTTAGACAATCATGGGAGACTTCCTAGAGTTGGTGGCGCCTCAGGTAAAATCAGATGAGGGGATTGAGGCCCACCCCAGCGACTTGCCCAGCCTCACACAAATAGCTGTTTGAACTGAGACTAGGAACTCAACATCCTGAGGCTGCTTTCGTTAACCTCAAACTTACTTTGTCCATTCTTCTTTGTAAATGGCAGGGAATGGAGAATGGCACCCTGTGTTTTGGTGTCTGCAGTGGAAGGGGGTGTAGACCCCTCTGGCTGGCTTGATTCAAAGTATCGGTTCCGTCACTGGTATGTGCTGTCCTCTGTTGCTATGAAAATTTATGGCTAAAACCATCTTGCTTTGAAAGGTTAACTTTTTTTTTTTTTGAATTGGAGTTTGGCTCTTGTTGTCCAGGCTGGAGTGCAATGGCGCGATCTCGGCTCACTGCAGCCTCTGCCTCCTGGGTTCCAGCGACTCTCCTGCCTCAGCCTCCAAAGCAGCTGGGATTATAGGCATGAGCCACCACACCCAACAACTCTTTAATACCATGATTCCTGGGACACTAGTGGTCCCTAAAACTGCTTTTACTTGGGGCATGGGCAGGGCATGGGCTGAGAAGGAACATCCCCCGGGCCTTGCAGTCACAGTTTCCCATGGGATGTTTTAGCGCGGTTAAGCGCTGTTTAGCGTGTTAAGGCACTGCAGCAAGAATAAGCATGCTGGGTCCTGATTCTGAAAACCTCTCTTTAAGGCACTCAGGCCTTGCGGTTCTGTTTTCTCTACACTCTCTGTGGTGCCTCTAGTACCGTGATTAAAAACAGTGGCCCCACAAACACGACCTCACCTTCAAATCCAACTCTGCCCCCTGCCGACTGACCTCCAGCACACTGCTCACGTTATCCAAACTCGGGTGTCCCCACGTTAAAGGAGTGACTATAGTACTACCTGCCAAGACACTGTCGCAAGGACAGCCCAGAACACAGGACGCACTCGAAAATGTCAGCTAAGTTTATTTTCCGCAGGATCAAACCTCACTCCTCCCACATAGGAGATGCCATCTTCTTGTTTTAAAGGCTTTATGACAAACAGGCATTCCTTTGAAGTTTAACAAATTCCTCCTGCCACCATGACAATGACGTCTAGCAACACATTCTCTGGTGAGAAAAAGGAAAGTTTAGAAAGACATTGTCAGTTGTCTCTTCCTAAGTGATATTTACCAGGACCCAAATACCAAAAAGCACAGCTCAGAAACACAGGGGCTAGGCCGGGCACAGTGGCTCACGCCTGTAATCCCATCACTTTGGGAGGCTGAGGCGGGCAGATCACCTGAGGTCAGGAGTCCGAGACCAGCCTGGACAACACAGAAAAACCCCATCTCTACTAAAAATACAAAAATTAGCCAGGCATTGTGGTGCATCCCTGTAATCCCAGCTACTTGGGAGGCTGAGGCAGGAGAATCACTTGAACCCAAGAGGCGGAGGTTGCTGTGAGCCAAGATTGTGCCATTGCACTCCAGCCTGGGCAACAGAGCGAGACCATGTCTCAAAAAATAAATAAATAAATAAAAATAAATAAATAAATACAGGGGCTTTGGCAGTGGGTCCAGGAGGCATCTGGTGAGGTCATTAGGGAGGGGTCATTACACATGGAAAGCAGCAGAGACCGTTTACTGAGTACATATTTGTTGAATGCTTTTAGGACATGAGATGAGAAGGGGGAGAAATACTCACGATGTGGAGCTGGAGGTGCGTGGGCAGCCGGTGAACAGTAATGGAACATTGACACAAGCCAGGTGGGACGAGTGTGGTGGGATGGCCTGCGAGAGGGGAGCAGAGGGGACAGGGCTGGGCAAGTACCCAGAGGCAGCCGCCTGGTGCACCTTGAGAGGTATGCATGAGAGGAACACCAGAGAGGGCCAGGGTGGGCAGGGTGGCGGTGGGCAGGAGGAGTGAGGGTGGGAGAAGGCACTGTCTGGGATGGGAGATGGGGGTCTTCGGGATTCCCTAGTGCTTTCCCTAAGAGCAGTAGGGGCGACTGAAGGCTCTGGGCCAGAGAGTGGTATAATTCAGTTGTTTTTAGATTCTGGAAAAAGAATTGGGAGCTACAGCATATTCTTTCCACTTCTGCCCTAAACTTTGTTGAGTCCCATATGCTGGGAGGCTGACCAGGTGTGGCAGTGGGAGCTGGATCTCCCTCCAGTCTTAAGGTGAGATGTAGGATGTGATTTATAGGTCAGATATGAGATGGAAAATGGCAGCCGACAGGACGTGGCTGATGAGGGAATAACCTGCTCAAAGCCTGGGACAGAAGGACTAGGAGGAAGAAATGTTGAAAGAGAGTTTCAAGGCATTTTCCAGGAGAGTATGATCTAAAGCATCTTCTCTATCTCCCCAGGTGAATGTTTGCTAGCGCTGCAGAGCCCCTCAGTCACTCAATCGGTGCAGACGGGTGGCAGAAACCACTGGAGTCATGTGAATGGGGACACTTTCCTATGAACAGTGGTTACACAGGCAAAGGCACCCGCCCCTAAAAGAAGTCAAAGACTTTTTGTCTGGAACCAAGATGGCCGAATAGGAACAGCTCCGGTCTACAGCTCCCAGCGTGAGCGACGCAGAAGACAGGTGATTTCTGCATTTCCATCTGAGGTACCGGGTTCATCTCACTAGGGAGTGCCAGACAGTGGGCGCAGGACAGTGGGTGCAGTGCGCCGTGCGCGAGCCGAAGCAGGGCGAGGCATTGCCTCACTCAGGAAGCACAAGGGGTCAAGGAGTTCCCTTTCCTAGTCAAAGAAAGGGGTGACAGACAGCACCTGGAAAATCGGGTCACTCCCACCCGAATACTGCGCTTTTCCGACGGGCTTAAAAAACGGCGCACCAGGAGATTATATCCTGCACCTGGCTTGGAGGGTCCTACGCCCACAGAGTCTCGCTGATTGCTAGCACAGCAGTCTGAGATCAAACTGCAAGGCGGCAGCGAGGCTAGGGGAGGGGCGCCCGCCATTGCCCAGGCTCGCTTAGGTAAACAAAGCAGCCAGGAAGCTCCAATTGGGTGGAGCCCACCACAGCTCAAGGAGGCCTGCCTGCCTGCCTCTGTAGGCTACACCTCTGGGGGCAGGGCACAGACAAACAAAAAGACAGCAGTAACCTCTGCAGACTTAAATGTCCCTGTCTGACAGCTTTGAGGACAGCAGTGGTTCTCCCAGCACACAGCTGGAGATCTGAGAACGGGCAGACTGCCTCCTCAAGTGGGTCCCTGACCCCTGACCCCCGAGCAGCCTAACTGGGAGGCACCCCCCAGCAGGGGCAGACTGACACCTCACACGGCCGGGTACTCCTCTGAGACAAAACTTCCAGAGGAACGATCAGACAGCAGCATTCGCGGTTCACGAAAACCACTGTTCTGCAGACACCGCTGCTGATACCCAGGCAAACAGGGTCTGGAGTGGACCTCTAGCAAACTCCAACAGACCTGCAGCTGAGGGTCCTGTCTGTTAGAAGGAAAGCTAACAAACAGAAAGGACATCCACACCAAAACCCATCTGTACATCACCATCATCAAAGACCAAAAGTAGATAAAACCACAAAGATGGGGAAAAAACAGAGCAGAAAAACGGGAAACTCTAAAAAGCAGAGCACCTCTCCTCCTCCAAAGGATCGCAGTTCCTCACCAGCAATGGAACAAAGCTGGACAGAGAATGACTTTGACGAGTTGAGAGAAGAAAGCTTCAGACGATCAAACTACGAGCTACAGGAGGAAATTCAAACCGAAGGCAAAGAAGTTAAAAACTTTGAAAAAAATTTAGACGAATGTATAACTAGAATAACCAATACAGACAAGTGCTTAAAGGAGCAGATGGAGCTGAAAGCCAAGACTCGAGAATTACGTGAAGAATGCAGAAGCCTCAGGAGCCGATGCAATCAACTGGAAGAAAGGGTATCAGCGATGGAAGATGAAATGAATGAAATGAAGCGAGAAGGGAAGTTTAGAGAAAAAAGAATAAAAAGAAATGAACAAAGCCTCCAAGAAATATGGGACTATGTGAAAAGACCAAATCTACGTCTGATTGGTGTACCTGAAAGTGACGGGGAGAATGGAACCAAGTTGGAAAACACTCTGCAGGATATTATCCAGGAGAACTTCCCCAATCTAGCAAGGCAGGCCAACGTTCAGATTCAGGAAATACAGAGAACACCACAAAGATACTCCTCGAGAAGAGCACCTCCAAGACACATAATTGTCAGATTCACCAAAGTTGAAATGAAGGAAAAAATGTTAAGGGCAGCCAGAGAGAAAGGTCGGGTTACCCACAAAGCGAAGCCCATCAGACTAACAGCGGATCTCTCGGCAGAAACTGCAAGCCAGAAGAGAGTGGGGGCCAATATTCAACATTCTCAAAGAAAAGAATTTTCAACCCAGAATTTCATATCCAGCCAAACTAAGCTTCATAAGTGAAGGAGAAATAAAATACTTTACAGACAAGCAAATGCTGAGAGATTTTGTCACCACCAGGCCTGCCCTAAAAGAGCTCCTGAAGGAAGCACTAAACATGGAAAGGAACAACTGGTACCAGCCGCTGCAAAATCATGCCAAAATGTAAAGACCATCCAGACTAGGAAGAAACTGCATCAACTAACGAGCAAAATAACCAGCTAACATCATAATGAGAGGATCAAATTCACACATAACAATATTAACTTTAAATGTAAATGGACTAAATGCTCCAATTAAAAGACACAGACTGGCAAATTGGATAAAGAGTCAAGATCCATCAGTGTGTTGTATTCAGGAAACCCACCTCACATGCAGAGACACACATAGGCTCAAAATAAAAGGATGGAGGAAGATCTACCAAGCAAGTGGAAAACAAAAAAAGGCAGGGGTTGCAATCCTAGTCTCTGATAAAACAGACTTTAAACCAACAAAGATCAAAAGAGACAAAGAAGGCCATTACACAATGGTAAAGGGATCAATTCAACAAGAAGAGCTAACTATCCTAAATATATATGCACCCAATACAGGAGCACCCAGATTCATAAAGCAAGTCCTGAGTGACGTACAAAGAGACTTAGACTCCCACACATTAATAATGGGAGACTTTAACACCCCACTGTCAACATTAGACAGATCAACGAGACAGAAAGTCAACAAGGATACCCAGGAATTGAACTCAGCTCTCCACCAAGCAGACCTAATAGACATCTACAAAACTCTCCACCCCAAATCAACAGAATATACATTTTTTTCAGCACCACACCACACCTATTCCAAAATTGACCACATATTTGGAAGTAAAGCTCTCTTCAGCAAATGTAAAAGAACAGAAATTATAACAAACTGTCTCTCAGACCACAGTGCAATCAAACTAGAACTCAGGATTAAGAATCTCACTCAAAACCGCTCAACTACATGGAAACTGAACAACCTGCTCCTGAATGACTACTGGGTACATAACGAAATGAAGGCAGAAATAAAGATGTTCTTTGAAACCAACGAGAACAAAGACACAACATACCAGAATCTCTGGGATGCATTCAAAGCAGTGTGTACAGGGAAATTTATAGCACTAAATGCCCACAAGAGAAAGCAGGAAAGATCCAAAATTGACACCCTAACATCACAATTAAAAGAACTAGATAAGCAAGAGCAAACACATTCAAAAGCTAGCAGAAGGCAAGAAATAACTAAAATCAGAGCAGAACTGAAGGAAATAGAGACACAAAAAACCCTTCAAAACATTAATGAATCCAGGAGCTGGTTTTTTGAAAGAATCAACAAAATTGATAGACCGCTAGCAAGACTAATAAAGAAAAAAAGAGAGAATCAAATAGACGCAATAAAAAATGATAAAGGGGATATCACCACCGATCCCACAGAAATACAAACTACCATCAGAGAATACTACAAGCACCTCTACGCAATTAAACTAGAAAATCTAGAAGAAATGGATAAATTCCTCGACACATACACTCTCCCAAGACTAAACCAGGAAGAAGTTGAATCTCTGAATAGACCAATAACAGGAGCTGAAATTGTGGCAATAATCAATAGCTTACCAACCAAAAAGAGTCCAGGACCAGATGGATTCACAGCCGAATTCTACCAGAGGTACAAGGATGAACTGATACCATTCCTTCTGAAACTATTCCAATCAATAGAAAAAGAGGGAATCCTCCCTAACTCATTTTATGAGGCCAGCATCATCCTGATACCAAAGCCGGGCAGAGACACAACCAAAAAAGAGAATTTTAGACCAATATCCCTGATGAACATCGATGCAAAAATCCTCAATAAAATACTGGCAAACGGAATCCAGCAGCACATCAAAAAGCTTATCCACCATGATCAAGTGGGCTTCATCCCTGGGATGCAAGGCTGGTTCAATATACACAAATCAATAAATGTAATCCAGCATATAAACAGAACCAAAGACAAAAACCACAAGATTATCTCAATAGATGCAGAAAAGGCCTTTGACAAAATTCAACAACCCTTCATGCTAAAATCTCTCAATAAATTAGGTATTGATGGGACATATCTCAAAATAATAAGAGCTATCTATGACAAACCCACAGCCAATATCATACTGAATGGGCAAAAACTGGAAGCATTCCCTTTGAAAACTGGCACAAGACAGGGATGCCCTCTCTCACCACTCCTATTCAACATAGTGTTGGAAGTTCTGGCCAGGGCAGTTAGGCAGGAGAAGGAAATAAAGGGTATTCAATTAGGAAAAGAGGAAGTCAAATTGTCCCTGTTTGCAGACGACATGATTGTATATCTAGATAACCCCATTGTCTCAGCCAAAAATCTCCTTAAGCTGATAAGCAACTTCAACAAAGTCTCAGGATACAAAATCAATGTACAAAAATCACAAGCATTCTTATACACCAATAACAGACAAACAGAGAGCCAAATCATGAGTGAACTCCCATTCACAATTGCTTCAAACAGAATAAAATACCTAGGAATCCACCTTACAAGGGACGTGAAGGACCTCTTCAAGGAGAACTACAAACCACTGCTCAATGAAATGAAAGAGGATACAAACAAATGGAAGAACATTCCATGCTCCTGGGTAGGAAGAATCAGTATCGTGAAAATGGCCACACTGCCCAAGGTAATTTATAGATTCAATGCCATCCCCATCAAGCTACCAATGACTTTCTTCAGAGAATTGGAAAAAACTACTTTAAAGTTCATATGGAACCAAAAAAGAGCCTGCATCGCCAAGTCAATCCTAAGCCAAAAGAACAAAGCTGGAGGCATCACGCTACCTGACTTCAAACTATACTACAAGGCTACAGTAACCAAAACAGCATGGTACTGGTACCAAAACAGAGATATAGATCAATGGAACAGAACAGAGCCCTCAGAAATAACGCCGCATATCTACAACTATCTGATCTTTGACAAACCTGAGAAAAACAAGCAATGGGGAAAGGATTCCCTATTTAATAAATGGTGCTGGGAAAACTGGCTAGCCATATGTAGAAAGCTGAAACTAGATCCCTTCCTTACACCTTATACAAAAATCAATTCAAGATGCATTAAAGACTTAAACGTTAGACCTAAAACCATAAAAACCCTAGAAGAAAACCTAGGCATTACCATTCAGGACATAGGCACGGGCAAGGACTTCATGTCTAAAACACCAAAAGCAATGGCAACAAAAGCCAAAATAGACAAATGGGATCTAATTAAACTAAAGAGCTTCTGCACAGCAAAAGAAACTACCATCAGAGTGAACAGGCAACCCACAATATGGGAGAAAATTTTCGCAACCTACTCATCTGACAAAGGGCTAATATCCAGAATCTACAATGAACTCCAACAAATTTACAAGAAAAAAACAACCCCATCAAAAAGTGGGCAAAGGACATGAACAGACAGTCTCAAAAGAAGACATTTATGCAGCCAAAAAACACATGAAAAAATGCTCACCATCACTGGCCATCAGAGAAATGCAAATCAAAACCACAATGAGATACCATCTCACACCAGTTAGAATGGCAATCATTAAAAAGTCAGGAAACAACAGGTGCTGGAGAGGATGTGGAGAAATAGGAACACTTTTACACTGTTGGTGGGACTGTAAACCAGTTCAGCCATTGTGGAAGTCAGTGTGGTGATTCCTCAGAGATCTAGAACTAGAAATACCATTTGACCCAGCAATCCCATTACTGGTTATATACCCAAAGGACTATAAATCATGCTGCTATAAAGACACACGCACACATATGTTTATTGTGGCACTATTCACAATAGCAAAGACTTGGAACCAAGCCAAATGTCCAACAATGATAGACTGGATTAAGAAAATGTGGCACATATACACCATGGAATACTATGCAGCCATAAAAAATGATGAGTTCACGTCCTTTGTAGAGACATGGATGAAACTGGAAATCATCATTCTCAGTAAACTATCACAAGAACAAAAAACCAAACACTGCGTATTCTCACTCATAGGTGGGAATTGAACAATGAGAACACATGGACACAGGAAGGGGAACATCACACTCTGGGGACTGTTGTGGGGTGGGGGGAGGGGGGGAGGGATAGCATTGGGAGATATACCTAATGCTAGATGACGAGTTAGTGGGTGCAGCGCACCAGCATGTCACGTGTATACATATGTAACTAACCTGCACATTGTCACATGTACCCTAAAACTTAAAGTATAAAAAAAAAAAAAAAAGAAGTCAAAGAGGGCTATCAGGTGTAACAGGCAACCATGTCAAGTGATTGCCAGCCCTGGGGCAGTGAGGAAAGGGCTGAGATTTTCCATTGTTTGATTTATTTCGAGAGAACCTGTCATTGCTGAAGCATTTTTAATGGCAGATACTTTAGAGCCCTTGTCAGATAATTCCAACATCTGATAGTTGGGTCTTGGCAGCAGCTGATCGTGGTGCTCATGCTGGTGGTGATCTCTGCACTCTTGGAAGGATGGTGAGTTTTCAGTTGTTTGGTGGACGTTCTGCCTGTCATGTTAGGTGACCTGGGTCCCCTGTGACTCTTTTGCTTTAGAAGGCAGTGACCTGTTTAGGTTTGGCACATGGGTCCTGGCCCATCTTGCAGGCTGTGGTTCTACTGGCATCTAATTTCCAGAGTCGCTGCTGTGTTGTTCTCTCCTGCTTGGTTTCTCGGGGGTCCTTGTGGCTCTCAGGATCCCTCCTGATGCAGGCTGAGGGGCAGACGGAGTTTCCCCAGGCTCTGCCCTGAGTGTCTCCCAGTGGGGCCCAAGGCTCAGGCTGTCTGAAGAAGAGGCTTGGATCCCCTGCAGGTGCCCACCAACCAGATATTTCTGGGTGGGGAGGAGGGGCTGTCAGTACACAAGGAGGGGAGCCACCCTGGGGCCACTTATGCGGACAGGGCTTCAGGTCCCTCCTCCGTCAGGTGGCGTCAGGCTGGCCTGGTATTGCCAGAGGGCCCTGTTCCATCAGAGCGGGAGCAAGCCTAGCTGGCTGCCATGGGTGCTAGGCTGGGGTCACCTTCTGTTGGTCTTGGGGCCATAAAGCACCCTGTTGCTGTGCCTTCCTTCTCCCCCTGGGGTCCCAAAACCAGCCCGCCTTCCTCTGAACACCTTTCGGAGTTCTGGTTGCCTCTGAGCCTGGTTTCTGGTTGTGCTTTGAGCAGCAGGGAGGGGCCTGCCCATCTAATTGGGACCAGCAGTGAGAGGGGGTTTCTGTGTCCCTGAGGAGAAGGATGCAGTGTGAGGGGAAGGTGGGCTGTCTGGAAATGCTTGTGGAATGAAGGAAGTGTTCAGGTACTGGAGAGATGCAGGTGCGGCTTGTGGATAGAGGCTGCCTAACTTAGGGAACTACCTCGCTGTAGGTGTGTTTGGGGAAAGTGAGTTTCCTGGATACTGATGGGGACAGACACAATCAGCCTCTTGTGGTCTCCCAGGATTTGGCTCAGTGGCTACAACACATCATTGCACACTTGAATACGGCGAGACCTGAATGCCTTTAGCCCAAGACCCTTTTATTACCTTTCCTTTATGCATCCTATAATTTGAACTATTGTCTCCACCAAATTATTCCTTCCCAGCATTTCTGGAGAAAGAAATGTAATGAAATATTATTCAGTAAAATCCCACAGTAAACAAGAACACACAGTGCTAACTTAGTCCTGGTGTTCATCAGTTATTATTGCTCTAAGAAGACAAAGGTGGCCCCTAATATGCAGGAGCTGGCCCGGTGCCCACAGCTGGGCCTTGGTCTCTCCTGATGAACATAAACAGTTCACTGAACAGGAACGGTCAGGGAAGCCACTTGGTGAGTGTGACGGAATAAGACAAGAACAAGACTGGCCAGGCGCGGTGGTTCACACCTGTAATCCCAGCACTTTGGGAGGCCGAGGCGGGTGGATCACAAGGTCAGGCGATCGAGACCATCCTAGCTAACATGGTGAAACCCCGTCTCTACTAAAATTACAAAAAAATTAGTCGGGCGCGGTGGCAGGTGCCTGTAGTCCCAGCTACTTGGGAGGCTGAGGCAGGAGAATGGCGTGAACCTGGGAGGTGGAGCTTGCAGTGAGCCGAGATCATGCTACTGCACTCCAGCTTGGGTGACAGAGCGAGACTCTGTCTCAAAAAAAAAAAAAAAAAAAGAACAAGACCATTATGTCATTAGGTCTGAACACAGACAAGGCAAGAACATGGTTCAAACCATAAAAGTGACTTAATATCCCCCTCTCCCAGCTCATGCTAGTGAGTGCTGCTGCTTTATAGTTAAAAGCCTGCTGCCTGGCTCTGGTCTGCCTTCTTCCAGGTAAGATTAACCCACGCATCGCATAGCATCCCCTTCTTCCAAACACCAACCAAATCTGGAGCAAAGCCCCACTTCCTTGAACGCTCTCCCCAGATCACCCGACATGCCCCAGTTCTGTAATGAGTCCTGGCAAACCCCCTCGGCCTGAGACACCCCACAGTTCCCGCTGGTGTGCCCTGCGTGTAGTCTCTCTCCCTCCAACAAATAGTAAATCCAACTCGTTCAACTATAGGCCTGATCCTGAGGTCTTTGGCTGGAGGACGTTTTCACTTATAGGATTCATAGGCTAATTTCCAGAGCTCTTTTGAAATTGGTAAAAGAGTTTACATTTTCCACCTTACCTGGCCACCAGGCTCCTGATGGCATAATGTCAGGATTAAACCTTAGGATTTAAAGTCTATGATTCTGGAACACTCAGGATTTTAACTTTCCAGCTCAGGACATCCTTGCATTTTTTTATGGTGTCTGGTTAAGACTAGCAGTGACTTCATGAAGGTGGAAATCATGCATTCTTCATTCATTAATCTGATGATTTCACTACTGACAAATGAAAATTACCCAGGCCTTTCAACTTCCCTTCCCAGCTCTCCTGCTGTTTGACCAAAAGACACACATTCTACTGATTTTCAATGACTATTTATCTGCACTGAAAGAACATTTTTCAGAAAACAGAAAGAGACATGATAATGGGTATTTACCACTGGTATGTTCATAGAACGGCCCCAAAATTGTTAACTTCACATGCATATTAGCATAAAACAAAATAATAAATAGGTAAAATTTACTTTAAATTTCTGTTTACAGATTTTTAACAAAATGGCACGGAAAGGGGCTTCCAAGCCAGAAAGCCTTGGCACATCAGGTGAGCCTTTGACACACTGCCTGAGCAGCCTACGGGCTGTCCCATCTGGAACTGGTGCTAGAGTTAGGGAAGCTTCAGGAAGAGACCGTGGGATCTACGCAGCTGTTCTGTTTTTCCTTCCTGAGAGTGTGAGGCCGGGAGGAGACATCATCTGAACGTGCACTTCCTTTCTTTCTTTCTTTTTGAGACAGAGTCTCACTCTGTCACCCAGGCTGGAGCATAGTGGCGTGATCTCGGCTCACTGCAACCTCTGCCTCCCAGGTTCAAATGATTCTCCTGCCTCAGCCTCCTGAGTAGCTGGGATTTCAGGTGCCCACCACCACGCCCAGCAAATTTTTTGTACTTTTAGTACAGATGGGGTTTCACCATGTTGGCCAGGCTGGTCTCAAACTCCTGACCTCAGGTGATCTGCCCACCTCAGTCTCCCAAAGGTGTGAGCCACCACGCCCAGCCTGATTGTGCACTTTCTACAAGTGCAAGACCCGGCCCTCCTGGACTTCATGGTTGTGGTCTGTGCTCTTTGTATATCACAAATTTGAAGGCCTTTAGCCTAAGACCCTTTTATTACCTTTCCTTTATGCATCTTATAATTTGAAATATCATCTCCACCAAATTATTGTGTAATTATATAATTGCCACTTTAACTACTTCACACGTCAATAAATTTAAAAAGCCTTTAAGTGTGTATTTTTGATATGATAAAATTGTGATAGGGTTCTGGAAACTGTGTTCTTCAGATTTGGTGGAGGGGCTTGGGAAAAGGTAGGGCAATAGGTATTTTTTAAAAAGAAAGAAACTAAAAAACTTAAGTTGTTTATTTGAAATTCAAAATTGTCACTGCGTATCCAGTGTTATCTGCCCACCTGAGAGGAGGTAGAGTGGGAAGGTCATCACAAAAGAACCCGAAAAGCTGGGCAGGGGAAAGGGGTGTTCTGCATTAAGGAAGGCTTGCTCTGTAATAGGATCCAAAGTGTGTGATTCCTGACTGCCCTGCAAGTGGCTTGGAGGCTTTGGGCATCTCTCTTGGAAAATAGAAACTTCATGGATGGCTAAAAGAGACATGATAACAGTGTACATGGCAGAAGATCCTCTGCTGATGGGTTCTAGAGAGTCACTGATTCCTTAGGAAGATCTAGTTACAGGCAAGAGCCTTGAATAATCATGAGTCTGGGCCAGTCAAAGGAGGCAAATGCCCCACCTGGGAAAGGTGGCTCTCTCTAATCCAGGTGGTGTTCTGGAAGAAAAGGGAAATAAAAGGCCTGTGTCCTGCTTCTCCACCCGGAGGACTCTGCTCAGCCCTTAGGTCTTCTGAAGGGCTCTCCTGGAAGCCTACTGCAGCTGCAGGCTTGCAGCACCAGTTGCGGATAAGGGAAGATGGAGGTTGACAGAGGGGCCTGCCTCCTCTTACTTTCCCTGCCCTGGCCTGAGTCCTGTGGTTCGTGACTGTGCTGTCTTTAGTGGGAGCTTGCCAAGCCCAGCAGTGTCCTGGTGTGGATGAGAAATTACACACTCATCCTATTCTTAGCTCAGGGGCCTCTGTGCATTGAACTGGTTGCATCAGCTTCATTTTTACTGCAAAACCACCCTTTACGATAGGTCGGAAGTATGATTCTGGCAGACAAAGTGAGGACAAGAGGACAAATGGGGCCAAAAGGAAGCAAGGTTGGGATAGTGGGTGGAGTGACTTCTAGGGATTGGGAGGAAAGTCCCTACCCTTCCCTCCATGGGTCTCCTGACCTGAGCAGGCTCTGGGAGGACAGGGCTGCTCGAGCCACCCTGAGAACCTCCCAGGCTGAGAGGATTCCAGGACGCCCACTCTGGAGATACTGAGACCAGCTCTGGGGAACACGGTGCCAGCTTGAGTGCACCCTGGGCCTGCAGCATGGAGAAGAATTTAGCATCCCAAGCCCCCACCCCTGAGATGCTTCAGGTGGGGCAAAGTGGCTGCAGCAGCCTAAACTTTAGGTTGTCAGAGTGATACGGAGCTGCACAAGGCCAGGCACTGAGTGAGTGCCCTGAAAGTGCTGGTGGGGGAAATATGTGAGTTCAAACTACCCTTGAAATTTCAGATACTTGTCATCTGTAAATTATGAAAACGTGCTCCTTACTTTCTTAGCAATAGTGTTGCTTTTACATATACGTGCATTCCTCTCCTGTGGCTACTGTAAAAGTTACCACGAACTCGGTGGCTTCAAACAGTGGGAATGTATAGTTCTGGTGGTCAGAAGTCTAAACTGAGTCTTATGGGAACAAAACCGAGGTGTCTGCAGGGCAGGGCTGGTTCTAACTGAGGCTCTAGGGAGAATCGCTTCCTTGCCTTTTCAGCTTCCAGAGCCGCCTGCGTCCCGTGGCTCCTGGCCCCTTCCTTGCATCACATCACCTTCCCCCCGACTGTGTCATCACACTGCCTTTCCCTACTGTCATCAAGTCCCCTGTGCCTTTCTCTTATAGGAAAATTTATGATTACATTTAGGGCCCGCCTGGATGGCCCAAGATAATCTCCCCAACTCAAAGTTCTTAATCACATCTGCAGAATCCCTTTTGCCTTCCAAGTCACCATATCACAGGTTCCAGGGACCAGATGGTGGAGGTCCTGGGGGGCCACTATTCAGTGGACCACACTGCCCTTTTCTCAGATTGAACTGGTGGCCTTGTCTGTCCCTCTTCCCCGACAGGTAAAGGGATTCAGGGTCTCTGCTCTTCACGACGTCATCCATAGAGAGTCTCTCTCATATACATCTAAGGTGATCTTCAAAATAACCCACGAACCAGGGATCATTTACAAACGGGAAATTGGGAAGAAAACTAACATTTACAGAGTTAAATAATTCAAATTTTAGTTAAACACTGCTATATACAGCCCCATTATTGCTTCATTTGACCCTCCTGCCATCTGGGAAGTATCTGTTTTTACTCCTATTTTGAAAGTAGAAAACCTGAAATAGTGAGGTCATGTAACTGATCTAACACTGCAGGTCTTGGAAATTAGAAAACCTGAAATTAGTGAGGTCATGTAATTGCTCTAAGACAGCAGAGCCAGAAGTAAAGGCACTGAAGTTTAAAGCAGACCTGTGATTTCCAACCCTTAGCTCTTCCCTGTCCCATTTTCCCCTGTCCATCACTCCCTCTGCACAGTCCTGCAATGGTCTGAGAATGGTGGCCAGTGCTGCAGGAGACCCATGGGTGTGCCTTTGGGGTGTGCATTGACAGTTTTCTTTGAATGCTTCTAGAACCACAAAATATCAGGGCAGAAAGGCATCTCAGAGAAAACCTACCCCAAATAACTTCTCAAACTTCAATGCACAGAACTATCTGGCTGCTTATAAAAAAACAAGAGTCTGTAAGCCCCATTCCCAGAAATTTTAATTTAATAGGTCTGCACTTGAGGCCCAGGCAGGTTTTTTTTGTTTGTTTGTTTGTTTGTTTTTTGTTTTTTGTTTTTTTTTTTTTGAGATGGAATCTTGCTCCATTGCCCAGGCTGGAGTACAGTGGTGCGATCTCAGCTCACTGAAACCTTGCCTCTAGGTTCAAGTGATTCTCCCACCTCAGCCCCCCGAGTAGCTGGGACTGTACAGGTGCATGCTACCATACCCGGCTAACTTTTTGTATTTTTAATACAGACGGGGTTTCACTGTGTTAGCCAGGATGGTCTCGATCTCCTGACCTCGTGATTCACCCTCCCAAAGTGCTGGGATTACAGGTATGAGTTATCCGCCTGGCGCATCTACATTTTTAACATGCCCCAAAGCTAGTTTTGAAACAATTTAACAGGAAAGAAAGGGTGAGAGGGGTGCATTTGTCCTTTCTCACACTGCTGTAAACATATTACCTGAGACTGGGTAATTTATAAACGAAAGGGGTTTAATTGACTCACCGTTCCACATGGCTGGGGAGGCCTCAGGAAACTTACAATTATGCAGAAGGCAAAGGGGAAGTAAGCACCTTCTTCACAAGGCAGCAAGAGAGAGAGAGCACAGGGGAAACTGCCATTTTTAAAATCAGATCTCATGAGAACTCACTCACTATCACAAGAACAGCATTGGAAGTGATCCAATCACCTCCCTCCCTCGACACGTGGGGATTACAATTTGAGATGAGATTTGGGTGAGGACACAGAGTCAAACCATATCAAGGGGTAATACATTTTCTCTAGAATGTAGCATTAGCCTTTCTTTTTGAGGAACATGTTTGTGTGTTATGGAAGTTAATCACGGTGGGCCACATCATTGGAAAACAGCAAATACTGCTTTCTGGTTTTTGGCCGATTAGGTCAGGTGAAGAAGTTTGGCAATCTGGCTCTGATTTGTGTGAGAGATACCAGTGAAAGGTGGATTTCATATTGTGAGATGAAACATCTGGAGAGGACTAGAGTCTAACTTGTGCATCAGCTGGAAAGAAAGACTGAGGGGTCATGGGAACTTGCACATTACGATCCACGTAACTGCACTTGCCAGAATGTAGGATCAATCTGCTGCTGAAGAATATCCTAAATCAGAGAGTAGATAGGAACCAGAGGCCGTAAACTCACCAGAGATGTTAGTGCGGCCTTGAGGTTAACTGCTGCTTGGAACACAGAGACGTGATGCACTGAAACTAAATCTGGGCTGAGGGAAAGCATGTCCACACCAGGTGCCCAGACATCTGGTTGGCTTTGGCTGATTTGTCCTGCAGGCACCTGCCTTGTCTGGATTTGCACACTTTCCAAGTTGCCCATTACCCTGTGCATTTCCCAAGCTGCCTTCCCTGGCTCTGATGTACGATGAACCTGCTTGAGTGGCATATTTATCATAGTGCAATCAAGAGGCATGAGCCATGATTGATGACATATCATAAATGGGAACATGCATATCATCACACTGGGATCTGACTTAGCAGTTCATTTGGCCTTACTATAAGCTGATTTCTTGAAAGAGCTCAGATTCCTGGCTCAGAATGCCTTTGATAGAAGAGTGTGTTCTCAATGGAAGGGAAGCAATAGTTATAATTTTTTCTCAGTGGACCAGTTCTCAAGTGAAGGCAGAATTTTAACCAGTGTTCAGCGTCTTCCATTAAAATCCCCAGCTCTCCATTTTTCAGTGTGAAAAAATCCAGGCCAGGGTTTCTGCAGACAGTAATTTTTGATGGCAGGGTCAGCAAATTGGACTAAGTGTATGTACTGTGATCTCCATAAAAGGGAATTACTGAATTTTCTGTCCACTTAGCAGCGTCTTTTGTTAATGATGGGCAAGAAGCTTGTATTATTTATGGAGCACTTTGACATCTCAGCAGTTTATGGAGTATATATGAAGAATGGGAGCACTTTATCTTCTAATAAAATGTTGCATAACAACTTTAGTACTGAACTTTTTTAAAGAAGGAATCATGGATTATCCTGCAGCCAAGTATTAACAGAAAGGACATACTGTGATCTCACATTCAAACTACTTCAAAGATAAGGAGATTTATTTTGCCCATTACAATTTTCTCCCAGAGCAAATAACCATTTTTATTAAAATGCTGTAAGTTCATCCAGGTAGGATTTGGGTGAAGATAATTTGGGACAAGCCACTGTGTACTGGTAATGAAAACAGAAATGAATTCAAGCTTCTAATGGAAAAGTGACAAGCAAATAAATTAATCTCCAGGTTATTCAATTTTAGAAAGTGATATAAGATGTAAGATATAACTAAAAACTGAAAAGGAAAGTTAAAACAGTCTCCAGGTTTCCATATGGATGATTTGTAATTAAAATGATACTGGAGGGGAGTCCAGGACACATCTGAATATCGAGCTTTGCCCACAACCTTTCTGATTGCTGTTTCTTAGGTGTTTACTGCAGTGCTTCTTTCTCCATTTCTGCATAAGTGTGGACAAAATTCACATGTGCCTATTACTAGTATCAAGGGCACACACGGCCAGGCGTGGTGGCTCACGCCTGTAATCCCAGCACTTTTGGAGGCTGAGGAGGGGGGATCAGGAGATCGAGACCATCCTGGCTAACACGGTGAAACTCTGTCTCTACTAAAAAAAAAAAAAAAAAAAAAAAAAAAAATTAGCCCGGCATGGTGGCAGGCGCCTGTAGTCCTAGCTACTCAAGAGGCTGAGGCAGGAGAATGGCGTGAACCCGGGAGGCAGAGCTTGCAGTGAGCCAAGATCCCGCCATCGCACTCCAGCCTGGGCGACACAGTGAGACTCTGTCTCAAAAAATATAAATAAATAAAATAAAATAATAAAGGGCACACACTGTGCTTGCTGCCTGAGACTGGCCAAGGGGTCTCTTAGTTTTGTCTGTTACTTAAATTATCAACTCCACCTAACTACAGGAAACACAGAAATGGTGTGTTGCAGTCCGGACACTGTGAGCAGCATGAAATTCTATCTCGGTGTCTAGGAAATGGGGTAGGGAAGGGCCAGTCCAGGGCACAGGTAAGAATAGACTTTTGCCTCTGAGCTCTCCCACCTTTCTCTTTCTCCTTATGAGTTGCTCTTTACCCTAGGATTTCCAGACACTCATGCTATTCTTTAGTCCTAAAAATTCCTCCTCAAAGTCTTGCTTTTCTCAAAATGCCTTATGCCCCATAGTTACCATGTGAGCTTCCTCCCACGTCCTTGGTCCCGCTTCCCTCCTGTGGGCAGCTTAGTCAGTGTGCCCTTCCCTCCACACGCCCAGAGGGCTGGCTCCTGCAGGCAGCACCTTTGCAATGGCCTCCAAAACAGACTTGAGACAAGCGCATAAAAGGGAGGAGGAAGCAGCGCTCCTGTAGGTCTCCTGGCTCTTGCTCCAGCAGGATGGCACAGGAAGACACATGAGGTCTTTTTTCTTAACTCAGATGTTCAGATCAGAACTCTTGTCTGGAGCCAATGAGCTGAGCCCCTGGGGAGCCAGGACTGATCCTGGTTTTAAGGCAGTTAATGTTCCCTATTCTTGCCTCCAGGTGTTTTTGAAATCCTCCCTACCCAGATAGGCACAAAAATAGATTATGTGTCTGGCTGCAAAGAAAAGCTATGCACATTCCTAAAAGCAAAAATGATACAAGCCATATTTCCTTCCATAAAACAAATAAACTAAAAATAAAGAATGAAAGGATAGCAAAAAAGAAAATAATTTATCAATAGATGCAGTTTTCAACAGATTACATAGAAATAGCAACAGAGAGAATCAGTGAGGTAGACATTAGCACTGAGAAATCACTCAGATTACAGCAGATATATAAAAAATGGCGACTGGGAATGATCATTTAGGAGGAATTAATGATAGAATGCACAATCTGTAAGAGTTCTAGGAGAGAAAGAATGGAGAGGAGGTATTTGGAGCTAACAGCTGAAAATTTTCCATAATTGAAAAATGTAATCAAATCAAAGAAAAAACAACCTAAAGAAAGTAGAAGCAATATAATAAGATTTAAACAAAATGATTTAGCAGCTAAAATTCACAGATTTCATCACTAAAATAAAAAGACAGTTCTTTGCAATGAAAAGAGCATTTAAAAATATTTTGTAATATAATATAAATACAAATATAATTTTAAAAGCAAGCTGGTATAAATATATAAATATATTTAAAATATAAGATATTAAATTAATATATTTCAATGTCTAGATTAAATGGACAGTTTTTGAGAACACTATAAATTATCATTTTTAACTTAATAAGAAACAAAATTCAAACAGTCAAAAGCATCTAAACCAAATTTAAAAGATAATAAAAAGAAAAAAATCTATCCATAATAATGAAACCAAGTTCAGGGATTTTCTTGAGTTAATAAATTTTATGAAACTTTAGCTCATAGATTAGATTATCCCTGTGTGATACAGACTTTGCTGTAGCATCAAACAATATGGGAAGGCTGCTACCTTATTCTGTGAGGCTAGTATAAAACTAACACCACAACTAGACAAAGCTGACACAAAACTAAATGAGATCAGCCAATCTCACTAACACAGAGAGCTGCAGAAATTAAACCCCAAAAAATCTTAGCAAATTTCACAGAATAATGATTTTTAAAAATGTGTGTGTCTTGTAAAATCAAGACTTAGATATGCAAACATGATTCAATAGTTTCAAAATCTATTAATTCAATTCTGTATGTCTTCAGATTAAAAGAGGAAAACAAGATCATCTCAATCAATATCAAGAAAGCATTTGCTAAAACCAACATCCTGATTACATTTCTGATAAAAATGTAAACAAAGCAAAACAGTGAAGTTAGAAATAAAAGAAAACTTTCTTAATTTTGTATAAGAGAGATCTAGAAAACTGGAGCAAACATAATAGCTAATGGCAAAATATCATAAATATTCATGTTAAAATTATACACAAGAAAAGGACACCTACTAGCACCACTTTTATGCAAACAGTGAATAAGAAATCTTAGCAGTAAATACAGAAACATTGTACAGACAGCATGAAGAAAAGACAAAACTGCCATTTTAAAAAGTTTTATCTGATAATCTACCCCAAAATTTCACAGAATTAACTGATAAACTATATTAACTAGTAAGGTGGTCTGATATAAAATAAACATTTAAAAATACTTACTAACAATAACCAATTAGAAAACATGATAGAAAGAAACAAATGCCATTACCAATTGTTTAAATGCACACAAAACCCCAAAGAAGAACTTTTATTATCTAAATGGAACCTCTTCTAGCATTACAGAGACCCCAATATCTAACAACTCCCTTAGCAACGTGACGTTCCAGGTGGTTCCAGGCAGGTGTGGAGGCTCTAGGTGCACAGGTGAGCAGCGACTCTGCCATCTTTTATACCCTGCTTCCAAGGCTATCATGGAGTTGCAATCCTGGTTAGCCAGAGAGGAGGAAAGCATGGAAGAGTGTGTATGTAAGGTTGTTATGGGGTGGCCTGGAAGTGGCATTCATGTATTTCAGGGCTCATCTGTGGCATCACACCTTCTTAAGGTCACTGGTTTGATACTGATTAGGGTAGAATCAGCTGTAGTAACAGACTCAAACGTGTAACAACTCCATCCAAGAGCAGTTCATGTTTCACTCATCCAAAAGCCCAGGGCAGCAGTCCAGAGGGGGAGGTTGGGACTCTGCTCCACTGCATCATTCAGGGACACAGGGGTTCTGTCACCTTCCACAGGTTTCTCCCAAGATCACCCTGGGAGTTGTCATCCAAGGCAGGAAGGAAAGAGAGCTTAGAGAAAGTGTGGGATGGTTTTAAGGTCCTGGCTTGGAAGTAACATCCATCACTTCTGCTCAAATTCCACTAACTACAACCTCAGTCATATGACCCCAACTAATTGCAAGGGAAGCTGGGAAGGGAATCTAACTGCTTGCACAAAGAAAAGGGTTGATTAAATTTTGAAGAGTTGCCAGCAAATTCTACCATAAACCTGACAAAGAGTATACAAGTCTGATGTGAATAAAATTGTAAACTTTGTTGAAGAATGTTAAAAAAAAAAAAATAAGAGGAGACATACCCTATACCTACACTGAAAGATACAGTCATGGAAAATGTAAATTATCTCCAGGTTAATCTATACATCTCATGAAAAACTGGATCCCTTCCTTACCCCTTATACAAAAATTAATTCAAGATGGATTAAAGACTTAAATGTCAGACCTAAAACCATAAAAACCCTAGAAGAAAACCTAGGCAATACCATTCAGGACATAGGCATGGGCAAGGACTTCATGTCTAAAACACCAAAAGCAATGGCAACAAAAGCCAAAATTGACAAATGGGATCTAATTAAACTAAAGAGCTTCTGCACAGCAAAAGAAAGTACCGTCAGAGCGAATACGCAACCTACAGAATGGGAGAAAATTTTTGCAATCTCCTCATCTGACAAAGGGCTAATATCCAGAATCTACAATGAACTCCAACAAATTTACAAAAAAAAACAAACAAACCACCCCATCAAAAAGTGGGCAAAGGATATGAACAGACACTTCTCAAAAGAAGACATTTATGCAGCCAAAAGACACATGAAAAAATGCTCACCATCACTGGCCATCAGAGAAATGCAAATCAAAACCACAATGAGGTACCATCTCACACCAGTTAGAATGGCGATCATTAAAAAGTCAGGAAACAACAGGTGCTGGAGAGGCTGTGGAGAAATAGGAACACTTTTACACTGTTGGTGGGACTGTAAACCAGTTCAACCATTGTGGAAGTCAGTGTGGCGATTCCTCAGAGATCTAGAACTAGAAATACCATTTGACCCAGCCATCCCATTACTGGGTATATACCCAAAGGATTATAAATCATGCTGCTATAAAGACACATGCACACATATGTTTATTGCAGCACTATTCACAATAGCAAAGACTTGGAACCAATCCAAATGTCCAACAATGATAGACTGGATTAAGAAAATGTGGCACATATACACCAGGGAATACTACGCAGCCATAAAAAATGATGATTTCATGTCCTTTGTAGGGACATGGATGAAGCTGGAAACTATCATTCTCAGCAAACTATTACAAGGACAAAAAACCAAACACCACATGTTCTCACTCACAGGTGGGAATTGAACAATGAGAACACATGGACACAGGAAGGGGAACATCACACACCGGGGCCTGTTGTGGGGTAGGGGTAGGGGGAGGGATAGCATTTGGAGGTATACCTAATGTTAAATGACGAGTTACTGGGTGCAGCACACCAACATGGCACATGTATGCATGTGTAACTAACCTGCACATTGTGCACATGTACCCTAAAACGTAAAGTATAATAAAAAATAAAAATAATAATAAACCCCCCCAAAAAAAGAAAATTTTCAATTTAACTGAAAGTTTTATGAACTTGATAAAAGGTTTTTAAAATTCATATGGCAGATGTTTTAGTCAGTTTTGTGCTGCTATAACTGAATATCTGAGACTAGGTAATTAATACAGAACAGAAATTTATCTCTGACCGTTCTACAGCCTAAGTCCAACTGAGGTGCTGGCTGGCTTAACTATCGGGTAACGGCTATTCTCTGCTTCCAAGGTGGTGCCTTGGATGCTGCATCTTCCAGAAGGGACAAATGCTGTGTCCTCACATAGCAGAAGAAAAGTGTATTATTAGTCCGTTTTCATGCTGCTGACAAAGGCATATCCGAGACTGGGCAATTTACAAAAGAAAGGGGGTTATTCGACTTACAGTTTCACATGGCTGGGGAGGCCTCACAATTACAGCAGAAAGTGAAATGCATGTCTCACGTGGCAGCAGACAAGAGAAGAGAGCTTTTGCAGGGAGACTCCCATTTTTAAAACCATCAGATCTCGTGAGACTTATTCACTATCACGAGAACAGCACGGAAAAGATCTGCCTCCATGAGTCAATTACCTCCACCGGTTCCCTTTCACAATATATGGGAATTCGAGATGAGATTCAGGTGGGGACACAGCCAAACCATATCAGGAAGGAAGGGTGAAATGGGGCCAGACTTTCTCCTTCAAGCCCTTTTATAATGATATCAATTTGAAGAAACCTAAACATCTCTCAAAATGCCCCATGTCCCAACACTGTTGTATTGGGCATTACGTTTACAACATATGAATTTTGGGGGACATATTCAGACCACAGCAGTGGAGAATGTCTAATTCATTTTTACAAAGAGAACGATAAGATGGCAAATTTACTTGTATTTCATTCCATTTTGTGTTCCCATAAAAGAATACCTAGGGCTGGGTAATTTATAAAGAAAAGCAGTTTCTTTGGCTCATGGTTCTGTAGGCTGTACAAGAAGCATGGTGTCAGCATTTGCTTCTGGTGAGGGCTTCAGGCTGCTTCCACCACCAGTGGAAGGTGAAGGGGAGCAGGTTTATGTTGTGGTGAGAGAGAGAGCGAGAGAGGGTGAGAGAGAGAGCGAGAGAGAGGGTGAGAGAGGGTGAGAGAGAGGGCGAGAGAGCGAGAGAGAGAGCGAGAGAGAGGGTGAGAGAGAGAGCGAGAGAGAGGGCGAGAGAGAGGGTGAGAGAGGGTGAGAGAGAGGGCGAGAGAGCGAGAGAGAGAGCGAGAGAGAGGGTGAGAGAGAGAGCGAGAGAGAGGGCGAGAGAGAGAGCGAGAGGGAGGGTGAGAGAGAGGGTGAGAGAGAGAGTGAGAGAGGGTGAGAGAGAGGGTGAGAGAGGGTGAGAGAGAGGGTGAGAGAGGGTGAGAGAGAGGGTGAGAGAGGGTGAGAGAGAGGGTGAGAGAGGGTGAGAGAGAGAGCGAGAGAGAGGGTGAGAGAGAGGGCGAGAGAGAGGGTGAGAGAGGGAAGGGGAGCTCAGGCTCTTTTAATCAACCAACTCTCTCATGAACTATTAGAAAAAGATCTCACTCACTGCCAAGCAGATATCACCAAGCCATTTACGAGGGATCTGCCCTCGTGACCCAAGCACCTTCCACTAGCCTCCACCTCCAACGCTGGAGATCAAATTCAGCGTGAGATCTGGAGGGGACAAATATCCAACTATACCAGCTTTTTCTTATCACTATTGATCTGTTGTATTTAAAACATTGTAGTATTGTACCAAAGTAGAAAAATAAAACAGATAAACAGGCTCGAGGTTTTAGAAATATACCCTTAATATTACTCATCCTTAAAAAAGGAAGGAAATCCTGTCACGTGCTACAACATGGATGAATCTTGAAGCCACTAGGCTAAGTGAAAGAGCTGGTCATAAAAAGAATGCTGCATGATTTTACTTATATGAGATACATAGAGTAGTCAAATTCATGGAGACAGAAAGTACACTGGCAGTTTCCAGGCTTTCCAGGATTTTCACCCTTTTGAGGGTGAAATGATGAGTTATTTTTTAATGGGTACATGTTCAGTTTTGCAAATTAAAGAATTTCTAGAGATAGATGGTGGTCACGATTGCACAACAATGTGAATGTACTTAATACTACTAAACGGTACATTAAAAACAATTAAGATGTAAATTTTATGTGTTTTTGCTATAAAATTTTTAAAACTCTTTAAAAATTAATATACTCTTCTGTTAATGAGATAGTAGCTTATGACAAAGATAATGGTGTTTAAAGTCAATAGTAAATGAATAGCTCATTCAATAAATAATTTGGAGATAATTAGATATCTATAGGAAAAATTTTTTCTTACATTATAAAAAATGTTCAGATATAAAATGGTACTGTAAACTTATTAGGAGAAAACATTATAGAGTGTTTTCATAATAGTGCAATGGTATAAATGCCAGATAAAAGTTAAGATTGTAAATTTAGTAAAAGAAAATATACGGAGTGGTTTCATTATATTGAAGTGAAGTACAAGTATTTCTAGGCAATGTGCAAAAATCAAAAGTCCTACATAAATCTAATGAAACGTTTGTCTTCATAAAAACCTAAAATCTTCTTTAGTGAAAAAGCAAAATACTGTAAAGTCAATGGGCAAGTGGTAGATTGGTAGATAATATTTGTAACATATTTAATCAATACGGATGAATATCAAGAATATATAAAGAGATCCTAAAATTGATAAGAAAGAAAAACATTTTAATAGAAAAATTTAGACCATGAACATACTCTCTCGGAAGAGTCAAACATAGTAAGCATATGAAAATGTGTTAAACTTACTCAAAAATCAAGAAATAGTATGTTACAACCATGAGACTTTTTCCTCATCTATTAGGCTGGGATTAATTTAGAAGAGGCAGGGTAATCAATGTTCTCATTCATCATTGGTGGGAGTGCAAATGTGTAGCCTTTCAGAAAAAGTGGCAGTAATTCTCAAAATTTAAATATGTACATATTTTGATTCATAAACTTTACAGCAGGAATCTATCTTAAATATGATGCCCAAGTGTGAAAAGGCATATATACATAAAAATGTTCATTTCAGCATTGTTGATTTAAGGAGAGATTGGGAAGTTAGATATTCATCGACAGGGGAATGAATAAATAAGTTTTGCTATAACCATACTGCAGAATACTCTGCAGCCATTAAAAAGAATAAGTTTGGCTTATAGGTACTAACCTTGGAGGATCCCTAAGACATGCAGTTTAACAAAACAATGCATATAGAACGATCAATTGTGTAATTGTATAGTAACGTAATGGAAAAGATTCATGCTGTATTGGTTGGGTATGGCCACAATTCTGTTGTGTAACAAACTCACTGGTCTTGAGGAAAATAACTTACTCGTATGAATCTCTGGGTCATGGAGCAGCTCTACCCTGACACTGAAGCAGTGCTCTGGTCTGCTGCACCTGATTCTCAACCTCCTGAGTCAGCAGGCTGGCCAGGATATGTACTTCTCACAGCGGTGGCAGAGGCGCAAGGGCCTGGACAGAAACATTTCAGACCTCTTAAAGTCTTGAAAGGAAGAAAGAAATATTTTTCCATTGCATTTAAGCAGTAGTGCATTTTAGCTAATTTCTACAATTACCATTGATGTAGTAGATGGAGAAATCTATTAAGTCCTTAAATTCTAATAACCTTGATGCCACAAGCCACATTAACAATATTAAGATTACTCCTTTGAAATGAACAAGTTAACCAGCTTTGCCCTTGTAGAGCTCACAAAGACCACAGATTTTATCCAGCCAATACCACTCAGTCAAAGCATTGGAGTTTTAAACGTAGACAGGTTCCCAACACAGCCACAGTCCAGCAGGTGAGGGGTTTGCTGGCTCTCTGGGACACTTCCAGGACAGATGTGTACTGTCCTACAAAACAGCTCATGCAATTCAAAGAAATCGAGATGGAGCTGATGTCAAAAGCACACTAAGTACTTAATAATGAGTTTGTATGGTTGTATAGTTAATAATTACTGTTAGGAAATCTACAATGGCTAAAATACACCCTTACATTTATCCAGTAAGTAGGGTTTAGATACCTATCTTTTTGAAGTCTAAAAATAAGTATGAACGCTAATATCATTTGGGCTCCTTCTTCAAAGCTGTTTCCCCTTGACTCTTTTATGAGTAAAAAAATATGCATAAAGTACAGAAAATGTGAGCCGTTTATGAACATCTGATGTGAGATGTTAGGGTTGACTTGGTATGTCCTTTGTCTTGAATGCAATGCTGAGTGGGAAACGGGATTCCTATAACCCAAGGCGTGCAGTGGTATTATGATTCAATTATCACCTCAGTTGCAGGGGAAGAAAGGCCTATTGCAGCAAGTACCTTGGGTGCTGTATCTGACCTTCACGGTGGTGGTGACAGCAAGGCTTGCGTCATGTTCAGAGAATCAGACAGCTTCTCCAGTGACACTAAAACCAAAACAAAACATCTTTGTTTTACTTACAAGCAGCAAGGCAGATAGAGCTGTATAAAATAGATGCAGAATTTAATGGAGTAGGTACAAAATTACAGTGTAAGTTCAATCCTCAGACTCGCCAATACATTTGTGTAAAAGTTGGGCTTTGATTGTAGCAGGGGGCTCTCCAAGACTTGGAATTGGGTTATCTGTGTGGATTCAAGAAAAGCTGGGAAATTTACACCCCAAGTCTCTCTAAGCCATCCTTGCTGAAGGAAGCAGCCTCCTCTCCCTGCCTGTAGAATCTTCCCTTATTTGAAGACCTTTTAATAACTTCACATGCTTGAGCTCCCTGGTAAGGTGATATCTAAAACTCTCAGGGCTCACTCCCATCACCCATTAGTGCATGAGACCCATAATTAGGGTCACAAATGTCAAGTATGTTCCACAGGGAGAAAAGCAAAGTCCAATCCAGAAGGACATGGTTTATAGGAGAGAGAGAAAAAAAAGAGAGAGGGAAGAAAAATGATAAAAAGGGCAATACTCACCAATTCAAAGTACCAGAAACATGGGTAAATGTAGTGCATGAATCCTAAGAACATTACACCACAGAGCACAGAATTCAACACTGAATAAGGCTGACCCCATCCATGTGAGAGCACTTACAGAGATTCTAGCTGAATGTGCTGATTTGGGCACCATGGAGCAGCTCTCACAGTTTGCATGGATGGTGGAGTGAATTTGAACTTAATGATGGCTCACATCTGAAGAGGCCAGACTCTCCTGCTCTCTGTGATGGACTTGTTCAGGGAAATGTCTGCATCCCAGAGAACATCTTCTTCCACCATACCCAGGACACCATCTTGGTTGAATCTGGTGAGCAAGCACAGCAAGAACCCTAAATGTCTTAATGAGACACATGTGTGGCAAAGAGTGAACAATAAACCCCATGAAATCTCGAGGCCCATGCCTTGGGGAGGTTTCTCATGGCCCTGTGGTCTGAAGCATGTTTGGGCATTTCTTCCAAAGTGAAACAGAAGTTGTTATTTCATCTATTACCTACCCCTAAAAAATGGGCACGGTGTTGAGAAAATGTCTTTGGAGGCAACAAATACCACATTTGAGAGTGCTGTCCCAACCCATTTATTGAGTAACCAACAAAGCTCCAAGGTAAGTGACTGGGGCCATATGGACACACATAAAAGCATAATTGAAGGCCAGGTGTGGTGGCTTACAACTGTAATCCCAGCACTTTGGGAGGCCGAGGCAGGCGGATCACAAGGTCAGGAGTTCGAGACCAGCCTGGCCAATATAGTGAAACCCCATCTCTAGTAAAAATACACAAATTAATCAGGCCTGATGGCGGGCACCTGTAGTCCCAGCTACTCGGGAGGCTGAGGCAGGAGAATTGCTTGAACACAAGAGGCAGAGGTTGCAGTGAGCTGAGATCTCACCACTGCATTCCAGCTTGGGTGACAGAGCGAGACTCCGTCTCAAAATAAATAAATAAATAAATAAATAAATAAATAAATAAATAAAAGCATAATTGAATATCTGTTTTCAGGAGCTTCTGGCAAGCCCAAATGAGAATCGCAATGCAAATATATAGGGCTTTGGAGAAAAGCCATGTTCTACTCTGCATATAATTATTATTTTAAGAATCAACTCTTATCTTGCTATGCTACTGAGCTTTGTCAAGACAAAATGAGAACTTCATGACCACTGTTCATCATGAATTGGCTATGCACCGACACACTAGGCCATAAGGTGGGAGGAGAATAAGATTCGGCAAGTCCAGAAACAGGTTTCATGAGCAGGTGACTGCTAAGGACTCCGATTCCATCTTTTCCTTCTTCTCCATCTTTTCTTCCCATAATTTACACTTAGGACCTCATTGGGAGTTGCCTACGGCAGCTGGTTTGCAGATGGTTCTGTTATGCTGGCACCAGCCATAAGTGGATCGCTGCCAATGCTACTGTCTCACTCAAGGATAGTGCTGAAGAACAAAGGGAAAAGGATAGCTTCCCAGTGGACAAAACTTGTAGCAGTAAAATTTAGTTTTTCATTTTATCTGCGTAACAGATGGCCAGAAGTACAGATCTACACAAATTCATGTGTGGTTCTCTGAGTAGATGGTCAGAGACTGGGAAAGAATGGCATTGGATAACTAGTGACAGACTGAAGAAGAGATGTGTAAATGGACTTCTCAGAAGGGACACAGGGTGGGGCATACCTGTGTCCCACGTGAATGTTCCCTGAAGGTCATCTGCTACACAGGAGACTTTCAGGAATCAGGGGGATGTGATGACACATTCAGTGGGTGTGCTGGAAGGCTCCGGGGTGTTTGCTCAATGGGTCTGGGTATAAAGTGGCTAAGGAAGTGGTGATAGAAGCCACTCAAGGGTTCAGCAGCATTAACTTCCCGGGGGAACCACTCAGCCACATGATAGGGCAAGCAGATTGTAACACTGACCTCCACCAATTTCTGCCTTGTCCTGATATAATGGCACAATGGCCTGAGAATACTCAGTTACAGCGCCAATAAAGTGACAGCATTCTGGAATTAGTATATGCTTTGAAGCAGCAATCAATCAACAGAATACAGGAGTCTGGAAATCAAAGAGGCATAATTGGAAATGGCTCTTCTCATATTTCTTCTGCAGGATTTTTGCTTCTCCCTCCAGAATCTTGTGCTTTGCTGGTTTGGAGATTCTAGTTCCTAAGACAGAAGTGCTTCTGCTGGAGAAAATAAGGCTGTATCTGTTGAATGGGATACTGAGGCTTTATTCTGTCATTTGAGGCTTCTTATTCCACTACAAAGAATAGAGTAACTGTCCTGGCTGATCCCTAAGCAGAAATTGGGTTTCTGCTCACAAGGGAGGTAGGAAGAACCATGTCCCCCTAAAAACCCAGGGGATGCTCTTGAGTGCTTCTTGGCTCTGCCACACATAATAGAAAATGTTAGTGGACAATTTTGTGGGCTAGATTGTGTCCCCCGAAAAAGCTATGCTAAAGTCCTAACCCCCAATACCTGTGAACGTGATGTTATTTGGGAGTACAGTCTTTGCAAATGATATCAAGGGTAGATGAGCTGGATAAGGGTGGGCTCTAGTCCATGTGACTATCGTCCTTATAAGAAACAGAGAAGGCCGGGCGCGGTGGCTCACGCCTGTAATCCCAGCACTTTGGGATACCAAGGCGGGCGGATCACGAGGTCAGGAGATCGAGACCATCCTGGCTAACACGGTGAAACCCCGTCTCTATTAAAAATACAAAAAATTAGCCAGGCATGGTGGCGGGCACCTGTAGTCCCAGCTACTCGGGAGGCTGAGGCAGAAGAATGGTGTGGACCCAGGAGGCAGAGCTTGAAGTGAGCCAAGATCGCACCACTGCACTCCACCCTGGGAGACAGTGAGACTCCGTCTTAAAAAAAAAAAAAAAAAGGAAACAGAGAAGAGACACAGACACACACAGAAAGAGTGCCATGTGACAATGGAGGCAGATACTGGAATGATGAAGCAACAAGCCAAAAAATTACCAGGACGTGCCAGCAGCATCAGAGCTAGGAGAGGGGCCTAGGGAGGCTTTTCTTTCAGAACCTCCAGAAGGAATGCATTCTGCTGACATCTTGATTTTGGACTTCCAGCCTCTAGAACTGTGACAAAATCAATTTGTTTTTTGAGCCACCACTCAGTTTGTGGTAATTTATTTTGTCAGCCTTTGGAAATAGAAATGGACAATAATAGCAACCTCACAAAGGCAGGACTGCTAAGGACTCACACCCTTTGGGAATTAAGGTTTGGGTCACCCGACAAGAAAAAGGATCCCCAACTAGTTGAGTTAAATATTAGCTACGATACTGTGGCCAGAAATGAAGACTGTAGCAGCTGTCCATATTTTCTTCTTATAAATATGTGTGTGCACACATGTGTGCATATATGTGCAAGTGTGGGCATGCATGTTGTAAACTAAAAATAAAATCCAAGCTGGGCACAGTGGCTCGCACCTGTAATCCCAACACTTTGGGAGGCCGAGGCAGGTGGATCACCTGAGGTCAGGAGTTTGAGACCAGCCTAACCAACATGGGGAAATCTCATTTCTACTAAAAATACTAAAAAGTACTAAAAAAAAAAAAAAAAAAAAAAAAAAAAAAAAAAAAAAAGCTAGGTGTTGTGGCTCACACCTGTAGTCCCAGCAACTTGGGAGGCTGAGGCACGAGGATCGCTTGAACTGGGGAGGCGAAGGTTGCAGTGAGCCGAGATCATGCCACTGCACTCCAGCCTAGGTGACAGAGCGAAACTCTGTCTAAATAAACAAATATAAAATCCAGACTCTCCCACCTATTGAACAGACCCCATTGTGGCCAAGGAGAGCCCAGAGAAACCTGAAAACTGAGTTCCTGGCCATGACAGGATGGGACATCAGACATGCCTTGTTATGCCCCTTCCCTTTTATGGTTTAGTCACAACAGCCAGCATTAATGTTAAAATAGAGACTGTAAGAATGACAGAACAGACTCTTTGTGGCCATAAGATACCAAATTATAAACAGGACCTACCATGCCAAGCAAGAGGTAAGTCACACACCCCTACACTGAAAGGATAAACTATGTTCTCACAGCTTTTTCTTTTTCTCTAGCAGCTAAACAAGCCCCAGCCTCAACATAAGCAATATTAAAACAATCACAATCCATCCAGCTCACAGACAGACACTCACTCACTAAACTCCTGTTCCACCAGCCATAGTTACAGCTTCGATCAGACAAGAGACTGATTTCAGTAACTTTCTCCTGATAAGAGCCCACCAATCATGGACTGGTTCTGGCTGGTTTACAGAGGTTGCACACTTAAGTGCCTTTGTCTCCTGATAAAACCTGTTGACATATAGGGCTAAACTGTAACAAATTTAAATGGTAACTCTCCACCCCAAGGTGAATATGGGTTGTATGTTACATGCATGTTTGTTCACTAGGCATGTGTCAGGACCACCTTCATGAATATTCACAGCTCCTCCTGTAACTTGTTGAATATGTGTGTTTAGTCAACCTATTCAGAATGAAGCTTCTACAACTCAACCCCTTCTCCTTCAAAGTGCCTGTCTCCGGGCTTCAGCCAGAGGCATGCTTCCCAGCCTGCAGGTTGGCCACCTTGCAGGATGTAACCCTTTATAAGAAAAAAGTCTCCTTTCCGTTTCTAAATTTAAAAATTGTGGATTTTTTTTTTCAGTTAACAATATCCATTTAAACTTTTCAAATAGATGGTTTGCAAATGTTTGGCATGGGAAAATGCAGGCATATTTCATGAGTAGTTGTCAGAAATTAGGATCAATTTTACGAGGTGACTATCCAACAGGGACCAAGGAAGGAATCTCTGCCATTTTCATAGAGCCACTGATTGGCCCACTCATTGAAAATGCTGAGCAAGACCTCACCCTCACTCGCCCGGTCCTGAACCAGCCTGGCAGAGTTCTTGTCCCACTCAGAGATAGCATTCTACATCCTATCTGAGTGACAGGATCAGCCCTGCCCTTATCAGCCCTCCGTAGATTCCATAATGAGGCTCCTACGAGTCTCTCTCATCTTCTCATTATCTCAACTACGATCCCTCTCCCTTTTATAGCACAAACTCCTCCAGTCCTGTGACATCTGTGATCATCAGGAACTTTTATTTTACCCATGGCTTTTTCCTCCTACACTGCTTCCCTCCACTTATCCAGAAACCCATCAATCTCTAAATGCTCTGCTCATGTATAATATCTTCCCTAAACTTCTGCACATCTCTAACCCATTAATATCACATAGTTTATGCTTAGTTCCTCCTCATTCATTTTATGAGATTTTGTTTAGCCCTAAAGATTTTTTCCATCTGTCTTGAAATTCTTACTTCTTTTTTTTAAATTTTTTGCCAAATTCAATCTTTAAAATAGGGGAACGATCCTCTTTCCTTCAAGAGATTTTGATGTCAGAAAGCACTGACTCACGCAAAGGTCCACATTTTCAGATTCACTGGCAAGCTGGTTGGTGAGGACAAGCTTTTGACTGAATCAAAGCTCAGTGGTTTTAAAGTGGAGTTGGGCAGAGCCTAGGCTTTTTGTGAGGGTGCTTAGGTGTCACTATGAAGGCCAGACGAGGGAGAGGGTGAGTGTGAGTTGAGTGAGTGAGACCGGAGCTTCAGCCAAAACAGCTATACTTTTGTCTATGTATATGCATATGTCTATATGTGTATATGTATGTATGTGTATGTGTACATGTATATGATATGCGTGGATACATGCTCATGTATATGCACTTGTGCATGTATTTGCATATGTATTTGTATATGCATTTGTATGTGTATGTGTATATGCATGTATATTTATATTAAATAGTGGGTAACTTTTCATTTCCCAGCAGGTTCAGATGCTTTAGAAACATAGTTTGAGATTCACTGCTTTAGGACCACATACTCATGATGAAAGACAAAAACGAAAAATAAACAGAGTCAGGGAGATTAAATCTATAACCAAAGACAACATGAGTATTTAATGTCAGCTACTCAAGCTCCAGTTTCCCCCTTCTGGTGAAAGGCTTGTTCCCTGGGGTCTTCTCTCTCAAAGGTCAGCGGCAGGAACTCCTTGGGGACTGGATGAGTAACTGGCATCTTTCAGTCCTGGGGTTGGGCTGTGCCTGTGGCTCTGAAACTCAGAAACTCCTCAGCCTGTGACCTCATGGGCTGGATCTGGCCCTGGCTCTGCCACTCAGACTCCGTGACATCTCCTCAATCCCTTCCCGCTGCAGCAGAGTGGCTACTGTGCTGCTCTCCAGCCAGCCTGGGGACTACCGTCTCTTAGGGCTTCACTGTAGGATGCACCTTTTATTCTCTGGATAGTTTTTATGACTTTGTTTGTTATTTACAGGCCAAGTTCAGTGGCCCCTGTAAACACAGTCACAATCTGCAACCGTGCTCTTAATTATGATCTTATTAAGAAATAGATTCCCACACAACTGGCACAAGGATGCCAGAAGCCAATATTTCTAATTCATAAATGTTTAGACTTATTTTCTCTCACCAAAATGTGCCTCTGAAAGCCTCAAGAGAAGAGGAAATAAAGAAATAAAAGTGAAAAAAGCAACCAGCAATAAGGATGATTCTGTTACTTCAACTATGCCTAAGACAGCCTGACCTTTAGCTGGAAATGGCCAGTCCCTTCTGGACTGTTAGGCAGAGAACTAAAAGTCAGGGGCTTCATGAAGAGGGTGGAGATGAAGTGAGGCTCGCCAAGGCCTGCCTGCCGTCCCATCGCTCTGAGGTGATGGGAGGTTCTATCCTGTTTCAGAAATTAGCACACTGAGCCTTTGGAACCCTGTAGGTCTCTCCTAGATTGCAGCCTGTCAGATGGTGTCCCTCAAGTGGCCCTACCTTCTTAATGTGAAGAGCAGCACTCAGGCAATATGACTTCCTCCAGCTTCAAAGGCAAACAAAACTTCAAAGGCTGATGCAGCCTTTCTTTTTCTTTACAGCAGATCACTAACAGAGCCTTTTGTACATTGCAAACATTTGTAAATATATATTAATATTTGTTCTAGTCCTGACCTGAACAGAACTTTTTGCATGATGAAATGCATAAACCTCATCCTAGAAATAAATGAGCATTCTGGATAAATATTTTAGCATTTTTATGAAGTTTTTTTTTTTTTTTTTTCGAGACAGAGTTTCACTTTATTGCTCAGGCTGGAGGGCAGTGGTGTGATCTCAGCTCACTGCCACCTTCACCTCCCAGGCTCACCCGATTCTCCTGCCTCAGCTTCCCAAGTAGCTGGGATTACAGGTGCCCACCACCACGCCCGGCTAACTTTTGTATTTTTAGTAGAGACAGGGTCTTGCCATGTTGGCCAGGCTGGTCTTGAACTCCTGACTTCAAGTGATCTGCCCACCTCGGCCTCCCAAAATGCTGGGATTACAGGCATAAGCCACCGCATCAGGACTTTATAAAGTTTTTTTGTTTTGTTTTGTTTTTTTGAGACGGACTCTCGCTCTGTCACCCAGGCTGGAGTGCAGTGGCACGATCTCGGCTCATGGCAAGCTCTGCCTCCCAGGTTCACGCCATTCTCCTGCCTCAGCCTTCCAAGTAGCTGGGACTGCAGGTGCCTGCCACCATGCCCAGCTAATTTTTTTGTATTTTTTAGTAGCGACAGGGTTTCATCGTGTTAGCCAGGATGGTCTCAACATCCTGACCTCGTGATCCACCCACCTTGGCCTCCCAAAGTGCTGGGATTACAGGTGTGAGCCATCATGCCCGGCCCATAAAGTATTTCAATGGGCTAAGAATTCTTCCAAACCTCAGCTGAACACCTGCTCTGCTGATTCCTGACAACTCCAGCTGGGTCCCCAGGACTAGACAAAGATTTCAAGCTTCCTTTAGCAGCTATGTTGCTCTTTGCACCCATGCCTGCAACTCTTTAATCTTTTTTTTTCTGTAAAGTTTTCTAATGTCAGTCTTTGAATTAGCTTTCTAGAGATCTGGAAGATCCCTTGCACCATGAATAGCTAAAGTTAAAAGAAATGTATAACATAGTTGAAAAGGAATGGAAGGCGTAGTAGATGTAGATTGAATTTTCCCTGATGTTTATAATTATTTGCAATTACTCATGTCATTTTCATCCTTTTACAAGATCATGGCCCCGTTTCATAGGGGAGAAAGCTAAGGGTAAGAAGGTAAAGGGATCTGTCCAAAAGCTGACAACTAACCCACTAAAGGCTCAAGGTCTTACTTAGACTCCATTTATTTTCTAAACCAAATGTTTCTGCTCTTTCCCTCACATCACAAGGGCATGCAGAAGGATGCTTATAAATCACCACTGACTGCTGGGGTGGAAAGGAGAAACGAGTGCACAGACCAACATGCAGATTCACCTGCAAACACTGTACACACCTGTCCTGGAACTCTCTCCTTGCTCTGGAGCCAAGGATAATACAGAGAGGACAAACACTGAGGTTTTAGTTCCAGGCACCTCTGTGCCTGGAGACAGGCAGCACCTTAAAAACACATGATGAGGCAATTTGAATGTGAAACATCAGGGTGCTTTCCCTAAAGCATCCTTCATGTTCCATCAGCAATTGTTCTGTGGGTGTAATCAGTTTATGTTTTCTTCTGCTCTTTCCACAGTCTCTCCAGATATGTCTTCCTCCCTCTGTAAGGGAACATGAGAAGCGTTGCCAGTTTAAAAAAAATTGTTAATAAACATACAACTTGCATGTGCTTGCTTGAGATGCCCATTACTGAAGAATTGGCTCTAGAAATTCTAGAATAGGAGCCCTGATACAATTATGAAACTGATCCTCCCAAGCAAAATACTCTAACTTTTTGTTAACAGAAGAAAAAGGCTTTGAGCCAGCTTTCAAAATCTTTTCAGTTTGTGCCTTTGAACTTTATGGTGAGGGTGGGGAAGAGCAAAATCTACTAGTCAAGCAGAGACCTTGTCTGCTTTCCTTCCACAGTCTCAGAAACTGGGTAGAAATTAACTGCCTTTAAAGACAAGAGGCAATTGCAATTCCATGAGCACCAGCCTTACATCCCCATCATTTGTGTGCTGAGAAAGGTGACAGCAGCCTTCCAGGGCCTTGGTATTCAGATTGGCAAACTCCACAGCAGGAATGCTGAATGAGGCAGAACTTTCTCGGAAGAAAAGTGTTGAATCAGTACATTTCGATGGAACAGCCCCCAGAGGCATAATATTTAGTGATTTCAGCCTACATTATTTATTGACTCATCAGGAGTTTGTGGGTTTAACATTTTATTAATATGGCACCAGGTCATCTGAGAAAGTGGTAGCCATAGGAAATCTTCCCAGAAGCACATTTTCATATTATAAACAGTGCCCTTCGAGGACTAAACAGAGTCCCCACTGTGTCTCTGGGGAGAGATAGAAAATGCCACATCTTCTACAAGCCATCTCTCTCTAAGGAAGTCAAATGGCAGTGAGTAAAATCCATACCTACTTTAATTCTTTTGTTGATAATCTTGTAGTCCTTATTCTGTGACTTCAGATTTGTACAGATCTGGGGCAGCTGCAATCTCTAGGACCTAAGGTAGATTTGGGTACTTAAATGAGTCCCTGCTGTTTCATTTGTTAAGTGACCCCCAGATGTCTGGCATCAAAGAAAACTTTCAGTATTGAGAATGTGGAATCAAGATCAAACAAAATCCATATCCAAGGGAATTTGAAAAGGGAATCAATCTATAGTATCAAGTTTCAATAAGATACAATTTAGCCATTTTCCAAACAAAAGGAAAACTCAATACTCATGATTTTTCTCTCCTATATTACATTACATACTATTTTAAGATAATCACAAATGCAGAACAAACTACCATCCGATATTCTTCTTAAAGAGATTGATAGGGATTTGGCCTAGAGATTTGGTTTGGTTTAATCTCAATGATTAATATTTCTATAAGTTTATATTGATTGATATTACAACATTTCAAAATGCCATTTAAGAGCTCAAACAAGAAATAAAGTTGTTAAGAATACTTTTACTGTGTTAGTTAGACATTGATAAGATAGATAGACAGGTAGAATATATAGTCATGTACCACATAACAACATTTCAACCAACAATGGACCACATATATGATGGTGGTCCCATAATATTATAATGGAGCATATATAGAAACCTAACTTATGGCACTTGTTATTGGCATTGCAGATCAAGTAGGGGAAATGACTGATATTTAGTAATGATGCTGGGACATTTGGTTTTCCATGTAAAAAATATATATAAAATAAGTATATAATATTATAAATATATAAGTATATAATATTATAAATATATATAATATACATATAATAATATGCATATACATCATCTAGGTTTGTGTAAGTACACTCTATGACATTCACACAATGACAAAATTGCCTAACGTTGCATTTATCAGAATGTCTCCTCATCATTAAATAATGCAGGACTGTATATAAACATACAGACATATAGCATACGTGACAACTTTCTCATGCATGGCTGAGAACAGGGCTCTGGAGCCAGATTTTTAAATTCAATTCCTGGCTCCACCAGCTGTGTGGCCTTGCCTAGGATGACTTGCCTTCCCATTTTGAGCCTCAGTTTCCTCATTTGTAAACTGGAGGTATTTCTAGCACCTACTTTGTATGTCTGTAAGAGCTAGCACAGTACCTGACACATGGTAAGTGCTAAATAAGTGTTGACAATTATTTCTATGTGTTTATTTTATTATCAATTCTTTTTTGGACCTCAGGTGCACAGGACATCAAGCATACCACTCAGATCAAGGCTCCTTATTAACTTGAGAACAGCCTCTCTTTCATTTTATGTTTTGTTCCTGTATTATTCTGTTCTCCCATTGCTATGAAGAAATACCTGAGGCTGGGTAATTTATAAAGAAAAGTGGTTTAATTGGCTCACCGTTCTGCAGGCTGTGCAGAAGGCATGATGCTGAGTACATAGCTGAGCATCTGCTCAGCTTCCAGGGGAGCCTAAGACAACTTAAAATCATGGCAGGAGGTGAAGGGGGAGCAGGCACATCACATGACCAGAGCAGGAAGAAGAGAGAGAGAGTGAAGGGGGAGGTGCCATACACTTTTCAACAACCAGATCTTGCAAGTACTCACTCACTGTCATAGGGACAGCACCAAGGGGAGAGTGCTAAACCATTCATGAGCAACCACCCCCATGATCCAATCACGTTCCCGCAGGCCTCACCTCCAACATTGGGAATTACAGTTCGACATGAGGTTTGGGCAGAGACACAGATCCAAACCTTATCAGTCCCCATCTCCTGCTTCATTCTACCCCTGAGCACAGGTTTCATTTTAATTTAATTTAATGTAATAGTTGGCATGCATTCTTTCCTTGTAGATGACATCATAAAATGTGTAGACCTGTTTTGTATGCATACATTTTAAATTACGTAAATGCAATTTTGCTTCTTCCTTTTTCCCTCAGATAAGTGTTTTTAAGATATCCTTGTTGCTGTGTGCACACCTTGTCAGTATCATGCATTCACCCTATTTTACATGTCTATTACCACAGTTGTTGGTTGAATTGTGTCCCGCCAAAAATATGTTGAAGCCATAACTCGATATAATTAAACTAAGATGAGTTTTTATTGTATTAAAATCTAAATCCTAAATCCCTAAATCCAAAAACTTTTGTTCTTATAAGATGAGAGAAATCTGAAGACATAAACAGGAAAGAAGGCCATGTAAACATGGAGGCAGATTGGAGTCATGGTGCTACAAAGCAGGGAATGTTAAGGATGGCTTTCAACCATCAAGAATTGGAGGAGGCAAGAAATAATTCTTCCCTAGGAACTTCAGAGGGAGCATGGACCTGCCAACAATTTGATTTCAGACTTCTCATCTTTAGAACTGAGAGATAATAAATTTATTTTGTTTTAAGCCACTCAATTCAAGACAGCTTGTCATAGCAGCCCTAGAAAACTAGTACAAAGTCTCCAACCATTTTTGTAGTAGAACTATCTATTTCTTCCCTTAATTCTGTCAATATTTGTTTCATATCTTTTGGGGCTCTATTGTTTGGTACATATGTATTTACAATTGTTATATCTCCTTGGTGAATTGATCTTTTAAATCAATATTTAATACCTTTTTTGTCTCTTGCAACAATTTTTGAATCAAAGTCTATTTTATCAAATATTAGTGTAGCCACTCTAGCTCTATTTGCATGGACTATCTTCTTATATCCTTTCATTTTCAACCTATAATATTTGTGTCTTTGGCTTTAAAATGAGTCTCTTTTAGACAGCATATAGTTGGACCATTTAAACAAAATCTATTCTGCCAGTCTCTGTCTTTTAACTAGTGAGTTCAATCGTTTGCCTTTAAAGTGACTACTGGTGATTTTTTAATTTAGTTCTTGCATGTCTTTTATCTCTTTGCTCACTGATAACCTCCAATACTGCTTTCTTTTGTGTTAGATTGATTTTTTTCTAGTTTGTCATTTTAATTCCCACCTCATTTCCTTTTATGTATATTTTTAGATATTTTCTTAGTGGTTACCATGGGGATTACATTTAAATCTGAAATTTAAAATAATCTAGTGTGAATTGATATCAAATTAGCTTCAAGAGCATATAAAAACTCTGTTCTTGTACAGTTCAGTATCCCCCTTTATGTTGTCACAAATAACATTTTTATACATTGCATGATTATTAACACAAAGTTAAAAGTACTATTTATGCATTTGTTTTTAAAATAAAATAGGATATAAAAAGAGGAGTTATACATCAAAAATTTAATAATACTGGCTTATGTATTTACCTGTATAGTTACCTTTACCAGAGCTCTTATTTCTTCATATGTGTTCAAATTCCTGTCTAGTTTCCTTTTATTTCAGCCTGAAGGATTCTATTCAGCATTTCTTAGAGGTCAGGCCTCCTAGTGATACACTTCCTCAGCTTTTGTTTATGTGGGAAAGTATTAATTTCTCATTTCATTGAGAATGATAGCTTGCTGGACATAGAATTCTTGGTTGACAGTTTTATTTTATTTTAAGCTCTTTAAATATGTCATCCCACTGCATTTTGCCCCCCACAATTTCTTATCCCTTAGGTTCTATAAATTTTTCTTTATTATTTTTTCTTTCTGCTCTCCAGACTGGATAATTTCAATTGTCCTAGCTTCAAATTCACTGATTCTCTCATGCCTGCTCAAATCTACTAGTGAACCTCTCTAGGTTAATTATTTGTTTCAGTTATCATGCTTTTCAGGCTCAGAATGTCTACTTCATTCATTTTTTATAATATCTATTGCTTTGTTGCTATTCTCTATTTTTTCATATGTAATTCTCCTGTTCACAGTTTCCTTTGTTCACGATTTACTTTAGCTCTTTGAGCATATTTTAGATAGTTAATTTAATTTCTTTGTTTAATGAATCCGATGTTAGGGCTTTATCATTGACGGTTTCTGTCTGTTTTTTCTTTGTTGTGTGTGAATAGGCCATACTTTCCTCTTTTGTATGCCTTTGATGTTTGTTGTTGATGTTGAAAACTTGACGCTGTGAATATTATAATATTGTAACTATGATAATCAGATCCTTCCCCCTCCCCACGGTTTGTTGATGGTGATAGTAAAGAACTGCATTCTGTTTTTTTATTTTTGCAAAGTATTTTTATGAAGACCGCATTCTTTATTGTACATAGTCTTGCAATCTGTTTCATTATTTCCTCATTTGACCTGTGACCTGATAGAGATTTCCTTAAATGCCTGGAGCCAAAACAAAAAACAACAAAAAAAAGATTTTGGTCTTTTCATATTGGCCCTGAGCTGGTACAATACTTTATTGTTTAGACAGGCCACCTATAACTCAGCCTTAGCTTTCATGAAGTTCCATGCCCAAAGATACCCAGAGTTGCAAGTCTAGGGCACTGTCAGTTCTTTTTATGAGAATGTATTTATCTTTGGGTGTAGACTTTACACTCCAGATTACTCATTATGTGCAGTGCCTTTACTTCCTCAAGAGTCTACCTCAGTAGCCACCTCATTCCCAGACCTTTAGGACCATCTGGTATCTGCTCCGTCCTCCATCACTTGTCTTAGGTGGCTATGGGTAGCACTCCAAACACTTTCATGAGATGATACCTAAAAGCCTCCTCCAGCAGAAAGAGATGAAACAATGGTCAGCCTCTGTGCTGGTCTCTCAGGGAACTGCCACATAAGTCAAAACCTACAAATACAATTTATTTTCAGAACAAGGTCTATATTCTGCCACCTACCACCCAGGCAGTGGCACCAGCAAGCCACATCATAAATTCATGTTGTGATTCCCAGGGCCACTGGTGATCTAGGGAATCAAGAATTGTCTGTGGGTCAGAAAAAAAGCCACAGTTTTTTCTTACTAAAATTCAGCTTTCTCTTTTTTCAATAGATATTCTCTGATTATTGTAAGTGTTGAATTAGATTGCAGAGTTTTAGTAAAAGTGGATTCTGCCAGTTTTTCTAAGATTAATGGTGGCTTCAGTGGAGGAACCAATTCTTGGAGCTCCCTACTTAACTAGTCCTATCATGTAACCACACTCCTAATCTTTTAAAATGAAGAGCAGTAGAAATGAACAAAGGTAACATAAAATTTACTGGCTTTCTCATTTTTGATTTCTCTAAAGTCTTACTATTTAAAGCAAAAATAATAACAGATTTTGTGTCTAAAGCATATGTAAAATTGTAGTGTATAAAAATAGTACATAGGTCAGAGGGAGGATTGGAGATATATATAGATATATATAGAGAGATATATACACACACATACACAAACACATTCTTATAATATGTAATTTTAATTTTATTTTTCCCTTTATTCTTATCATTGTATATGTAATGTTTTTGCAGCCCATTTTTTGCCACTTACTATGTGTTGAAGGACATGAACCAATCACAATATTTGTAATGACTTCATGATAATCCCTCTGTGTGTCAGTGAAAATGTATTCACAGATAAAAGGCTCCTGACTAACTAATTTAAGCAGAGAAGGACTTTGCACAAGGCATTAAATTGCTTAATCCATGACAGGAGTGAGACAGCTGGATTTAATGTCTAGAAATGACACCCAAAGACAGCCTGCACCACTAAAAGCCCAGGAGAGTTGCTTCTTTGGACTTAGCATTAGGCCACTTGTATTAGTCACAGTTCTCCTGAGAGTATTACACACATCTCTCTGTCTCTCTGTCGCTCTCTCTGTCTCTCTGTCTTTCTCTCTCTTTCTCTCTCTCTCTCTCTTTCTGTATATATATATATATATATATATATATATATATATATATTTGATGGTTTCTGTTTTTTCTTTTCTGTGTGTGAATAGCCCATACTTTCCTCCTTTGTATGCCTTTCGATGTTTGTTGTTGTTTGCTATATATATATATATATATAGAGAGAGAAATACACATAAAATACACACACATATATGTGTGTGTGTGTATATAATATACAATATATTACATATGTTATATGTAATAAGGATTTGGCTTGCACAATTTTGGAAACTGGCAAGTTCAAAGTTCAAATCTGAAGTAAGATCCAGGAGAACGGATGGTACAGATGAAGCCCAAAAGCACTCTTTTGGAAAATTTTCCATTACTCAAGGTATGGTTTGCCTTTTGTTCTGTTCAGGAATTCAAATGATTCGATGAGGCCCAACTACATTATGGAGGGCAATACACTTTACCAATTGAAATGTTAAGTGTCATCTCCAAACACCCTCATAGAAACACCCAGAATAATGTTTAACCAAATATCTGGGCACCCTATGGCCCAGTTAAGTTGATACAAAATTAATCATCATAAGCATCCCTTGTCAACTTGACAACCATGCACATCTTGAAGAGATAATAACAAGGTCATTCTTCTGCCTAACATGGTGCAAACATCCTGTGTACAACCAAAAACACATGAAATATTTCCCCAGAAAAATAAGCAAAATAATTGGATGATGTTTATATTTTTCGTTTATATCCCAAAACTTAAATATCATGTTGTAAAATGACAATATTTAACTACTATGAAAGAAAGTCAGCCAGGCGTGGTGGTTCATGCTTGTAATCCCAGCACCTTGGGAGGCTGAGGCAGGCAGATCACGAGGTCAGGAGATCGAGACCATCCTGGCTAACATGGTGAAACCCCGTCTCTACTAAAAATACAAAAAATTAGCCGGGCGTGGTGGTGGGTGCCTGTAGTCCCAGCTACTCGGGAGGCCGAGGCAGGAGAATGCCATGAACCCAGGAGGCGGAGCTTGCAGTGAACGGAGATCACACCACTGCACTCCAGCCTGGGTGACAGAGCAAGACTCCATCTCAAAAAAAAAAAAAAAAAGTCAATACTTGTTATGTTACATAATAAGGGAATAAGAGAGAGAACAAAAGATATATATACACTTACACACAGAGACACACACAGACATATAAATAACAAATTAAGAAAGAAATACTCAGTCAGGCATGGTGGTTTATGCCTGTAATCCCAGCACTTTGGAAGACCCAGGCGGGTGGATCACCTGACGTCAGGAGTTCAAGACCAGCCTGGCCAACATGGTGGAACTCCCTCTCTACTAAAAGTACAAAAATTAGCCGGGCATGGCAGTGCACACCTGTAATCCCAGCTACTCAGGAGGCTGAGGCAGGAGAACTGCTTGAACCTGGGAGGCAGATGTTGCAGTGAGCCTAGATCGTGCCACTGCACTCCAGCCTGAGCTACAGAGCGGGACTCTGTCTCAAAAAAAAAAAAAAAAAAAAGAAAGAAAGAAGAAGAAAAGAAATACTCATGACAATTACAGTCCTTACAGTCCTTGTTTCTATAACTGGTCATGTGGTCGTAGCTGGTGTTTATAGCTACCTTCCTCCACTACCCATTCTGTATTACTTTGCCTTCAGCAAGCACCTCAACTGGTTGTAGCTCTTTTTTGGGGGGGATGACTCAAACATTCATTCCTGGAGAGTCATCTGAAACATTAGATTGGGTTGTAGTTTTCTTCTGATTTTAATCACAGGGCATGGTAATACTAAGAGATTCCCTAAGGGATCTTCTGAATTCTAGATATACTTTTCCTTACCTCCATTGTGGAGTAGCAGTCTAATTTCTCCTTGATAATCCAGCCAGACCAGTATCAATCATTCCAGCCAGCATGATAACTTTCTTTGGCAGTTAATTTAGAGGCATGAGGAGCCCCAGATGACTGGGTGGCACTCTTAACTTCAGGTTCAATGGAATCATTTTGTTTCCTGGTGGAAGTATTCCTCCCTTTGGAACTAAGACCCCTAGCCCAGCAGAGTATAAAGTCATGGGAACAGGAAGCAAACATTCCGCTAGTGGTCACCAGGGGTAATGGTGAGTTGTGTCACTCCCATATCTACCCCTTGATTCTTGGTCCTATGCATTTGGCCATGGGAGAAACAGAACCATATATTAGACACTGATTTAAAGCATATTCAGCCTTTTGGAGAACTTTGTCCCAGCCATGCAAGGTATTGCCATCTAGCTGACTCTGTGACTGAGTCTTCAAAGAGCCATTCCACTATCTTACCAAGCCTGCTTTTGTAGCATGGTGGGGAACATAGAAAGGCCAATGAATTCCATGAGCATGAGCCCGTTGCTGCACTTTGTTTGTTGTGAAGTGAGTTCCTTGATCAGCAACAATGCTGTGTGGAATAACATAACAGTGACTAATGCATTCTGTAAGTCCACAGATTGTAGTCTTAGTAGAAGCATTGCATGCAAGGAAGGAAAATACATATTCAGGGTAAGTGCCTTGTCTAGTAGAAACAAAACCCTGCTTTTCCCATAATGGAAGCAATAGAATGTAATCAACCCGCCCCAGGTTACTGACTGATCATCTCGAAGAATGATCCTGTATCAAGTAATAAGTGCTGTTTCTTCTGCTGACTGATTGAGCATTCAACAGTGGCCATAGTCAGGTCAACCTTGGTGAGTGGAAGTCCGTGTTGCTAAGCCCATGCATAATCCCCATCTTTGCCACAATGGCAAAGAGCCCATTGGACTATGACAAATGTGGATGGGGAAAGAAACTGACTGTATCCACAGAATGAGTCATTCTATCCATTTTATTACTAAAATCTTGGTAAGCATTCACATGGGACACAGATATCTTCATGTTTTTCTCCCATTCAAAGAGGTCTACTCTCATACCTCTTCTCCATACTTCGTTTTCACCAATACTCCTATATTGTTCCTTCTAAGGACATGACCATTAAGCCAAACCATTTGCCACAGCTCATAAATCAGTATAGAATCTCATTGCTGGCCATTTCTCATTGTAAATAAAGTGAACAACCAGGTGTGCTGCTTGAAGTTTTGCCCATGGAGAGGATTTTTTCTTTATCAGTGTTCTTCAGGAATGATCCAGAGAGGGTCGCAGTGCTGCAGCTGTCCACTTTTCGGTAGTGTCTGCATATGCTGCAGAACTATCTGTAAACCAGGCTTGAGATTCTTTTCCTCTACAATTGATCATAGGGAACTCTCCATGAGGCCATAGGTTCAGGCTTCTACGGAAGGCATGGACATTTGTGTCATTTCTTCATGTAACTTAACTGTGCCATTAGGGCCTGCTCAAGCTCAATCTTACATATACTACTTCCATTTGATGATAGATTGTTACTGTGCACATCTACCTCTTGAGTTGGTGGGTAAGAAAATACCCAGCTCATAATGGCCAACTCAGCTTGCATGGTAATTTGATGGACCAGGATTAGGTGTTCAGGCTCTAAAAGGGCCCAGGAATAGGCCAAAAGCTGTTCCTCAGAAAGACAGTAGTTATTCACAGGGGATGGCAGATCCTTTCTCCAGAGTCCTATGTCTGCACTGCGATTCACTTAAAAGGGCCTGCCAAAGGCTCCACACAGCACTTCTCCCTGCCACTGACACTTCAAGTACCATTGGATCTGATGGCTCATGTGGCTCAAGGGGCACAGCAGCTGCACAGTAATGTAGGCCTTTTGCAGAACCTTCTCTTTTCTAGGCTCCACTCAAAACTCGCAGCTTTTTAGTTCACTTTGTAAATGGGTTGGACCTGAATGAGGAATACGTTGCCTCCAAAATACTAAGAGGCCTCTAGGCCTTGAGCCTCTTTCTTGGTTATAGGAGGGACGGGATGTTGCAACTCTCTTTCACCTTACAAGGGATATTTTGACACACCCCACAGCACTAGGCCCCTAGAAACTTCACTGAGGTAGAATGCCCTTGCATTTTAGTTGGATTTATTTCCTACCCTCTGACATGCAAATGTCTTACCAATAAGTTCAGAGTGGTTGCTACTTCACACTCACTAGGTTAAATCAGTATAATGTCATTAAGATAATGGACCAGCGTGGTATCTGGTGGAAGGAAAAGGCCTCAAGTTCTGTATGAACTGAATTTATGACACAGGGCTGGAGAGCTGATATACCCTTGGGATAGGACACTCAATTTGTATTGTTGGCCTTGCAGGTTGAAAGCAAACTGCTTCTAATGGCCTTTCGAAACAGATACAGAAAAAAAAAGGCATTTGCCAGATCTCAGATACCAGGTACCAGGGGATGTGTTAATTTGCTTAAGTAATGAAACCACATCTGCTAAAGCAGCTACAATTAAAGTTAATACTTGATTAAGCTCATGAATCCACTGTCATTCTCTAAGGTCCATCTGTCTTCTGCACAGTCCAAATAGCACAATTGAATGTGGATATGGTAGCAACTGCCACGCCTGCATCTTTCAAAGTCCTTGAGAGTAGCACTAATCTCTGTAATCTCTCCAAGAATGCAGTATGGCTTTTGGTTTACATTGTTTAGGTACAGGCAGTTCCTATGATAATGGCCCTCACTCCACAGGTCAGAGAACCAATGTGGGGATTCTGATAGTTGCTGAATATGTCCATTCCAATTATGCACTCTGGAACTGGGAAATAACCACAGGATGGGTTCAGAGATTACCTGAATCTACTATAAGATGAGCTAAAACTCCACTGATCACCTGATCTGCATAACCCCTACTCTGACTGTTGAGTCACAGTGGTGTTCAGTGCCACCAGGAATTAGTGTCAATTCAGAGCCAGTGTCCAGCAGTCACCAAAATGTCTGATTATTTACTTTTCCCTAATGCTTAGTCATCTTGTTAAAAGGCCATAAGCTCCTCTGGGGAAGGCTGAGAAAGAGATTAACATTATAAATTTTTGGCAGTGTCATGGGTTTCTTCCTCAAGGGGACTTGGCTTTTATCCCTTACAGGAAGAATAAAGGCCTTACTTTGCCTCTGATAATTGATTGAGGGATCATGATTCTCTGTTTTTCAGTATTAGAGTTAGACTTTTATTCACTTGACCTACAACTTTTTCTGCTTATACAGATCAAGTAAGAATTTAGTTGGCTTCCTCTCTATTTCACTTCTAGGAGCACCATGATCAACTAGCCAATGCCATAGGTCTCCACGAGTGAGACTATTCTAGTGGCTGCTGTGACATTGCTGTCCACTGTGTCAGCTAGGCCCACCTGGATTTTGGTGGCTGAATGCTGGTACTTGGCTCCTGCCAACCTGGGATCCAGTTACTCCCATTACATTTAGTTTTCCCAATTCAGTGACTCTAGTTTCCACTAAAAATCTTGCCTATAGAGAACAAACACATCAAGGATGCTGAGGCTCTCCTCAAAAATTTATTTCTCACCATTTTGGTGAAAGGTATGTTTTTTGAAGCCTCCCAGGGCATATAAGTAGGTCTTAAATGGAAAATCCACTCTAACATCCCAATGTCTTTAAGCCTTTAATCCCTTCTTCGGCATTAAACCAAGGCACACCTGGCATTTATATTTTAACTCCCTTGCTGTGGGCCACCTTTTGATCCCTTTTTGGGTCCACCAACCAAACTGTTAGAGTCCTTTCTGACTCCCCAAGCTACAATATTAAATGCAGAGTCTCTGCTTAGTGGGCCCATATCAATAAACTTACCCTGATCTAACTTTCTCTCATTAGCCCACACACTTACTATTCATTTCTGCACATATAGCCTGGATTTTTGTCTGTATAAATAAGAAAACACAACTAATTCCCTTGGAGTGTGTCACGCCTCTTCATGGGTCACACTTTCTACCTCGCCTTTAGAGTCCTGTTGTGATGTGAGTGTAGTTATGGGGTGGGACCTGAAAAAAATCAGCTGTGTTTTGCATGGCAACTACCTCAGGGGGCCCATTGCAGTCACCTCAGGCTATACAGTGTTAATTGCCCCAAATAGGTTCAGAGCAGCCATTCCTACTGGGCTGGAGAGTTGTTTCTACTGGCAAAGAAGATTCATCAGAATGTAGGGTCTTAACGATCCCAGCTTCATCAGAGTCTTGCCCCACATACCCATTCCAACTTTCAGGATGCTCTCAGGGCAGCTATTAACTTAAGACAAAGCAGGCTTCCAAAGAAAAAAAAATAGCAGGGATAAAGCAGAGACTTACACAAAGATTGATGAGGCTAATTCTCCAACAAGATGTAAGTTGAACTGAACTGAAACATCAATCAACTGAATCTAATTAACATTTATAGAATAATTCATTGAACGACAGCAGAATATACATTCTTCTCAAGCTCACATTGAAACACTCACAAAGGCCACATGTTTGGCCATAAAACACACCTTAACATATTTAACGTATTTGTTTAAATAAAAATTAAATATAAAATATAAACTCAGATGACAATAGAATTAAAATAGAAATTAACAACAGAAATATACCACAAAAATCCTAAAATGCTTATAAATTAACCTCAAATAACACATGGGTCAAGAAGGAGCCTCAAGAAAAATTTTTACAAAATATTTTGACCTAACTGAAAATGAGAATTCAAATTATCAAAATATGTAGAATGCAATGAAAATAATACTTAGAGAAAAATTTATAGCATTAAATGCATATATTACAAAGGAAGAAGATTTAAAATCAATAATCTAAGCTTCCACATTTGGGAATTATGAATAGAAAAAAAAATTTAAGCCTAAAGCAAACAAATAAGCAAAATTAGAGCAGAAGTCGATGAACATAAAAAATGGAAAATAAGAGAAAATAAAATCAGAAGCTAGTTCTTTAAAGAGATCAATATAATTGATAAACTTCTAGTCAGACTGAGAAAAATACAGAGAAGACCAAAATTATTAATATCAGAAATTTAAGATATGTCATCAGCAGGAATCCCTTCGATGTGAAAAGATAGTAAAATAATATGATGAATAACTCCGTGACCCCGAATTTGATAACTTATATGAAATGGGCCAATTACTTGCAAAATGCAAACTACCAAACTCATCAAAGACGAAATAGATAATCATTACAGGTCAATATGTATAAAAAATAAATCAGGAGTTAATAACCTTCCAAGAATGTCAGCAGAAGGATCAGATAGTTTCACTGGTGCATTGTATCACACATTTAAGACAGAAAATACAATAATTCTCTACAATCTCTTCTGGAAAATAGAAGCAGAGGGAACACTTTCTAATGCATTCTATGAGGCCAGCACTTCTCTGATACTAAAATCAGATAAATCATTATTAGTAAGAGTAAGAAAAACTATAGACTAATATCTCTCAGGAACAAATACACAAATCCTCAAAAAATATTTGTAACTTGAATCCAACAAGGTATAAAAGAATTGTATTCCACAACCAATTTATTTCAGATATGCAAAGCTGGTTCAACACTGGAAAACAATGCTATCTACCACATCAACAGGTAAAAAAATAAAATTTATATGACCATATCTGATATGGTTTGGATTTGTGTCCCTACTCAAATCACATGTCAAATTTGAGGAGGGGCCTGGTGGGAGGTGATTGGATCATGGGGGAAGATTTCCCCCATGCTTTTTTTGTTGTCAGAGTGAGTTCTCATGAGATCTGATGGTCTACGGGTATGTGGCACTTTCCCCTTTGCTCTCTCTCTCCCGTCACCACAGTAAGATGTGCTTTCTTCCCCTTTGCCTTCTGCTATGATTATAAGTTTCCTGAGGCCTCCCTACCATGCTTCCTGTTAAGCCTGCAGAACTGTGAGTCAATTAAACTTCTTTTCTTCATAAATTACCCAGTCTCAGGTAGTTCTTTATAGCAGTGTGAGAACAGACTAATACAGAAAATTGGTACGGGAGTGGGGCATTGCTATAAAGATACCTGAAAATGTGGAAGCGGCTTTGGAACTGGGTAAAGAGCAGAGGTTGGAACAGTTTGAAGGGCTCAGAAGAAGAAAGGAAGACGTGGGAAGGTTTGGAACTTCCTAGAGACTTGTTGAATGGTTTTGACCAAAATGCTGATAATGATATGAACAACGAAGTCCAGGTGGAGGTGGTCTCACATGGAGATGAAGAACTTGTTGGGAATTGGAGTAAAGGTCACTGTTGCTATGCTTTAGCAAAGAGACTGGTGGTATTTTGCCCCTTCCCTAGAGACCTGTGGAACTTTGAACTTGAGAGAGATGATTTAGGGTATCTGGTGGAAGAAATTTCTAAGCAGCAAAGCATTCAAGATGTGACCTGGCTGTTTCTAAACATGTACAGTCATATGCATGAACAAAGAGATTATTTGAAACTGGAACTTACATTTAAAAGGGAAACAGCACAAAAGTTTGTAAAATTTGCAGACTGACCATGTGATAGAAAAGAAAAACCCATTTTCTGGGGAGAAATTCAAGCCTGCTGCAGAAATTTGCATATGTAAAGAGGAGCCAAATGTTAATAGCCAAGAATGGAGTCTCCAAGGCATTTCAGAGACCTTTACAGCACCCCCTCCCATCACAGGCCTGGAGGCCTAGAAGGGAAAAATGATTTAGTGGGCCAGGCCCAGGGCCTAGCTTCTCTGTGCAGCCTTGGGACATGGAACCCTGCATCCCAGCCACTCCAGCACCAGCCATGCCTAAAAGGGGCCAAGGCGCAACTCAGGCAGTGGCTTCAGAAGGTGCAAACCCCAAGCCTTGGCAGCTTCCATATGGTGTTGAGCCTGCATGTGTGCCAAAGACAAGAATTGAGGTCTGAGAACATCTGCCTCGATTTCAGAGGACGTATGGAAACACCTGGTGTGCAGGCAGAATTCTGCTGCAGGGGTGGAGCCCTCATGGAGAATCTCCACTGGGGCAGTGCAGAAGGGAAATGTGGGGTTGGAGCCCTTACACAAAGTCCCCACTGAGGCACTGCCTAGTGGAGTTGTGAGAATAGGGCCACCATCCTCCAGATCCCAGAATGATAGCTCTACCAACAGCTTGCACTGTGCACCTATAAAAACCAAAGGCCCTCAACACCAGCCCATGAAAGCAGCCACAGAGGCTGTACCCTGCACAGCTCCTCCCCAGGGGTGGAACTGCCCAAGGCTTGGAGAACCCACCCCTTATGTCAGTGTACCCTGGATGTGAGACATGGAGTCCAAGGAGATTATTTTGGAGTTTCAAGATTTAATGACTGCCCTGCTGGGTTTTGGACTTGCATAAGGCCTGTAGCCCCTTTGTTTTGGCCAATATCTCCCATTTGGAATGGGAGCATTTACCCAATGCCTGTACCCTCATTGTATCTTGGAAGTAACTAATTATTTTATTTTATTTTTACAGGCTCATAGGTGGAAAGGACTTACCTTGTCTCAGATGAGACTTTGGACTTCGGACTTTTGAGTTAATGTTGAAATGAGTTAATACTGGGGGACTGTTGAGAAGGGATAATTGTATTTTGAAATGTGAAAAGGACATGAGATTTGGGAGGGGCCAGGGGCAGAATAATAGGGTTTGGATTTGTGTCCCTGCCCAAATCTCATGTCGAATTGGAGGAGGGGCCTGATGGTGATGGGATCATGGGGTCACCCTGGTAAGACGTGCCTGCTTCCCCTTCTCCTTCTGCCATGTTTTTAAGTTTCCTGAGGCCTCCCAGCCATGCTTTCTGTTAGGTCTGCAGAACTGTGAGTCAACGAAATCTCTTTTCTTCATAAATTACCCAGTCTAAGGTAGTTCTTTATAGCAGTGTGTGAATGAACTAATACAATATCTATTGATGCAGAAAAAGCACTAGACAAAGTCCAGTACCCATCCTTGATATAAACTTTCAGCAAATAGGAATAGAGGATAACAGCTTCAACTTGACAAGGAACATCTGCAAAAAACCTACAGCTAACATCATACTACTTCGTGGTAAGAAACTGGAAGCTTTCCCCCTAAGTTCAGGGACAAGGCAGGGAGATCTTTTCCCCCCACTCCCATTTAACATTATACTATAAGTCATAGCTAATACAATAAGACAAGAAAGGAAGTAAAAATTGTGTAGGTACAGAGGGAAGAAATAAATCTGTCTTTATTGATTGTGTTAGTTTCTTATTGCTGATGTAGCAAATTATGACAAAGTCCATGGTTTAAAATGATACATCCTTATTCTATTACATTTCTGGAGGCTAAAAGTCCAAAATTAGTCATATAGGGTGTCATGACTTGAATGTGTACCCCAAAGTTCATGTGTTGGAAACTTATTCCCCAATGCAACAATGCTGAGGTGGGAACTTTAGGAGGTGATTAGGTCATCAGGGTTCTTCCCTTATGAATGAATTAGTGCCATTATTGTGGCAGTGGGTTAGTTATTGTGGGAGTGGGTTCCTGATGAAATGATGAGTTTGGCTTCCCTCTTAGCTCTCTCACCATCTCTCACCTTTTGCCTTCTGCCATGGGTGACATAGCCAGAAGGCCCTTACCAGATACTGTCACCTTGATATTGTACTTCCAAGTCTCCAGAACTGTGAGAAATATAATTTCTTTTCTTTATAAATTACTCAGTTTGTGGTATTTTGTTATAGCAACCCAAAACAGACTAAGACATAGGACTAAAATCAAGGTGTTATTGGGGTTGGTCACTTGCAGAGTGGAGTCTGTTCCTTGCTTCTTTCTGCTTCTGGTGGCTGCTTGCATCCCCTGAAGTGTGGCCGCATCACTCCAATCACCATTTCTCTCATCACATTGCCTTCTCCTACCCATAATCAAAGTTACTTCTGCATCCCTTTTATAAGGACACTTGCAATTATATTTCAGGCACTCTGGACAATCTCAGACAATCTCCCCATCTTTTAACCACATGTGCAATATCCCTTTTGCCACGTAACATAATATTCACTGGTTCCAAATATTAGGACTTGGTTAGCTTTGGTAATTATTATTCAGTCTATTGCATACACAGATGACATGATTATTTATGTATAAAATCCTAAGAAATGGTCAAAACAAAGTCCTGGTATTGATGTGATTACAGCAAGATCACAGGATAAAAGGTCAATATTCAACAGTCATTTGTTTTCCATACACCAACTATGGACATTTGAAATTCAAAATTATACTCACAAAAACATTTACAATGGCACCAAAAATGACATTCTTAGGTAAACAGCTAACATAATATGTACAAAATCTATATGCAGGAAACTACTAAACTCTGATGACAGGAATCAAAGAATATTTAAATACATTGAGAGATTTATTTAGACAAAAGAGCCTTTGGGATCCAGGTGGGAGGTTGTGAAACCCTGGTCTGGCTTAAAACCTAGGAGGTTGAGGAAAGGGGAGGCCTGCATCTAGGTGGCAGGCTTGCTGACTGTTGGTGCAGGCAATAGGTCTGGAATCAGCCTCATCTCCTTGTGGGCTCGGCTATAAGCCTGTTTGGCCTTGATCCTGCTACCACAGTCATCTGCCAAAGGACTGGGGTGGAGTCACGGGCACTGCTCCCTCTGGTGATGGGCTCGCTGACCTCAGCCTGGGCAGTGAACTCTGAAGCAGTCCTGTAACTCAGCCATAGACCCTCTCAATTGTGTTTTGAGAGCATTCTTGCCCAAGCACAGTCTTGCCAGGAGATACATCTATCTGTGCATTCAGAGAAGGTCTACCAATCTCAGACCCACAGAAGGTCCTGTAATAGTTTTGTAACTTGGCTCTAGGCCTTCTCATCTGTGAGCTGAGAGCAGTTTTTCCCACTCAAAGACCCCCCAGGAGGCATGCTCAATCTTTCACACCCAGGGAGGCAGGCTTGTTTACCTTGATACCACAGTAGACTCCAAAATGGCCCTGTAACTCTTCTCCAGTCACTCTTACCTGTGCAGTCATGCCTGCCCAGGGACTTACCCAGTGACCCAGGAGGAGCTATCCCAAGGACCTAGAAGGATCCGCACCGGTATACACACCTGGTAACAACCAACTATGGACCCTGAGTAGACAGACACTTGTCCCATCACCAGCCCTACTGACCAAAGTCATGGAGGTATAATCCATGCCAGCTTGAGCACCTGGGAAGAGGCCCACTAAACATGGTCCCCACTGTGGGCCCAGCAGCAGTTGTAACTCAGCTCTGACTCCACTTGACTGCAATCTCAGAAGTAATCCCATTAGCCTAGGGACCCAACAGAAGGTCTTGACCTTCTGTCTAACAGCAGTAGCATACTTACTCTTCTCCAGAGCACATGGAACATTCTTTAAGATAGATCATATGCTGGGATATAAGACAATTCTTAGCAAATTTAAGAGTGTTGAAATCATATCAAGTATCTTTTCTGACCACAGTTGTATGAAATTAGAAATCAATAACACAAGAGATTTTGGGAAATTCACAAATATGTACAAATTAAACAGCATACTCCTGAAATCAATGGCTCAAATAAGAAATCAAAAGAGAAATTTTAAAGTATCTTGAGACAAGTAAAAATAGAAACACAACATACCAAAACGTATGGGATGCAGGAAACACAGTTTTAAGAACAAACGTTATAGCAATAAATGCCTATATTAAGAAATAAGAATAATCTCAAATATACAAGCTACTTAGCCCAAAAAAAAACCAGAAAAGCAGCACAAACTCAGTCCAAAGTCAGAAAATTAAAAAATATATATTAGAATAAAAAGAAATAAAATAGAGACTAGAAACACAATAGGAAATATCAACAAAACTAAAGTCGCGTTTTTGAAAAGATAAGCAAAGTTGAGAAAACTGTAGTTAGAGTAACCAAGAACAAAAAAGATGGCTCACAATAAAGAAAACGTAACGAAAGAGGAGGCATTACCACTGATACCACAGAAATACAAAGGATCATAAGAGACCACTATGAACAACTATACACCAACAAATTGAATAACCTAGAAGAAATGAATAAATTCCTAGAAATGTACAACCTGCAAAAAGTTAATCATGAAGAAAGAGAAAATATGAACAGAACAATAATGAGAAAGGAGATTAAACCTGTAATCTAAAACCTCAAAGAAAAGAAAATCTCAGGACTAGATGGCTTCAAGGTGAATTCTATCAAATATTTGAAGAAGAATTCATGGCAATTCTCCTCAAAATCTTCCAAAAAGTTGAAGAGTGGGAAGGACTTCCAAACTAATTTTATCAGGCCAGCATTATCTTTATACCAAAGCTAACTAAGAACACTACAAGAAAAGAACATTACAGGACAAAATCACTGATGAACATAGATGCAAAACTCCTCAACAAAATGTTAGCAAACCAAATTCAACAACACATTTAAAGGATCATACACTATAATCAAGTAGGATTTATCCTGGGATGCAAGGATGTTTCATAATGTGCAAAACAATAATTGCGATATACCACATTAACAGAATAAAGGATAACAATCATATGATCACCTCCATAGATTCAATAAAAGCATTTTACAAAATTCAACATAAATTCATGATACAAACTTCACAAATGACATATGGAAGAACTGTGCCTCAATACAAGAAAGGCCGTATATGACCATCCCACAGCTAACATCATACTCAGTGATGATAGCTGAAAGCTTTTCTTTTAAACTCAGGTACAAGAAAAAGATGCCCACTCTTGCCACTTCTGTTCAACATAGTACTGGAAGTCTTAGCCACAGCAATTAAGAGAGAAAAGTAAGTAAAAGGAACCCAAATTGGAAAGAAAGACATTAAATTATCTCGGTTTGAAGATGACATGATCTTAAATATTGAAAACTCTAAAGACTCCATGAAAAAACTGTTAGAACTAATAACTAAATTCAGTAAAGTTTCAGGATACAAAATCAACATACAAAAGTCAGTGGGTTTTCTATACATCAACAACCAACTATCCAAAAAATTAAGAAAACAGTCCCATTTACAATAGCATCAAAAACGATAAAATAGTTAGAAATGCATTTAATCATGCATGTGAAATATCTAGATATGTATGCTGAAATGTATAAAACACTGATGAAAGAAATTAAAGGAGACACACATAACTGGAAAGATAGCTCATGTTCACTAATTGAAAGAATTAACATCGCAAATAGATCCATACTACCCAAAGTGATATACAGATTTGATGTAATCCCTATCAAAAATCCAATGACATTTTTCACAGAAATAGAAGAAACAATCTTAAAATTTGTACAGAATCACAAAAGACTCTGAATAGGCAAAGCAATTTTGAGAAAGAGCAACAAAGCTGTTAAGAATTATACTTCCTGATTTCAAACTATATTGCCAAGGTACAGTAAATAAAAACAGTATGATACTAGCATAAAAACAGGCTCTTAGAACAGAATAGAGAGCCCCAAATTAAATGCCTTTGAGAAGAGTCCTAAGAATACACGATGGGTAAAGGATACTCTCTTTAATAAATGATGGGAAAACTCCATAACCACATGCAAAAGAATAAAATTGAACCATTATTTTATACCAAATGCAAAAGTTAACTTGAAATAGGATTAACAACTTATATGGGCCAGGCGCAGTGGCTCATGCCTGTAATCCCAGCATCTTGGGAGGCCGAGGCAGGTGGATAACCTGAGGTTGGGAGTTCGAGACTAGCCTGACCAACATGGTGAAACCCCATCTCTACTAAAAGAAAAAAAAAAATTAGCCAGGCGTGGTGGTGCATGCCTGTAATGCCTGTAATCCCAGCTACTCAGGAGGCTAAGGCAGGAGAATCACTTGAACCTAGGAGGCAGAGGTTGTGGTGAGCTGAGATCACACCATGGCACTCCAGCCTGGGCAACAAGAGGGAAACTTCATCTCAAAAAAAAAAAAAGAAAACTTACATGTAAGACTTGAAACCGTGAAATTCCTAGAAGAAAAAAGAGAGAAAAAGTTTCTGTACATTGGCCTTGGCAATATTTTTTGGATATAACACCAAAAGCACATAGCATGAAAGCAAAAATAAATAAATGGGAATACATCACACTAAAAATCTTGTGCACAGCAAAGAAAACAATCAACAAAACAAAAAGCCAAGCTACAGAATGGGAGCACATATTTAAAAACTATATATCTGATAATGGGTTAATATTCAAAATACTGAATACACATACAACTCAATAGCAAATTAATAATAATAATGATGATGATGATAGTAACGTATTGAAAAATGGGCAAATGCCCTGAACAGACATTTTTTCAAAGAAGACATACAACTGTCCAACGGGTGTATGAAAAGCTGCTCAACATCATGAATCATCAGGGAAATGCAAATCAGAACCACAGTGAGACTGAGACATCACCTCACACCTGTAAGGATGGCTATTATCCAAACGACAAGAACTAACAGGTGTTGGTGCGGATGTGGAGAAAAGAGAATCCTTGTACACTGTCAGTGGGTATATAAATTGATATAGTCAATTTATATAGAAAACATTGTTAGTTCTGCAAACTATTAAAAATAGAACTACTATATAATCCAACAATCCTATACCTAGGTACATATCCAAAGAAAAGGAAAAGGATAGTGAAAGGAAATAAAATATCTTGAAGTGCTATCTACACCCTCATGTTTATTGCAGCATTATTTACAATAGGGAAGACATGGAATAACCTGTGTCCATTGACAGATGAGTGGATCAAGAAACTATTGTCTATATACACATATATATGATGTGTATATATACATATATATATGATGTATATATACACACATATATACAATGTGTATATATACATATATATGATGTATATATACACATATATATGATGTATGTATATACATATATATGATGCATGTATATACATATATATGATGCATATATACACACATATATACAATGAAATATTATCCAGCCATAATAAAAGAAGAAAATCCTGCCATTTGTGACAACATAAGTGAATCTGGAAGACATTATGCTATGTGGAATAAGCCAGATACAGAAAGGCAAATACTGTATGATCTGACATATATGAATCTAAAAAGTGCAACTCATAGAAGCAAGGAGTGGAACAGTGCATGCCAGTGTCTGAGGGGTGGGAAAAATGGGGAGATGTTGATTTAAGGGTACACACTTTCAGTTATAAGATAAATAATTGCTGAGTATCTAATGTACCACATGATAATTATAGTTAATAATATTATTTACTAGAAATTTGCTAAGAAAAAGTATCTTAAGTGTTATCACAACACACACACACACAAAGGGTAACTCTGTGGTGATGGATAGGTTGATTAATTTGATGGTGGTAACCATTACACAATGAACGTGTATAGTATATGCACATCACATTGTACATCTTGAATGTATATTATTTTTATTTGTCAGTTATAGTTCAATATAGCTGAAAGAAAGAAAAAAAGTAACTCAAAATGAATCATAAACCTAAATGTAAATAGCAACACTTTGAAACTTTTAGAGGAAAATAGAGAAAATGTAGGTAACCTTGGGTTTGGCAATGAGTTTTTCAACACAACATCAAAAACATGGTGGATGAAAGAAAAATAGGTAAGTTAAACTGTATTAAAATTAAAAGCTTATGCTCTGCCAAAGACATTGCAAGATAATAAAAAAATAAGCCTCAGACTTGGAGAAAATATTTGCAAAACATATGTCTGATAAAGAACTTATATCTGAAGCTTACAAAGAACTTTTACAGTTAAACAATAAGAAAGCAAACAACTCAATTAAAATGAAGTTAAAAGATCTGAACAGAAAACTCAGCAAAGAAAATATACAAATGGCAACCTAAAATAATTTTTGAAATCATTTCCCAATTGGGAATTGCAAATTGAAACCACATACAGGTAGACATGCATTAGAGTAGATAAAATCTGCAAAAATTGCACCACCGCATGCTGGAGAGGATTCAGTATGGAGGAACTCTCTTTTGCTGCTGGTGTGAATGAAAAATGGTGCAGTCATTGGAAGATAGTTAGGCAGTTTCTTGCAAAGCTAAACATAGTCTTACTATGTGATTTAGCAATCAAGTTCCTAGTAAGAATTGATTTGAAAACTTATATTCACACCAAAAGCTGCATGAAAGTGTGTTTTAGCAGCTTCATTCATAAACTCCAAAACTGAAAGCAACCGAGGTAAACAAAGTAGAGAGCATCCACACAAGTGACTGTTATTCAGCCATAAAAAGAAATGAGCTATCAAGCCATGAAAAGACATGGTTAAATTTTAAATGCATATTACTAAGTGAAAGAAGCCAATTTGAAAAGGCTACATAGCATATGATTCCAGCTATATGAGGTTCAAAGAAATGCAAAACTATGGAGTCAGTAAAAATAGTTGTTGCCAGAGGGGATGGGAGGGGTAAATAGGTAAAGCGCAGGATTTCTATTTTTTATTTTTGTTGGTACATAGTAGGTATATATATTTATGAGGCGTATGAGATGTTTTGATACAGGCATGCAATAAATAACAATTGCATCATGGGGAATGGGGTATCCATCCCCTCAAGCATTTATCCTTTGTGTTACACACAATCCAATTATACTATTTTAGTTATTTTAAAATATACAATTGAATTATTGATTATAGTCACCCTGTTGTGCCATCGGATGCTAGGCTTTATTCATTTATTCTATTTTTTGTACCCATTAACTTTCACCACATCCCCTCCACCCCCCACCCCACTCCCCTTCCCAGCCTCTGGTAACCATCCTTCTACTCTCTATCTCCATGTGTTTTGATTTTTAGATCCCACAAATAAGTGAAAACATGTGATGCTTGTCTTTCTGAAAGCATACGTTTTTTGAGTGCTGAAACTATCCTAGTGGGCTTAAATCCCCACTCCTTAAGCACGAGGTGCTTCGTTCCAAAGAGTACGGTGTGGAAAGTGGGAAAAAAAGAGCAACTTTACGTGAAGAAGCCTGACAAAGACTCCCGGAGCCAGGTGACCAAGGTCCACATCAGCAGTGGTGGGCCATGCTGGCACCTGCCTAATCAGAGAAAGAATTCACATCAATTCCATTCGAGGGACATCTTACCAAGTATGACCGTTACTCCTCAAATTTATCAGTGTCATCAAAAACAAGAAAACTCAGAGAATCTGTCACCACCAAGAGAGCCTAAGGAGCCGTGAGAGGTAAGTGCAGTGTGGAGTTATGAACAGACACCTGGAACAGAAAAAGAAGTTCTACAAAAAATAAGGAAATCTGGGCCAGGGGCTGTGGCTCACGCCTGTAATCCCAGCACTTTGGGAGGTCGAGGCGGGCAGATCATCTGAGGTTGGGAGTTCGAGACCAGCCTGACCAACCTGGAGAAACTCCGTCTCTACTAAAAATACAAAATTAGCCGGGCGTGGTGGCGCATGCCTGTAATCCCAGCTACTCAGAAGGCTGAGGCAGGAGAATCGCTTGAACCCGGGAGGCAGAGGTTGCAGTGAGCCAAGATCGTGCCATTGCACTCCAGCCTGGGCAACAAGAGCGAAACTTTGTCTCTAAATAAATAAATGGAAATCTGAATAAACTGTGGTATTTACTTAATAACAATCATATATCACTATTGATCCATTAACTTTAAGAATGTAAGATGTTAATAATAGGGGGAAAAGGTTATGCTGGCATATGCAAGATCTCTGTAGCTTCGCAATTTTTCTGTAAATTTAACACCATTCTAAACAATAAAGTATTTTTTAAAACACTGCTTTATGCTATTTCTATCTCACCTAAAACAGATCCAAAGTCAAATCACACATAAGTACATCTCATTGGCAGAGCTAAGTCATGCCTGTAATCCAGGGAGCTTAGCAAATGTAGTTTCTGGCTTTCTGGTCTCTGCAGTCCAGGGAGACACAAGGGAAGAAGATTGGAAATGAGCCAGTCCACAAAATTGCCTATCAGTTGTCATATCAAAACTCATTTAACCATTGTCTTTTAGTAGCTATTTAAGCTCTATCCAATTTTTTCTCTGTTACCAACAGTGCATCTAAGTAAATGTTTCTAGAAGGTAAATCAGAGGTCACAGGATTTGTATATTTTAATAGATATCCCCTGAAAAACCATCAATATATATTCCCATGCAAACCACTGCCAACACAGGTAGTTAATACTGGTTCATAATTTTATGAATCCATTGGGTAAAAATATTCCGTATCATTGCTGCTTCAGTTAATGTTTCTCTGATTACAAATGAGGTGACTGTTCTGACCACTTGCATCCACCCTGCGGGACTGGACAGATAAGCTCATAGCGGTTTGTTGCTTACATATGCTCAAGGCCTCGGGGAGGAGGACATTGCATTTTACACAGGGCCATAAGGGACTTGCACATGGGAACACAGAGAGCCTGCAGGGACTCTAGTGAAAAGGAGGCAGGCTTTGAACTAACAAGATGCTGAGGTGCCTCCAGGCCCCATGTGAGGATGTGACTAGCTTTTTTGAATAATTTCATGAGCTGGCAGGGAAGCGAAGCCCATTAGAGTGAGGATCAGGTTAAGTGAAGCTAGTCCAGCTAATGGGGAACTGGCCAGGCAAGGAGCCTTTCCCACTGGCGGGGGTACACGTCTGGTGTGAGCATAAGGACTTAGGATTAGACCCTTGGGGCCTTGTGAGGGTCGAAGGCGTTAAGGTGGGAAATGAAATTTCAGGCCTTACGATACAGTGACCATTTTTTCATAGATTTATCGACTAATTGTATCTCTTTTTCTTTTAATTGTCTGCTTTGTTTTCTAACTAATTTTATTTATGTTATTTCTGGGAACATTTTGAAAAAAAATACTAGTTTTTAACTCTCTTTTTTTGGTTACACATATTAAAAACACTTTTGCCCAGTCTGTTGCTTTTTGCATTAAAAATGCCCTTTGACAACTTTAAATCTGATTTTGACACTGTGCTGCTTAGAGCACTTCACTGACTTTTGAAGCAAATTCTAAAAGTTTTCACCTGGCCGGGTGCCCTGCGTGAGCGGCCTCACTGGCTCTCACTTACACTCCCGCTGTCCCCACTTCTCGCCCGGTTCCTTCCAGCCTCCTCTGCTTCTTCGCATCCCTGCCTCTTCCACCTCTGGGCCTCCTGCTGGAGATTCTCTTCTCTTGGTGCATTCCTGTGAGAGACTGATGGGCATTGAGGGGTGAGCAGTAGCAGTTGTAAAATTGATCAAAGATGGTCATATACCCATTGTGGGGTTTATCACATTTCTTGTATTGTTCTTCACTGAGTTTCCAACAGCCATTTTATTGATTAATGCTAAAATGGAAACATATATCTATGGTTCAAAATTTAAAATATTTAAGAATCTGTAGTAAAAACAAAAACAAAAACACAGTGTTCTTCCCCCAGGGCTGGCGGCGGGGACAGTGAGAGGGTTAGAAGCGCCTGCTGAGAGCCGAGCTGTCCTTGTCTATCTTGCCCTCTCCTGGCCATTGTTTTGCTAAAAGCATTTTTAAGTTCCCTGGTTCTCTTTAATACGTAGTTTATGAGATTTTCCCAGGTCTATTTGTCAAGACCTCATGATATCATCTGTCTTGTTTTTCCTTTGTTGTCGCTTCATATGGATTTTTTATTTCTGCAGTGTTCTTCCTCCTTTCCATGTCCTAATGGACTCTGACAGCTCTGTTCACATCCTCTCCCACTGTCACACGGCCTCTTACTTGAATATCCTGACTCTTCCGTGACAGTTCTCGTTTCAGGTGCAGAAAATGCTGCCTGCTGCATAGAATCTTTGTGCAGAATGAAGCACTGTTGGTGAGAATCCCTCTCTGTGTCCTTGAAAACTGTCTTTCGTGATATCTGCCCCGATGTGCCTCTGTCTTTCCTTTTTTCCCTCCATCAGGTATTTGATGGATGCTGCCAATTGATTGTTTGATGGCAGTTGTTCTCCATGGGCCCAGGCCGTTCTTCTCAATATGACTCATCTTGGAGAAGGGACAGTCAGTAGCCCCATTGGCTGAGCTAGTACTGCCGAGGGGTGGGATGGGAGTGTGGCGGGATGCGGGATAGGGAAAGCCTATCTACGGCTTTCACGTGGGTGTGTTCTTGAGTGCCCTCCAACAAACCTGCTCTTTCTTCGCCCTGGGGACACTCCTTCACCTTCCCCAGACTTAGACTCTTAAGCCCTTCCAGCTTCTCCACTTTCCCGCTGTGTGCCTCTGGCCCTCTTCCATCAGGGAAAGCAGCTGGGGCCGGAACATACAAGTGAACACGGAACCTGCCCTTTTAAGAGCACGTGTATCCTGGCCCAAGGTCTCAGGTGGCAGAGATCAACTTTTTATTGGCTCTCGAGCTCCAGTCAAGATGTTTTGAGAATATAGCCATTTTCTTGTTATATATAAATTGGATTTTTTGCCCTCTATTTTTTATTGTTGATTTGTGTGCATATACATGAGTGTATAAATATGTGTGTATATACACATATGTGTATACATTCATATACATATACACAAACAAATCAACAACAAAAAATATATATGCACATGTGTGCATATATATATATTTTATATATATATATATACACACACATACCTAGTAATACATATATATTTGTGGGTTTTGAGAGATGAGATTAAGGAAAATCATCTTTTTTTTTTTTTTTTTTTTTTGAAACAGAGTCTCGCTGTCGCCCAGGCTGGAGTGCAGTGGCGCAATCTCGGCTCACTGCAGTCTCCGCCCCCTGGGGTTCACGTCATTCTCCTGCCTCAGCCTCCCAAGTAGCTGGGACTACAGGCGCCTGCCACCTCGCCCGGCTAATTTTTTGTATTTTTAGTAGAGACGGGGTTTCACCGTGTTAGCCAGGATGGTCTCGATCTCCTGACCTCGTGATCCGCCCGCCTCGGCCTCCCAAAGTGCTGGGATTACAGGCGTGAGCCACCGCGCCCGGCCGGAAAATCATCTTTAAACAGAAATCAATTTATACTTTTTCTGAGTAAATTTCTATCCTCATCTTTGAATTTCCCTTACATAATAATGTAGCTGACATAAGATTAAAATGAATCAAAACCACTAAAGTAGTTTTACATACTTTCAAAAAGAGGATGTAGAGCTTTAATATCATCATTTTTTGGAAGAACCTAGGGTCCTTAGCTCAGCATTTATTATCTGTTAGGAACCTGATGAAACCCACTGAGACCTTTCAAATTGGTTCTTCCCCATGTTTTTCTGAGGCTATCTAAATGGGCAAGGAGATAATACAGATAGAAGGAAGTTGCTGTATTGGGAAGGAAACAGGAATTGGAGGCCAGGAAAGGAGCTTAGCTACAGCAGAGACAAGAGGATGATCAAATTCGGTGTTTTTCTATGACCAAGTTAAGAATTGCATTGATGATCTGCAACACTTTTTTTTTCTTTTTCTGTTTTAACACAACAATGTGGACGGAGAATCTTTTCTGTCATGATTATAATCGTTAATATAATTGCTGTGACTATTCAACCTTCAGAAAGCTGGTTTCCATCCAGCCCTGGCTCTGGGGCTCACAGGCTCTGTTGCCACATAAGGAAGCAGCACTGGGCAAGTTCCTGGACCACTTGCACCAGCACCATAGGGAGCATGAATCCACTGGTGATTTGTGGTTGTTCATTTATTTCGTATAATGAGAACAAACTCCCTGCCACATTTAAATAAAAGCCTAATTACATCTCCATTGCTACAGATGCTATTACTACCTTTCTGACTGGCTATAAAAGTTAATGAGTTTTTTATTGCTTTGCAGAGTTTCAAAATAAAATGCAAAGTTTAGAGATAGATGCTATATAAGGTGAGGTCCACTCTGCTTTGCTCTTTTTGAGGGAACCTAGAACCTTAATTTAATGCTTTTCATTTTAGAATATGGCCTGCTTTGCATTATTTCCCATTTTTTTGGACATAAGTATGGCACAGGGATTAAATATAACTAAGCACCATTGAAGAAAATTGCATCAAATCAGCTGAAGATAAGTGAAGAATGTTTTTATGAGCTACACGTTTTTGAAAGAGATACACAAGGCTGACAACCTAATAAAAGTTTAATAATGTGTGCTCACCCATTTGCTATGCTTTCAAGGTCCTCTGCAACACTGATGTGCTTGGGAACTTCCAGGATGGATTTCCAACTGTTAGTCACCAACTAGCAGAGGTTAGTTGTATTGTGCTGCCAGTCTCATATATGTAAACCTGAATTTGTTTTTATTCCTTCCTGCATTGCTTGATTTTTAAAAATTCAGTTACTCTAGGAAAAGAAAAGCCAAAATAAGCCAGAAATTTATATTTTTTCTTCATATTTCAAGAATCATTCTAAAAGCAAGTGATAAAGTTAACTAATTTCTCTCTGCATTTAGTACAGTTACTTTATCTTCCCAAAGAGGAAACCAAGGCCTGGAATCAATGCCATGTAGGCACGTGCAGGTCTGTGTGCTACACTGTGGTGGCACCGCACAGGGCACCTGGAAGCATGGATTTGAGCCTGGTCTGCACAGAAGCCTGCTTTTCAAGAGTTAAACGAGGCAAAATAACTTGGCACAATGCATTTCACATGCAGTGCTTACTGAATGCCATGAAAAAGCTGGCACTATGCCAGGGATGGAAGTTCAGGGGCAAAGACATTGTCCCATCTTCCAGGGACTCTCCCTCCACAGCTGGGGCTTAGGAATCATAATGCAACCAGCAAGTCAACTTCCAGGATTAAGGTTAGAAGAGACACCTAAGTTGAGGAACCACCTGGAGGTCTTCCTGGAGGCTAAGGAGTTGGCTAAGGTTGTAGGCTGAGCTAGTAGTGGTGGGCAGGTGAGTATGGAGGAGCCGAGGCTGCAGGCTGGTGAGCCCCGTTAGCAGAGGCTGCAGGGCCAGCACTGCTGACTATGGATCTGGTGCCAGACCTTGTCTGCGTGGCAGCTGGACCAATGGGCAGGGAGCAGGTGGGGCATGCGTTCTTCGGGCTTCAATCATGTGCCTCAGGGAATGGGGAGACATGGAGGATTTCAAGTGGAGGAATAGTGTATTAGATTTCCTTTTCATAACAGTCACCCTAACTGCCATTTGTACAAGTGTTGATATGTTTCAAAACTAAATGCTGGATACCTATGAGGAGTAAGCCAGACCAGACTTTACAAACTTCAAGACTCAGGAGAGGCAGGAAGAGAAAGTGGTAGTTGATAAGGAACAAACTGGAGATGAGAAATAGGAGTGTGTAGGTCACCCCTCTGCCCCGTTTTTGTCAGGGACAGTGCACCTATCAAGTACCAACCACATTCTGGATCCAACACCCTTTCATTTTGCAATCAGGGATGGGTCAGAGTGTGTTTCCTTGGTCATCTCCATGTTTACCTCCCCACCACCACCTGTGCTTAGACTCAACTGTGCAGAACTGGTAGAAAGATGAACTTATCCTCAGTGAGAAATCCCGGAGCTCACACCTTAAAGCTGCACTCTTGCCAACCCCACACCTACCACCAGAACCTGGAGACCTTCCTTCAAGTGCAACAGTGATTTATTACTCGAATGTTTACTGAAGATGCACACAGACAGGTTCTAAACGATGCTCCTGCTTCGAGGCTATTCTTCCCAATAAAAATGCAGGGTTTTCTCTTGACCTTCCTGAGTGATTGGATCAAAAGACATTTTATATCATTGCCAGAAAATCTGGATTCAAAAACTGTTGAGTGTGTGGGTTGGGGTCAGTGCCTTTCCTTTCTTTTTTAAAAATTATTTTTAAGTTGTGAATACACATAAAAACTCATCATCTTAGTCATTTCTAAGTATATAGTCCAGTGGCATTAAATGCATTCACCTTTTTGTGCAACTATCACCACCAACCATCTATAAAACTTTCATCTTCTTAAAATGAAATTTTGTACCTATTAAATGCAAACATGCTATCCCCAACTCCTTATCCCCTGGCAACCACCATTCTATTTTCTGTCTCCATGAGACTGAGCACTCCAGACACCTCATGTAAGTGGAATCACACAGTGTCTGTTCTTTTGTGCCTGGCTTATTTCACTCAGCATAATGTCCTCGAGGTTCATCCATGTTCTGGCGTATAGAAGATGTCCTTCCTTTCCGAGGTTGGGTAATGTTTCATTATACACATGGACCACATTTTGCTTATCCATTCATCCACACAAGGACACCTGGGTGACTTCACTTTTTGGCTATTGTGAATAACGCCACTATGAACATGGAGTCCCCTGTATTTCTAATCATAGGTATTGGTCTTCGGTTTGGGGACTCATGAAATTCCACTCCTACTTCTCTGTTCTTCTACTGCTCCTCCACATCTTTGTTCTTACCATGAGTGGTATTTTGTTTCTAATAAATGAAAAAGTATGATAGATATGATACTTCATTTAATGAAATGATCAACACAAACCTCGGGCAAATCACTTAATTTCTTCACAATGTGGCCTTCTCATCTGTAAAACAGTGATGTCATTCTTTACCTCTTTGGCTTATGAGGAAGATAAAATGAGACCATGTCTGTAAAGAGCTTAGCACTTAGACTGTCACGTAGCATCTGCCCAGCAAGTTGAGGTTGGTACTTGGTTCCCCACAGTGGGGAGCAGGGATTGAGGCAGAACTCATTCATATGGGCATAGGGAACAGATAGAGCCACAAGCTCAGAGCCAGAGGGACTGTGAGGGCAGGTGCACCCTTAAAGATCTTTAGGAGAAAAGATTTCCAGCCTTTGTCACTGGGCACTGGAGTTCCCTGATAAATTCAATTGGCAACCAGTAGGGTTTTCAGGGTAGTAGTGCAAGACAGAACCCCCCAAGCCTGGTAAACAAGGGCTCACAATTCTTCAGCTCCTCTGGCCCTGTTACCCTTCCTGGGATGGTTTGAGTAACACAGCCCCAGAAGGGGAATCCACCCTGTGATGGGCTGAATTGCATCCCCCTCACTTTCATGTTAAATCCTAATCCCTAATACCTCAGAGCATGATCTCATCTGGAGGCAGGATTTCAAGTGAGGTCATTAGGATGGACCCTAACCCAATGACTGGTGTCCTTATAAAAAGGGAAATTAATAAGGTCATTAGGGTGGGCCTTAATCCAATATGACCTGGTGTCCTTATAAAAAGGGGAAATTTGGACACAGAGATGTACATACATACAGGGAAGATGATCTGAAGAGACAGAGGGAGAAGGCAGCTGTACTAGTCTGTTTTGTGTTGCTATAAAGGAATACCTGAGACTAGGTAATTTACAAATAAAAGAGGTTTATTTTGGCTCATTGTTCTGCACACTGTACAAGAAACATAGTGCTGGCATCTGCCTCTGGTGAGCCCTCAGGAAGCTTTTACTCATGGTGGAAGGTGAAGGGGGAGCAGGCATGTCACATGGTGAGTGAAAGAGTAAGAGAGAGAGGGAGGAGGCACCAGGCTCCTTTAAACAACCAGCTCCTGCATGAACTCACAGAGAAAGAACTCACTCATCACCACAGGGAGGGCACCAAGCCATTCCATGAGGGATCCGCCCCCATGACCCAAACACCTCCCTCCAGGCCCCACCTCCAACATTGGGGATCACATTTCAACATGGGATTTGGAGGGAAAAAATAACAAAACTATAGCTCAGCCATCTACAAGCCAAGGAGAGAGGCCAGGAACAGATCTTTCCCTCACAGCCCTCAGAAGAACCAACCCTGCCACCACCTTGATTTTGGACTTCCTGCTTCCAGAACTGTGAGACCATACATTTCTGTTGGTCAAGCCACACTCACTATACAGTATTTTGTTATGACAGCCCCAGGAAACTAATGCACACCTCTACAACCCTTTCAGGGACAATGGAAGATGCTGGTGAGAGCCCCTCCAAGCCAGTGGAACCCAAGGAAGCAGAGTGACTGACAAAACAAACTTCTGGCCTTCAAGGACAATTATAAAGTCTGTATAAGCTTCTAAAGTGTGGCTACATTGCATATTAGTAAATATCCTTTTTTTGGCCAAAGTATTTTATTTTACTATTATACTATATGTAATTTGCAAATCGTTTCACAAGAAATTTTTAAAGCAAAGTTATAAAAATGTATATAAAAAAGTACAGAGTTGACAGGAAAATTACTTTTTTTAATAGTTCAAATAAAATCTTTTTGTTTTTCTTATGCTGGCTGAAAATTGTATAATCTATTCTTCCATAGATAGTTGCAATATTACATTTTAATGAGCAGTCTCATAGTTAATTCATTTATTAAAAACAGGTTCACCCTTTGGATGATGAGAATCAATTGCTCGATTTTAAAGAGAACGATAATAAAATTTGTCATATACGACATGAAGTCATAAATAGCTCTTCAAAATTCAGATGTGTTCAGCCTTGTTTCTCTATTAAATTCTTCACAGTTCTAAGTTAAGGAAGTGTCTTTTACTTTAGCCCGACTTCAGAGCTAAAGTCTGGTTTAACTTCAGAGATCCAGAAGTTGTGGCTGTGAGGCATTTTATGGCAGCAGCTGGTCTGATGACAGTGGCTGCTCCCTGGCTATGCTTTTCAACCCCCATAATCACAGAGAGGCATTTTGCTTAAATCTTCAGGTTTTTGCTGTAGCATTGTCATAAAATATTCTCTAGCTTTGTCCACATGCAGCCCATGGAGGTCTGAGACATTTGGTGACAACAGGGAGGCGTGATGAGCTTTGCACGTCTACTTATGGGGACTGACCTGGTGGGCATGCCCTCCACTTCTGTAGGTGCATGAGGGCATCTCCTCTGCAACCATCCAATGCCTAGAAATGGTCCACTTTTTTTTTTTTTTTTTAAGACAGAGTCTTGCTCTGTTGCCAAGGCTAGAGGGCAGTGGCGCAATCTTGGCTCACTGCAACCTCTGTCCCTAGGTTCAGGCGATTCTCCTGCCTCAGCCTCCTAAGTAGCTGGGACTACAGGTGCCCACCACCACGCCCCACTAATTTTTGTATTTTTAGTGGAGACAGGGTTTCACTATGTTGGCCAGGCTAATCGCAAACTCCTGACCTCAGGTGATCCGCCTGCTTCGGCCTCCCAAAGTGCTGGGATTACAGGCATGAGCCACCACGACCGGGCCCACTTCGTATGTCTTGAGTCTCTTTCTTTGCCTTTTCTCTTTAGCCTTCCATTCAGCAGAAGTGACATTTGCATTTTCATGAAAAACTCCTGTGCTATAACTTTTTGTAAACGATTCCTTTCAAGAACACAGTTTTAAAATTGCACTGTATGTTCTAAGAAATAACTGTGGTCCTTGAAAGTGTACACCTCCAAATTTTGGTTAATGGCGAGGAGTAACTTGGAGAGCTGCTGCTTCTTCAGTCTGATGACACATTCTATTACAAAGATAAGTGACTTCCTTCTTAAGTCGTGATTTTTCCTGTAAGGCAATTTCTTCTGTTAGCTATTTCTGTGAGTGACACTTTTTTTTTTTTTTTTTTTTTGAGGCGGAGTCTCACTCTATCGCTCAGGCTGGAGTGGTGTGGTGCGATCTCGGCTCACTGCAAGCTCCGCCTCCCGCGTTCACACCATTCTCCTGCCTCAGCCTCCCGAGTAGCTGGGACTACAGGCGCCCGCCACCATGCCCAGCTACTTTTTTGTATTTTTAGTAGAGACGGGGTTTCACCGTGTTAGCCAGGATGGTCTCGATCTCCTGACCTAGTGATCCGCCCGCCTCAGCCTCCCAAAGTGCTGGGATTACAGGCGTGAGCCACCGCGCCCGGCGTGAGTGACACTTTTAAAAACTTGACTATTCCGATGATCCAATTAGACAGAGTAACACTTCGGGTGCTGCTAAAGTCTGCAGTAATTTCTTGTTCTCTGAGATGAATTTTGTTCAGTATGATCAAGTCCAACATGCCCAACCAGGGGAGGGCCTCCCGTAAGCTTGCCATAGGACACAGCTTGTTTTTGTTACTTCTAAACACATGTGCAGGACAAGAGATTGGCAAAGGACGGGTATATTAGTAAATATATTTATATTATTTTTTCTAGAAATCATTTCGCCTTTTAGAATTGTGACAAAATCATTCTTATTAAATGTAAGTCAACAAATAAAGCTGGATAAATAAAATTGTAAAGTGTGACTCCACTCACCATGGTGGAGCTCCAGGACACCTATGCGATCCCTCCACTTAAGAGAATTCGGCTGCTGCTTTAAAAAATAAAAACTGTTTTTAAAACTCAATCAATCAGCATTGCATTATTTAACTGAGAGAGTAAAAATCTCACTGTTTCGAGGTTTTTCCCCTCAGAAACAATCATTCACATTAAGTTTCATCACTAATGGTATAATTTGCCTAATCTGATATTAATCTAAAAACTTAGAGGAAAACAAAATCAGCAACGTGTTAACTGGTGAAAGTTCTCTCTCAAAATCAAAATTCAATAGAATTATTTCATGTAACATGGTTTATTTTGTTATAGAAAGTAAAGGTGACAAAAGTAAAGGTGACAAAATGAGCACAAAGGGAGTTCTTCATAAAAAGAAACCTGCCAAGAATTCTTGCAATTTCTCATAAGTCACTTTTGTCAGGTTCAAATCTACATGAACTAGACTATCCTCAACTGTTAGAGACCCTAAAATCCATTCCAACATGGCCAAATATCATGTGTTTCTTAATGATAGGAATATGTTCTGAAAAATGCGTTGTTAGGTAATTTCATCACTGTGCGAACATCACTAAGTACACTTACACAAACCTAGATGGCATAACCTACTACACGCCTGGGCTCTGTGGTACAGCCTACTGCTCCTGGGCTACAAACCTGCACAGCATGTAACTGTACTGAATACTGTAGGCAACTGTAACACAACGGTAAGTATGTTTGTATCTAAACATGTCTAAACATACAAAGAGTGCAGTAAAAAATACAGTATAAAAGACACACATGGTACACCTGTTTAGGGCAGGTACCACTAATGGAGCTTGCAGGACTGGAGGTGGCGTTGGGTGAGTCAGTGAGTGAGTGGTGAGTGAATGTGAAGGCTAGGACATTACGGTACACTACCGTAGACTTTATAAATACTGTGCACTTAGGCAACACTAAATTTATAAGAAAATATATTTTTCCTCAGTAATAAATTAACCTTGGCTTATTGTAACTTTTTTACCCTATGAGCGTTTTAGTATTTTTTTGTTTTTGTTTTTTACTTTTTGACTACTGTGTAATAATACTTAGTTTAAAACACAGATTGTCCAGCTATAAAAAAAATTCTTTCTTTATATTCTTATCCTATAAGCTTTTTTAATTTAATTTTTACTCTTTCGACTTTTTAAACTTTTTTGTTAAAAATTAAAACATGAGCCCACACATTAGCCGAGGCCTACCCAGGGTCAGGAGCATCAGTGTCACTGTCTTCCACCTCCACAACTTGTCCCACTGGAAGGTCTTCAGGGGCAGTAACACGCATGGAGCTGTCACTTCCTAAGATAACAGTGCCTTCTTCTGGAATAACTCCTGACAACCTGCCTGAGGCTGTTTTACAGTTAACCTTTTTTATAAGTAGAAACATACATTCTAAAATAACAATAAAACCTATGGTATAGTAAATACATAAACCAGCAACATAGTTATTGCCATTATCAAGCATTAATACTGTACATAATTCTACGTGCTACCGTTTTATAAGACTGGTAGTGCAATAGGTTTATTTTCACAGCATCACCGCAAACATGGGAGGAAAACACTGCACTATGTTACGATGGCTACAACTTCAAGAGGCTATAGGAATTTTTCAGCTCTGTTATAATCCATGGGATCACTGTCGTATACGCGGTTTGTCACTGACTGAAACATTATTACACAGTGTCTGACTGTAATTCATTGATCTGGAAAGCCAGTTCAGCAGGTGTTGGCACCTCCAGACAGTGGATGGTAAGAGATTTGATCATCCCTGGCATGGCAGTCAACATATCAGCCTAATAATTGTCACTGACTCTGGCTGACAAAGTACCGCATGATATTAGAATTTTCTCCATTTCCTGTTCATCGTCATTCATAAATTCTTCTGTGTTTATCTAAAATTTCACATAATCTGGCCCGGCGCAGTGGCTCATACCTGTAATCCCAGCACTTTGGGAGGCCGAGGCATACGAATCACCTGAGGTCAGGAGTTCGAGACCAGCCTGCCCAACATGGTGAAACCCTGTCTCTACTAAAAATATAAAAATTAGCCGGGCTTGGTGGTGCATGCCTGTAGTCCCAGCTACTTGGGAGGCTGAGGAAGGAGAATCGCTTGAACCCAGAAGGCAGAGGTTGCAGTGAGGCGTGATCGTGCTACTGCACTCCAGCCTGGGCAACAGAGACTCAGTCTCAAATAACATAAAATAAATAAAATAAATAAAATAAAATAAAATAAAATAATTTAAACAATAAAATAAAATAAAATAATTTAAACAATAAAATAAAATAAAATAATTTAAACAATAAAATAAAATTTCACATAATCCTTTGGAAATCTTTCATTTTTTTCTTTCTTTTTTTATTATACTTTAAATTTTAGGGTACATGTGCACAATGTGCAGGTTACATATGTATACATGTGCCATGCTGGTGTGCTGCACCCATTAACTCGTCATTTAGCATTAGGTATATCAACACAATTAATTTCCTCATTTAATTCAAGATGTGAAGAGCTCAACACAGAGTTCAAAATATCACACAGATTCAAAGAAGAATGTATACTGTGTCCAATGTCTGCAGCTACTGGGTTCTTCTCCATTCCATTCATGTCTTTAGGGGTTGTAGCGTTTAGATACCTAGAAAAGACTACTTGATGCTATGTAAGCCTAAAAGTTCTGCCTAACTATTAGGGAGCAGTTCGTTAGTATTCTTTGGGTCTACAACAGCATCAGGAAATACACTTGCTATTAATTCAGTTTTTTTTGTTGTTGTTTTTATTTGTTTGTTTGTTTGAGGCAGAGTCTCCCTCTGTCCCCCAGGCTGGAGTGCAACGGCCCGATCTCGGCTCACTGCAAGCTCCACCTCCTGGGTTCATGCCATTCTCCAGCCTTAGCCTCCCGAGTAGCTGGGACTACAGGCGCCCGCCACCACGCCTGGCTAATTTTTTGTACTTTTAGTAGAAACGGGGTTTCACCGTGTTAGCCAGGATGGTCTCGATCTCCTGACCTTGTGATCTGCCCGCCTCAGCCTCCCAAAGTGCTGGGATTACAGGCGTGAGCCACCGCGCCCAGCCTATTAATTCAGTTTTTTCAGAAGTTACAGCTTTTATTTCTGCTTGTTCTGAGCTTTCCCTTTCTGCATCTTTGGTAGGCTCTGCACACATTATTGTTACTCATTCAAAACTGAATGTGAAGTTAAGGGATGTAAAGTGAATACAGGAAAAATTTCCTAAATTTTTATTATTCAAATTTGCATTTTGTGTAGAAATACATATAATACTTATAAACTCACTTGAGTCACAAAGTATTAACATCTCGTTAAGGCAAAATGAATCTATTTGGTCCTCGGGAAGAAAGTTCAATTTCTTTTCTTTCTTTTTTTTTTTTTTTTTTTTTTTTTTTTTTGAGACGGAGTCCCGCTCTTTCACCCAGGCCGGAGTGCAGTGGCGCCATCTCGGCTCACTGCAAGCTCCGCCTCCCGGGTTCACGCCATTCTCCTGCCTCAGCCTCCCAAGTAGCTGGGACTACAGGCGCCTGCCACCACGCCCGGCTAATTTGTTGTATTTTTCAGTAGAGACGGGGTTTCACCGTGTTCGCCAGGATGGTCTCGATCTCCTGACCTCGTGATCTGCCCGCCTCGGCCTCCCAAAGTGCTGGGATTACAGGCGTGAGCCACGGCGCCCGGCCAGGAAGTTCAATTTCTTAAAAGCATTCTCGGTTAAGGAATCCAAATCTTCGATTCGCTACATGTCCAAAAGTGAATCCATGTTTGAAGCTTCACTCCCTTCTTAAGAAAGCCACTTTTCCATGATCTCACTTCCTGATGCACTCTCCTGACTCTCAGAACCAATTCATCTGCCCGAGAAGATTCTTATTTCAGATAATCTTAATAGACAATCTACTGCATTTCAACTGAGAGGATTGCTGTGCGGACTAAACGAGATAATCCCTAAAAGCCTGCTGTGTAAGAAGACTGGCACTTAGTAAGCACCCAACTACGTTCCCTTTGAAGTCACATTCGGAGCGCATCCAGTACACAACATCCAGTCCAGGTAGAAAACGTCTCTGAGACACTGGGGAAAAGCTCTTTCTGATCTATTTTTGTCTCTTCCATACTTTTTCTTTCAGAAGGAAGATACTGTCAATATGACATTTCACCACTAAAAAATGTCCATTATATATCTCCTTAAAATGGAAATATCCTGCTATAAAATGACACCCCCATAATCAAAGCGAAGAAAATTAAACTAATCCCCACTATCATCTCGTACACAGTCCATATTCAAATTTCTCCAAGTGCTTCAAAAATGACTTTTATAATTTTATTAAAACAAGAATACAGTCTACATTCGCATATTACATTTTGTTATTGCGTCTCTTCAATAAAGAAAGCCCTCTCCTTTTTTCTTTTGTCGTGGTATTGATTTATTGAGGGAACTGAGCTTGTGGAATATTTTGTATTCTGGATTCATGGTTGAATCTTCTATTTTCCATATTTCATACAACTGAGAAACTAGATTTAAAAGCTTGTTTAGATTTGTACTAAATATTTTTGGCAAGAATACGGCTTCTGTGTATTTCATACCACCTTGCACCAAGAGGCACATAATATTAGGAAGTTTCTGTTAGTGATGTTAATTGTATTGCATAGCTAAATGTGTAACGGTGCTCCGTTATCTAAGGTATGTTTACCCTTTCCAGTCCGCAAGCACTCCATGGGGTGATGTTATGAGACTGCAGGAATATCGTGTTCCTTATTACCCTGCCTTTACTGCTTTTCAGCATCTCTTGATGATCCTTATCTGAATCCCTTATTTTACTAGTTTACACTATGGTGATTTTTCTATTTTGTTCATTCCTTCTACATTTATTTACTGATTTTCCTCTTTCCCCCCTCATAATGACTACTGAAATGCTTCTATTAAAATATCAATTATCAAAATATTTCAACCCCACACTTCTCCACCAAGGCTGGCTTTGCTGTACCTTAAGCCTGAGTTTATGGGGGTAATCCAGCCCCTTGAGCAGGGCTCCTTCACCTGAGACCCCAGCTAGGCTGCTCAGTTCAGGTTCTGGAGACAACTTCTGAGTCATCTCCAAATTTTAGTGGTAGACTAAGCACCAGTATATGAGGTATTTATACATTTTTTACTCTTTATTTTACGATAATTATAGATTCACATGCAGTTCTAAGAAATAATCACATCCCATAAACTCTTCCCCCAATTTCACTCAGTGGTAACATATTGCATGACAAGAGTACAGTATCAAAAGTGGGACACTGGCATTGATGCAATCCATTGCCTCTATTCAAATTTCACCTGCTTTACATGCACTCATTTGTCTGTGTGTGGATATTTATTTCTATGAAATTTTACCTTACTTATAGATTTGTGTGACCACCGCCACAGTCAAGATACAAACAGACCCATCAACAATTCTTTACTAACCTTCATAGTCACAGCCTCTCCCTGTATCTTGAGCCCTTGGCAATCATTAATCTGTCTTCCAACTCTATAATTTTGTCATTTCGAGAGTGCTATATTAATGGAATCATATCACATGTAACTTCTTACGATTGGCTTTATTTTTCTTTTTTTTGGTGGGCACAAATTCCTGGAGTTCACCAAAGTTGTTAAGCATATTAATAGTTTGTTCCTTTTTATTTCTGAGTGTTCCATATGCATGTACCACAGTTGTACCATTTGCCCACTGAGGGACATTTGAGCTGTTTCCAGTTTTCAATTATTATAAACAAAACTGCTGTGAATATTCACATACTGGTTTTTTGTGAACATAAGTTTTCATTTCTCTGGGATAAATGCCCAAGAGTGTAATTCCTGGGTTGTATAATAAGTATACTGTAAGTGTTTTGTAAGAAGTGTTTCTGCTGAACCTTTCCCAGAGAGGCTGTACATACTATTGTCCCATTTTATATTTCCACCAAAAATCTATGAGTTATCCAGTTATGTGGCATTTTTGCCAGGATTTGGTGTCATCACTGTTAGTTTGCCTGTTTGTTTTAGCCATTTTGACAGGTGTATAGTGATATTTCACTGGGATTTTAATGTGCATTTCTCTAACGGCTAATGATATTGCACGTCTTTTCATATGTTCATCATCTGTCTGTCCTACTTAGTGAAATATATTTTGCTAATTTCTCATTGGATTGATTTTTAACTGTTGAGTGTTAAGTGTTCTATATACATTATAGATACAAGTCATTGTTTAGATACGTGGTTTATAAATATTTTCTCCCAGGTTTTTATTCTTTTCACATAGGCTTTCACAGAGCAAAAGTTTTGGTGAAGTCCTATTATCAATTTTTTCTTCCCCTTTCTAGATCATGATTTCTGTGCCAAGTCTAAGAAGTTTTTGCCTAGCCATATATCGTGGAAGATTTTCATTTGTCTTTTTAAAAAGGTTTTCTAATTTATGTTTTGCATTTGTGTGTGTGATGCACTTTGAGTTAGTCTTTTGTGTAGGCTGTGATGTTTAGGACAATGTTCGTTTTTTGGCTTATGAATGCCAAATTGTTCCAGCGTCACTTGTTAAAAAGACGATCCTTCCTCCATTAAATTGCTTTATCATCTCTGTTGAAATGAATTCCTTTATTAGTCAGTTGGGCTTATTTGTGTGGGTTTATTTTTGGGTTCTTTATCCTGTTCCATCTATCTGTGTATCTATTATTTGCTAATAAACATTGTCTTGATTATTGTAGCTACATAATATCCCTTATTGTGTATCTAATAAAATATGCATACAATTGACCCTTGAACAACATGGGTTTGAACTGTGCAAATCTATTTATATGTGGATTTTCTTCTGCCACCCCGAGACAGCAAGACCAAACCCTTCCCTTCCTCTTCCTCCTCAGCTCACTCAACATGGAGACAATGATAATGAAGGCCTTTATGATGACTCACTTCCACTTAATGAATAGTAAATATATTTTATCTTCCTTACGATTTTCCTAATAACATTTTCTTTTCTCTAGCTTATTTTATTGTAAGAATACAGTACATAATACATATAACATACAAAGATTTTTTCACTCACCTGTTTGTGTGATCAGTAGGTCTTCCACTCAACAGGGTATTAGTAGTTAAGCTTTGGGGAGTCAAAAGTCGTATGTGGATTTTTGACTGCACAAAAATCCACATATATGTCGGGGAGGGGAGCTCCTGATGCTCACATTGTTCAAGCGTCAACTTCATGTACAGTTATCCCTCGATATCAATGGGGCAGAGTTCCAGAACCTCCCACTGACAATCAGAATCCCCAGGTGTTCAAGTCTCTGATATAAAATGGCATAGTATTAGCATATAACTTATGCGCCTCCTCCCATATACTTTAAATCATCTCTATTATTAGTTATATTGCCTAGTACCATGTAAACACTATGTAAATAATTATTATACTTATACAGTATTATTTGCAATAATGATAAAAGTCTGTATATGTTCAATACGAACTCCATTTTTTTAAAATATTTTTGATTCATGATAGGTTGGATCCACAGATGCAGAACCTATGGATACACAAGATGAAATATATTTGGTTTTTGTCCCTGGTTCCTGGCACAGAACTGCAATTTCCCGAGTGATAGGCGTGTCTTTTGAATGAGTGTTGGATTGTGTCATATTTTTCTGAGGATATCTATATGATTATATGATTTTTCTTTAGCCTATTGATATAATTATTATATTAATTGATTTTCAGATATTGAACCAGATATATATCTCTGGAATATATCCCACTTGGTCAAACGTGTAATTCTTTCTATGCATTTGGATTTGATTTGCTAATACTTTTGAGGATTTTTGCATCCAAGTTTATGGGAGATATTGGTCCATAGTTTGGGGGTTTTTTGTACTCTTTGTTTAATTTTGTATTAGGGTAATACTAACTTCATAAATGAGTTAGTGTTTCCTTCTCTTCTATTTTCTGGAAGTGATTGCATAAAATTTGTGTCAATTCTCTCCTAAATGTTTGGTGGAATTCTCTAGTAAAACCATCGGGGCCTGAACATCTCATTGCGGGAGATTTTTATTATGTATTCAATTAATTTAATGATTGTAAGACTAATCAGATTTTCTATTTCTTCTTGATTGAGTTTCATAGCTTGTGACTTTTGAGAAATTGATCCATTTCTTCTCAGTTGTTGAATTTATGAGTGTGAAGTTGTTCATAATATTCCCTTATTCTTTTAATGGCTACATGATCTGCAGTAATAACTCCTGTTTCCTTCCTCATACTGGTGACACGTCTCTCTCTTTTATATCTTTGTCAACTTGCTAGATGTTTATCATTTTTTATTTTCTTTTCAAAAAAGCTGCTTTTGATTTATTGGTTTTCTTCCATTGTTTTTATATTTTTAGTGTTATAAATTCCTGCTTTTATCTTTATTATTTCCTTTCTTTTGCTTACCTTGAATGTATTTTGCTCTCCTTTTTTCAGTTTCTTGAGGTAGGAACCCAGACTAATGATTTGATCCCTTTTTCTTTATCTAAACTTTGAGAATTGTTATTGTTTCTTCCTTGAATGTAGAAATAATCAGTGGAGCCAGGTACGTCTGAAATTTTTATTGTGCGAATATTTTAACTATGAATGCAATTTTAAAAATAGATACAGAGCTACTCAGAGCTTCGATAATTTGGATATTCCAAGAAATATGTCCACTTTATCTAAGTTACCACACTTACCGTAATGAGGTGTTTATAATACTTTAAAAATCATCTTTTTAATAGTTGTAGGATTTGTAGTGATGTCCCTTTTTAATTCCTGATAATAATGAACTAATTTTATTACTGCTTTTTAAAAAGTGGATTTTAGTTTTATTTCTGATTGTTATTCTATTTCATTGATTTCTGCTGTCATGTTTATTATTTGCAAATATTTGAAGATTTTTCAGATTTTCATGTTACTCATTTCTAATTTAATATAATTGTTGTCAGAAGAATTGTGGATGATTTCAGTCCTTTTTTATTGAGAATTTTTCTGTGGTTTATGATATAGTCTATTTTGGTAAATAGTGCATGTTCACTTGAAAGGAATATGTATGATGGAGTATTCTATAAATGTCTATTAGGTCAGGATTATGGTAATGTTGCTTAAGTTGGCTATATTTTTACTGATTTTCTATCTACTTCTCACTGATTATTGTCAGTGGGATGTTGAGATCTCCAACTATAAATGTGAATTTGTTTCTTCTTGTAATTCTCAGATTTTTTTCCTTCATGTATTTTGAAGTTATGTTATTAGGAGCATAACATTTAGGGTTATTATATTGTTTTGATGAATTGCTCCTGTAATCATTATGAAAGACCCTCTTTTTTCTTGGCACCATCCCTTGTCCTGAAATATACCTTGATATTAATATAGTTTCCCATCTGTTCTTTGTTCTCCTTTCTTATATTTTTCTGCCTTCACTTGGGTCAACTGAGCACCTTTCATACTTTTAATTTATCTTCTTAGTTATTTTTTCACTCATGGCTATTTGCTCTTAGTTTATAATGTGCATCTTGACTTATGAAAGTCTGATTTCAAATAATATTACCACTTCAAATCTCGTATAAGAGCTTTACAACTGTATACTTACATTTTCCTCTCCCATTATTGCATGATTGTTGTCACATTTTACTTCTGAATTTGTTTTAAAATTAAAATACATGGTTACTTTGCTTTAATCATCTATTTTCAGAGTGATTTCAAAATATAAAAATGTCATTGTATTCACCCAAATATTAACACACACATCTCCATTTCCAGTGTTCTTCATTCATTTAGGTAGATGCACATTCCTATCTGCTTTTATGGAGAAAGTCAATTTCTGGTTTTTCTATTTTTGTTGGGTGCAGAATTCTAGGTTGCCAGATTTTTCCTTCAGTACTTGAAAGATGTTTTTCCACTATCTTCTGGCTTATTGTTTCCACTATTTCACTGTTGTTTTTCTTTTTCTTTCTTTCTTTTTTTTTTTTTTTTTTTTTTTTTGAGATGGAGTTTCGCTTTTGTTGCCCAGGCTGGAGTGCAATGGCGCAATCTCAGCTCACCGCAACATCTGCCTGCCTCCCAGGTTCAAGTGATTCTCCTGCCTCAGCCTCCCAAGTAGCTGGGATTAAAGGCATGCGCCACCACACCCACCTAGTTTTGTATTTTTAGTACAGACGGGGTTTCTCCATGTTGGTCAGGCTGGTCTTGAACTCCCGACCTCAGGTGATCCGCATGCCTTGGTTTCCCAAAGGGTTGGGATTACAGGCATGAGCCACCATGTCCAGCTGATTTCTTTTTCTTTTTTCTTTTTTTAGAGATGGGGTCTTGCTCTGTCACCCAAGCTACAGTGCAGTGGTGCAATTATAGCTCACTGTAACCTTGAACTTCTGGGCTCAAGTGATCCTCCCACCTTAGCCTCCCGAGTAAGCTGGGACTGAAGGTTAATTTTTTGATGTTGGTTTTACTTTCTCTGCCCAATCTGAAAATCTCTGCCTTTTATTTGGGAACACATTCAATTAAACTCAATTAGATTTTACTTGCTAAAAAGAGTCCAAGGCACAGACACAATGGTAAACCACATAAACTCTTCAGGTTCCCTGCCAGTTCCAGACATCAGTTTTTCTTCTCCCCGAAAAAACACAGTAAAACCCTGTCTCTACCAAAAAGGAAAAAAATTATTATTTTTTTTTTGTAAAGACAGGGTTCTGCTGTGTTGCCCACGCTGGTCCCAAATTCGTGGCCTCAAGTGATCCCCTGCCTTGGCCTCCCCAAGTGCTTGGATTACAGGTATGAGCCGCTGCACTTGGACTTCTTATTCTTATCTTCGTTTCTCTGTATGTATTGAGTTTCAGTATGTGTTAATACATTACTGTATTTAAAAAAATTTTTTAGTTTTGTTTTAGGACGCAGATAAGTTATTTAGAAACAAATCTGATCTTTTCTAGCTTTGCTTTTAATCTTTCTTACGTGGGATAGATCAAACCTTTAATCAAGGGCTATTTTTTTTTTCTGTTACTGAGCCAATATATTTCCGATTACTGTACCCAATGTGTCATGCATTTTAACAGTTTGCCTTTCTGGCTGATAGAAACAAAATATCCCTAGTTCCATGTGATCCCTGGAAATTATTATGCCTACTTCATTAGACTGTACTTTGGTCTTGGATATTTTCATACACATGCACTTATCAATACTAACCTGGAGACTCAAGTGACATCTTTGCAGATATCTGGAGTTCAATGTCTCTCTCTTCTTTCCTCTCTTCCTCTCTTCTCTTCCTCTTCCTTTTGCTCTGCCTCTTCTTCTTCCTCTCTCTCTCTCGTTGTCTCTTCCCTCGTACTCTGTCCCATGAACTCTAGCTACGTTGGTTCCCCTGAGCCAACTCTGTCCCAATTCTGTCTCCTCAACTCAAATGCTGGCTTAAGTTATCCCTCCCTGGGCTCTTTCCTTAAGCAAGTTTCCTTTAATAGCATTTTATCCACTGTAGAACTTCAATCAGAATTGAAGTCAATCCTCTCAAACCCTGCCACTTCTTTACTAACTAAATTTATGTAATATTTTAAATCCTTTGTAGTCATTTCAATGGTGTTCATGGTATCTTCACCATGAGTAGATTCCATCTTAACTAATCACTTTCTTTGGTAACTCATAAGAAGAAACTCCTCATCCATTCAAGTTTATCAAGAGATGCAGCAATTCTCCACTTCTAATTCTAGTTTTCTTGCTATTTTCACCACAACTGCAGTTACTTCTCCCACTGAAGCCTTGAACCCCTCAAAATCATCCTTAGGGTTGGAATACACTTCTTCCAATCTCCTGTTAATGTTGATATTTTGACCTCCTCCCATGAATTACACATGTTCTTTGTGGCGTCTAGAATGGTGAGTCCTTTCCAAAAGGCTTTTTATTTACTTTGCCTGGATACATCAAAGCGATCACTATCTATGGCAGCTGTAGCCTTAGAAAATGTTATCTATGTAATGTATCCATGTTCAATTCAATTAAACTCAATTAGATTTTATTTGCTAAAAAGAGTTCAAGGCACAGACACAATAATAAACCACATAAGTTCTTCAGGTTCCCTATCAGTTCCAGACATCAGTTTTTCTTCCCAAAAGCGTTGTTCTGGATTGCAGGCCCAGGTCAGGTGAGAGGGTACCAGCAGAGGGATGCCTGCATGCCTGCTCCAAACCGGTGCCTCCCCAGCAGTCCTGAGTTGCACTAGAGCATTTCACAGTCGCCACCTCCTTTGCCATAGCAAAACTTGGTTTTGTTTGTGCCTCAGTAGAGGCTGAGGGCCATCACTGAAGAAAATCCACAATAACAAGCAGACAGGAAACCAATATATGAAGCAAAATAATTCTTTATTTTATAATAAAATTATCTACCACAAAACTGAAAGTTTATTCTGACTTAAGGGAAGTCAAATGAGAATCCGAAAGTTTTGTGGTGCATATAGATTCACAGCAATGGGAATTAGTTAGAGGTCTTATATGTAAGTTCACTCAGTGAATGTGTATGGCCTCCAAGCACAGGCCTGGAAGGAACTTCACTGACATGTTTTCTTAAATGACCTTCAACTTGCATCTCTGATTATGTCTTCTTGTAATCCACGCTGGACTCTTTTCTTCTAAGTGACACATTACTTCTTCAGGTAGATCAATATCATCAATTAAAATGCAATTTTGTCTTGTTTTTGCACGGTCTGTTTTTTTAAGTCTAACTTTGCATACTTACCCACTTACCTACACTTTAACTAAAGTGTGTTTATTAAACTTTCCAAACTCTGGGATGCCTTGCTTTCATGCCTACTTATAATTACTTTATGTGTGCTAAAAAGTCACAAATAGCACTTTTTGCCCTATGTTCTTTTCTTCTTTGTACTCTGGAAGAAGAACCAATGACGACAATGAAAAGCAGGCAGTAGCAGAGTTGAAGAAGAGCATAGGACTTGGCAGTGCACAGCATGAATCCTCAGTCCTTGGCCAACAAACGTCATCATTTCAACAGACCAAATCTATTGTCAAGATGTGTTTTCTGTTAAGTCTCCATTGGCCCAATGAGAAACACTTAAATTGAGCTTCCCTAGACAACATTTTGCAAAGGGACTGTGATGCTAACTCTCCCTTGAAAACATTACAATTTATATATTAATAAAATCTTCTTATTTTCATGTTTTAAAACTTCAGCTTGAATTTGAGCCCATTAAGTACAACTGGCAGTAATTTCTTCGCCATGGTCATGTCCAAATGTTGTGATGAACACAGAGATAAGGCTAATTGTCATAGATTTAAATCATCTAAAACAACTGGGATTGCTTCATGTCACCGGTACTCTCTGCTCCAGGCTCAGACATGATAACTTTATGATCAGCATCTTAAATATCTCACATCTCTCAACTCAATTCATATCTTGAGATTGGTTCCAGCTCCAGCATGAATTTTGAAGAGCTCCCTGTGGCTACAAGTCTCTGATTCTTCCCTGTCTGATAGGGGAGCTGGGTCCTGCCCACTGCTTTGTCCTGTGTTCCAGTCCTCCTGGAAAGTCCAGTCCCCCAGTCCCTTGTCATGATGGTCTGTGTCTCTTGGCCAGCTAGGGTTAGGCTCAGAGTTAAGCTAACTGTTGTAGACTCTAACCGTGGCTTGCTTATTTGCACCTGTCTTCTTTGGCTACTAAATAGTTTTTTTTTCTTTTGACCGATTGCATCTGGCTTCCCCACCTGCTCTGTGCCCCTAGTGTATTAGTTTATTAGGGCTGCCATAACAAAATACCACAGACAGAGTGGTTTAAGTGACAGAAGTTTATTTTCTCGCAATTCTAGAAGCTAGAAGTCTAAGATCGAGGTGTCAGCAGAGTTGCTTTCTCCTGAGGCCTGTCTCTTTGATGTGTAGATGGCTGCTATCTTCCTTTGTCTCTGCCTGTTCTTCCCTTTGTGCAGGACTGCATCCTAATCTCCTCTTAAGGACGGAAGTCATATTGAATTAGGACCCAGGCATATGACCTCGTTTAACCTTAATTGCCTTTTTAAACACTCTAGCTCCAAATCCAGTCACGTTCTGAATTTTGAGGCACCAAAGGGGTGGTTAGAACTTCAACATCTGAATTTGGGGGGGATGCAATTCATCTCACAACACCCAAGATGGTTCTTACATCCGTTCTCAGCCTCAGATGTCCTCAGTCCTGGTGCTGCCTATGCGGCGTGCCTGAGGGCAGAGCTCACTGCCAGCCTGGTGCTCCACAGCTGAATTTCTGACTGTCCAGCAAAGTATCCTTTGTCCAATTTGTACCCACAGGTAGGCTTTAGCTTTCAGGCCAATGTTAGATTCTTCTCCTGGCTTTAGAACAACTTGGTGGTCTCCTCCAGTTTCTAGGGACATCTCTATGCCTTTCAACTCCTGATTCCATTTGGACCCATCTCTGTATGACCTCTCACAATGCGAGCTTGGGTATCTTTCCCTTCTTATTGTGACTCACCACTAATAGCAGTACAAAATCCTGTTTCATAAAGTGGGTTCCTCAGAACATTAGTTATGTTGGATATAAATAGATTTCGTGTAGGATACCAAGAATGTTTGAGAAATGTTGCATGACAGAAAACAAAGTTTCTTTCATGCAAAACTTCCTATATGTCCACAGGTGGGAAAGTGGGAAGATAGACCTTGCGTGATTTCCAAATGTTTTTGTTTCCAAATGTTTTATTTGGGTTGGGGTGTGAACTGTGAACTCCCCAATGACCCAAAGGACTTGCCCACATGCAGTGCTGAGATCCTTGGCCACACTTCAGCCTGGCTTCTACCTGCACTAGTCATGTGCCTAAAAGTGACACAGCTCTTGTGTGAGTCTCTGCTCAAGAAAATGCAATGCTCCTGAACTGCCAGATGTAAATTGTCCCAACCCACAAGGCCAAACCATTTTCAGTAATCCTCTGCAACTCCACTCTGTAGCTTCCTACTTATAGCCCCCAGTCTCTTTTCTGGTCCCCCTTTTTTTACTTCCCATAATCTCGTTGTGTGCCCTATCAGATCTCCCTTTGAAAATCCCCAGTCACCTTTGTCTTATTTGGAATTAAACTGATTCATACTGGAGCCTCTCTGCCCTACTGCAGTAGTCTGAGTGAAATCTGTCTTGCTGCCTCTAACAGTGTCCAGTGCTCTTTCTCTGACAAGGGGAGGTGCCTCACCAACCCTGAGATATCTGTTAGGAAAATGCTGCTCTGGCATTATGCTCCAAGTGAACCAATTCCAAGATATTCTGCAGAAACTATGGCCCAAAGACACTGAGAACACACAGAAATATGCTTGTGCTTTCTATAAGTTTTCCACTTTGTATTAAGTGAAAAAAATTCTATAATAAAACAAACAGTGAATTTGTGTCACATGTCAGGTATATATGAGTGAGGGCCACATGGCCTCACAGTACATTACACGAATGATGACGCCATGATAACCTGAATGATGAAAGGACTGAGCCTTCCAGGGAACATTCCCATGCTGAGGCCAGGGTCCCCCCTCTGCCACACTGGCAGGATGTGCTGCCACATCCACATTGCAGGCAAATGTCAGCTGGCTGCCCCTTGAACACACACTGACTTGGACATTCACTGACAGTCAACATAATTGTCACTGGACTGCAGAGGGAGTGTTAGGGCTCCCTATGTGGATGTCAGCTCTTACAAATAAAGCTACCCTCATGTTTGTATGGGGGCAGCAGTCTGCAGTCTGTCATCCAGGGGTAGGGGAATAAACCTGAGGATCAACAAAGTCCATTCAATATTAAATAAACCTAATTACATACAAAAGAGGGGTCATGTCTTAGTCTGCTCAGGTTGACATCACAAAATGTCATAGATTGAGTGCTTCAAACAACAGAAATTTTTTCTCACAGTGATGGAGGATGCAAGTTCAAGATTAAGTTTCTGGAGGCTGGAAGTCCAAGTCAAGCAAGTGACACCTGTGACCACCTCCAGCAGCAGAGTCCCACTAAACAGTGGAGAACAGAAAGCATAACAATGCCTGCCTCCAGGAGCAGTAATCCCAAGACGTCAACCCACCACATGATTTTCAGGCACGACTCATGCAGGCACTGGATGGAACAACGCTTTATGCACATAGAGAAGACACAGAGCAAGAGCAGCTTCAGTTTCGACTGTTGATCCCTCATGGCCAGTGGGTCTCACCCCACAGCCAGCACAGGGAGATGTTCCACACACTCATGCTATAGACAAAGGCCCCTGTTCCCAGCAGTGGGGTCGTTCAGGTGCCATATGATGCACATGCTTTAGTAGAACGAAGAAGTACGCCTCCAGTCCAGAACAGAGAAAGAGGTTCCCCATAAAGGGTAATGGACAGCGCAGGCTGTGAAAGCTCTTTATCTCTTTGTAAGAAAATGTTCCTAACCCAAGGCACACTCCTATGCAACTGTACAGAGGTCAAAAGACTACGTTTGTGTGACTGCTTCTCTCAACATGTTCCTGGTGAGGGCTCTTTTCCTGGCTTGCAGACAGCCACCTTCTCCATGTGTCTTCACATGGTCTTTCCTTGGGGCTTGCATGAAAAGAGACAGAGAGATGCTGTGAGAGAGCACTGGGGTGTATCTTCTTATAAGAACACAAATCCCTTCGGATCAAAGCCCCACCCTTAAGATCTTATTAACTTTAGTTCTTTATAGACCCCCCTCCCCCACCTCCAAATATAGCCACACCGGGCATTATGGCTTAAACCTGTGGATCTGGGGGAGACACAAACATTCTATTCATAATAGGCCAAGATGCATAAACAGAATAATTGACTCAGGAGAAAGATGGCAAAAATTCAAAAATTCATCAAATGTAGTACACTTTTAAAATATTCTAACTTGTATCTTAAAGAGAAGCTGGACAATATTGCACCCATTAAACAAGGGCATATGTCAATGAAAAAGAGGAAATCAGAAAATAAAATATTCTTAAATATTAGAAATATAATCATTACAATAAAGACACGATGTCTGAAAGAAAACTTGAAGGACAACTGTCAGCATGTACATAAAAAGAGAAAACATGAAGAGAGATATGAGAAAAAAAGTTTAATAAGAGCATTTAAATCCAGGAAGTCCAAAGAGTTACATAAAGAGAAAATACAGAAACTGATAAAAATGAAATGATCAAAGAATAGCCTATTAGGAGAACATTTTCCAGAGCTATGAGGAGGTGCTGCATGCATCTCGACTTAAAAAGTCACCGACGGTTGATCAGGAGATATAAAAAAATCACCCACCCCTAAATGCATCATTGTGATGTTTTAGAAGAGAAGGAACAAAACAGGGCATCTGTAAAGAAATCACAGTCAAACTCGCATCAGATTTCTCATTAGTAACACTGGAATACAATGAGGCAGTAACTTCAAAGTCCACAGAGGAAATTATTTTCAACTTAGAATTCTACACCTGGTAAAAAAAAATTATACTGAGTGTCGATGCCAAATAAACACATTTTCAGTCATCCTAGGCCTCAGAATGTTTACCCTTTATGCATCTTCAGTGAAAAAGATAAATCCTTGATGATATTCTGCAGTAAAACCAATAAAAATCCTAGACAAAAGGAGACATAGCCCCATCCTCAAGACAATAAAGGACTATCTCAGATGACAACTGAGCAGCAGACTTAGAGAGCAACTGGTCTACCACAGTGCAAGGTCAGGGGAGTGCAGGTGCAAATGTTGCTAGGGAGAAACGTTTAAGAAGAAAGCAGACTTGTGAAAGCAAAAGCATCACGATGGTGGAAAATCTTGGTGATAAGTCAGAGGACAAGTTTAAAACAAAGGGAAAATGTTGGGAATTCTAGGAAACTCACAAATATGTAGAAGAGAGTCATGCTTTAGTGCCAAGCAACAAGCACATGCCATGGGCTAGCAGCATGGACACCTCCTGGAAACTTGTTAGAAATACACATCCTTAGGCCACCCCAGACCTGCTGAATCAGGAACTGTGGATGGCACCCAGCAATCTGCCTTCAGCAAGCCCTCCAGGGGTTTTTGATCCTCTGCATTGGACCAGGGTTTGGCAGTGGCCTCTTTTTGTAAATCAGTTTTGTTGGAACTCATGACACTTATTTTATCCTGCAGTTTCTATGGCTGCTTCCACTCTGCAACAGCAGAGGGTAGTGGCTGTGACAGACACCCTATGGCCCCAAAGCCTAAATATCTGCTATTTGATTCTGTACAGAAAATATTTGCGAATCCCTGCTTTATACCTTTAGATAGGCTACAAAAGTGTTTGAGACTTCATTTGACTTGACTTTGAATTTTAGTATGTGCTTCTTAGATGTATCAGTCTGGGAATCCCAGGTCCTTCTATCTGCAGCCAAGTGCACTACACTCCTGTTTGCAGTGACAATCCTCCTAATATTGTGAAGGCTGCTTCTTAGTTTTCAGTCAACATCTAGAGCAAGCCCAGGAGACTTGGGATTAAGGAATAGGAGTGTAAGAGTTAAAACGTCATAAATGTGAAAGTCAGGTACAGCTCCGGAAACTAGCAGAAGGGAAGCACAGGGAAAAATATTTCCTCATCTCAGATAAAAGGGAGACAAGAGAGACTGTCAAATTGGTGCAACCAGAAAAATATGCTCACACAACTCATAAAAAGTTTTAAAGGCAAAAGAAGTAAAAATCAGACCATAACTAAGAAAAATTGAGAGGGAGTGGAAAGAGAGAAGAGGCAAGGAATAATAGAAAGTATCTAAATCAAGAAATGAGGGATAGAAGATCCTCCAGAGGAACAGAAGAAGAAACAGAAACAAGAGCTGGCTTTGAGCAGGCATCCCAGATGTTGGTTTGACATGGGGCAGACTTTTGTTTTCATTTCTTTGTTTAGTTTTTGTGTGCAAATGTACATTTGACTCCAATGATAGTACAGATTTTGAAAGGTAGAGATAAACACTGGCAGGACCCTGGCCCATGGAATTAGGAAACTTCCAAGCCTCACTCTCCAGCCCTCCTGCCCCCACCAGGTCTGCCCAGTGCTATGTGCTCCCTAAGCCCCCTCTTCCCCACAAACTGCCTTCTGTCTTTTTTAACTGCTGTTGCTTTAATGTTTGTTTTGTCTGATATAAAAATAGTTACTCCTACTCACTTTTGGTCTCTATTTGCACGGAATATCTTTTTCCACCCCTTTACCTTAAGTTTATGTGAGTGCTTATGTGTTAGCTGAGTCTCCTGAAGACAGCAGAAACTTGGTTGGTAAATTTGTATCCATTCTGCCATTCCTTTTTGTTTGTTTGTTTGTTTTGAGATGGTGTCTCACTCTGTCACCCAGGCTGGGGTGCAGTGGCATGATCTCAGCTCACTGTAATCTCCATCCTGGGTTCCAGTAATTCTCCCACCTCAGTCTCCTGAGTAGCTGAGATTACAGGCATGCACCCACATGACCAGCTAATTTTTTTGTATTTGGGTTTTCACCATGTTGGCCAGGCTGTTCTCGAACTCCTGACCTCAGGTGATACACCTGTCTTGGCCTCCCAAAGTGCTGGGATTACAGGCATGAGCCACTGCACTGGGCCCATTCTGTATCTTTTTTTTTTTTTTTTTTTTGAGACAGAGTCTCGCTCTGTCGCCCAAGCTGGAGTGCAGTGGCATGATCTCGGCTCAGTGCAACCTCCGCCTCCTGGGTTCACACCGTTCTCCTGCCTCAGCCTCTCACAGGCTGAGGGCGCCCAACAACACGCCCGGCTAATTTTTTTCTATTTTTTTGTATTTTTAGTAGAGATGGGGTTTCACCGTGTTAGCCAGGATGGTCTCGATCTCCTGACCTCATGATCCGCCCGCCTCGGCCTCCTAAAGTGCTGGGATTACAGGCATGAGCCACCGCACCCGGCCCCATTCTGTATCTTTTAAGTGGAGCATTTAGGCCATTTACATTCAACGTTAGTATTGAGAAGTAAGGTAGTATTCTATTCATCACGCTATTTGTTACTTGAATACTTTGTTGTTTTTTTCATTGTGCTATTGATATACAGGTCCTGTGAAATTTATGCTTTAAGGGGGTTCTATTTTGGTGTATTTTGAGGATGTGTTTCAAGATTTAGAGCTCCTTTTAGCAGTTCTTGTAGTGCCAGCTTGGTAGTGGTAGATTCTCTCAGCATTTGTTCGTCTGAAAAAGACTTTATCTTTTCTTCATTTCTGAAGCTTAGTTTCGCCGGATACAAAATTCTTGGCTGATAATTGTTTTGTTCAAGGAGGCTAAAAATAGGACTCCTATCCCTTCTAGCTTGCAGGGTTTTTGCTGAGAAATCTGCTGTTAATCTGATAGGTTTTCCTTTATAGGTTACCTAATGCTTTTGCCTCACAGCTCTTGAGATTCTTTCCTTTATCTTGACTTTTGATAACCTGATGACTATGCGTCTAGGTGATGATATTTTTGTGATGAATTGCCCAGGTGTTCTTTGAGCTTCTTGTATTTGGATGTCTAGATCTCTAGCAAGGCCATGAAAGTTTTTCTCAATTATTCCCTCAAATATATTTTACAGACTTTTAGATTTCTCTTCTTCCTCAGGTACACCAATTATTCTTAGGTTTGGACACTTAACATAGTCCCAAACTTCCTGGCAGCTTTGTTCATTTTTTAAAATTCTTTATTCTTTGTCTTTGGTGGATGGGGTTAATTCGAAAACCTCGTCTTCGAGCTCTGAAGTTCTTTCTTCTGCTTGTTCAGTTCTATTGCTGAGACTTTCCAGTGGATTTTGCATTTCTATAAGTGTGTCCTTGATTTCCAGAAGTTGTGATTGTTTTTTATTTATGCTATCTATTTCACTGAAGATTTTTCCCTTTATGTCCTATATCATGTTTTTGATTTCTTTAAGTTGGACTTCACCTTTCTCTGGTGTCTCCTTGATAGTTTAATAATCAACTTTCTGATTCTTTGTCTGCCAATTCAGTGATTTCATCTTGGTTTATATCCATTGCTGTTAAACTGGTGTGATTTTTTGGGGGTGTTAGAGAAGCCTGTTTTGTCATATTACCCGAATTGTTTTCCTGGTTCCTTCTCATTTGGGTAGACTATGTCAGAGGGAAGATCTGGGACTCAAGGGCTGCTGTTCAGATTCTTTTTTCCCACAGGGTGCTCCCTTTATGTGGTTTTCTCCTCCTTCCCGTAGGGATGGGAATTCCTGAGAGCCAAACCGCTGTGATTATTTTTTGCCACTCAGCAGAGCTACCAGGCTCAGGCTGGTACTGGAGAGTGTCTGCAAAGAGTCCTATGATGTGATCTGTCTTCAGGTCTTCAGCTGTGGATACCAACACCTGCTCTGGTGGAGGCAACAGGGGAGTGACGTGGACTCTGTGAGGGTCCTTAGTTGTATTTTTGTTTAGTGTGCTGGCTTTGTGCTGATTTTGTGTTGGTTGGCCTCCAGCCAGGAGGTGGTGCTTTCAAGAGTGCATGAGGTGCATGAGGTGCATGAGGGAGGATGCAAACTTGGCCTAGGGTCACCTGGTTAAGCATTCAGGTTTCTCAGGTGTTGGGCAGGGCCACAGAGCTCCCAAGAGACTATGGCCTTTTTCTTCAGCTACCAGGGAGGGTAGAGAAAGACTACCAGGTGGGGACAGGGATAGGCATGTCTGAGCTCAGACTTTCCTGGGGCAGGGCTTGCTGTGGCTGCTGTGGGGGTGTGGCCCCCAGGCCAATGGAGTTATATTTCCAGGGAGATTATGGCTGTCTCTGCTGCATTACACAGGTTGCCAGGGAAGTGGGGGAAAACCGGCAATCATAGGCCTCACCCCACTCCCATGCAGCCGGCAGTCCTAGAGGCCAGTATTACTTCCACTGTGCCCCGGCAACAGCACTGAGTCTACTTCCAGGCAGCTGGTGACCAGGGCTGAGAACTTGCCCCAGACCACCAGCCTCCCCACTGAGAAAATAAGCAGACTCATAGTTTTTTGGCATCTCAGGGAGCCTGTAGCAGGGATCCAGTTCCTTCAAAGGGTCTGTGGATTCTCTTGACTTTCTTGGTAGATTCCTGTGGTACTTCTTGGAGCAGAAGTTCACAATGTGAGTCTCCACACACTGCTCTGTCCGTCCAAGTGGGAGCATTAAGCTAGTCCTCCTCTCCACCATCTTAATCTCCTTGCTGTCTTGTGAAAAACCATCTCCACGGCTGCCTCCTGCCTCCTCTGCAGGATGTGAAATGGTAGCTGGCAAGGTGAACACGAGCACCGCAGCTCCAGCCAATCCTGCGTTGCCACCAAATGACCCTGAACACTGGTGTCCCTCTTCTGCAAGCCCCTCTGAGCCCATCCATCAAGATACACTTCTTGATTCTCCACCCCCATCCAGTCCCAGAGACCATCTTGTTGCATATTCTATGACAACACATCCTTCTCCTTGCTGGTATTTATCACAAATGTAATTATTAACTACATGTGCAATTATTTGTTGAATGTTCTCCATATCCAGCTGGGCTGAAGACAGAGAGACGGTGTCTGGCTCATAGACAGCTGGACCTGCCACTCCTCCCCGATGCCTGTGATACAGGGAGGACTCAATCAGTGCCTGTTACTGGAAGGAGCGAATCCTGCTGGCAGGCAGGCCTCAGCACAGGGCCTGGCACTGCTCTGCTGCAAGACTCAGTACCTGCATCAAGGCACACAGGGAGAGAGGTCGTCAGAGTGTTTGGGGGTAAGATGATCTTTGAGCCTCAAGGTGACAGTCTGTTTGGATTGCTAACAACTTTGGCAGTGGAAAGGGGATGTTGCAGGCTGAGTCTGTCCATCTTCCTAGTGATGTCCTGTCACATCCTCCATATGGGCAACAAAAACTGTTTTCAGGGACATATCAGAGGAGCTGTTTCCAATTTTGTGAAAATTACCTTTGAGATTCCAATCTGAGCTGGGAAATCATTTGACAAACATCAGTGGGGATGGATGTGCCAGCACTTCAATGACAAAATCAGATGGATCCCTGGGGCCAAAATATAAGCAGCAACCAGGACTGGCCCTGGGCCCCCTGTTGTCCTGTGTGGATGCTGGGTTGCCATAATCAACAACATAGTGGCCACACTTTAGAAAACTACTGGAATGAAATGATGAAGGGAATGAATGGGCTGGGAGGCAGTGTAGACCTTCACTATGGAAATTCAGGCAGATCTTCCAATTATAGGCAGGCTTGGTGCCTGTTCTCATGCAGAGCACGCTGCAAGCAGAGACTCCGAATACAGTCATTGAAACAGCTCTGGAGACACAAGCATAAAGCAGAAAAAAACTGATTTGAGTGTCATGTGCAGACAGAGGTGAGGTTTAGGCCACAAGAGAGAATAAGCTCTCCGAGAGAAAGAGAGGCAGAACCTTGCAAAGTATACCTGTGACCTTGTAGAATAGTACTAGGGCAAACCTCCCAGGTTGCTGAACACTGAACCGTTAGTGAGGAAATAAATGTTTTTCAAGAATCACAGTGGAAGTGAGGCTGAAGGCCCACATTTCATTAGACAGAAGAGCACACTCCTCCCGTGCCCCTATGAAATGTAATGTCTGATGAAGCCCAGCAAGAATTTTACTGACCCTTTGGGGCTTTGCAATTTGGCTGAAACAGGTTGTGAAGTCAGCAGCCATTTTCTTCAGCCTTCACAACCTGAAAATCTTTCACTCAATCCAGAAAGGATAGGAATGAGAGGGTGAGGATTTGTGAGCGAGCTTCTCAATCATAGCAAGTTAACCAGATTCGAAATGGAGGAACGTGAGTCTCTCACGCACCAGTCTTAGGTACAGATTTTGCATCTGGCTTTTCAACAACTGTGCAGAACTTCAGAGGTCCCTTCTCTCTTCTGTAAGCCACGGGTCTTCCAGCACCAGCTGACCAAGAGCCACTGAATTTTTATATTTCTGATATCTCATTTTTGATAAATTTTTTGCCTTTGGAGGGTTATTTATGTGTTTATTATTTCTACGGTGACAAAAGTGATGAAGGATCTTATGGGATTTTAAAAGAATGCCCTTTGGAGGCTATTTTGATTACCAAAAAGATTGAACAGGAGAATGGGCTGTTTAAGAAAAGCCCAAAAGTTCTCATGGTAACTAGAGCTGTTATTGACAGAAGGGGATTGGAGATGGAGGTATCTCTGCCCAAATTAACCCATTAACATATCAAATCCTTTAAAAGAAAAAAAAAGTCCTACATGATTCAATATTTGAGAATATTTTCTCATACAGATGGTATAGGAGGGTTCGGGTAAAATAAACAGAACAACAGCGAAGCCCCAGGAACCCGGACCTCATGGCGAAATTCACACCCTTTTTGAGTTTTTGTCCATTCTGCAGCTCTGAGGGCCCCCCCACCTCCACGCGCCTCTGTCAGGTTACAAAGCAGAAGGGTCTTCCAAGGCCAGGGCTTGGCTGGACTTCAGCTGTGCGGGGATGCGGAGCTGCAGGAGAGGGGCGCCCTCTGGTGGCCGCTACGGGCTGTGCTGAGGCCGAGTGGATGGGAAATGGGCAAAGGGGCCTAGAAAACCCTTCCTGCAGACTCGCGGAAGGAGGAAAGTAGGGAGGCATGATGAGAGCGCTCATGAGAGATGAGTGGTAACCACAGCTGTGGCCAAGCCGCTTTTTTACAAGACTGAGATTCCCCCAGGGCCTCGGGTCACCCTGGCTTTCCTCAAGACACCCCCGACCCAGCCCTACTCCCTGAGGTCCTGAAGGGACCTCTGGGGTCCTGGTTGGTACGGATTCTGCTTGATTCGTGTCGGGGTTGATGCTTGTCCCATGTGGTGGTTAAGGATTTGGGACGTGAATCCCTGGGGAAGTTGGTGTTTGGGACAGATTGGAAGAGGTGAAGAAGGAAGGAGAGGAACTGTTACACTCAGAAAGGGAGGCAGACAGAGTAGTAAAAAGAACCGGGCGCTCCCAGGCTGAGCTGAGACCTGGCCTCTGTGTGTGGCGCTGGCTATGCTCCCAGCGAGGATGGAGAGCCTGCCCTTGGCACTCTCTGGACACTTCCAAGGGGGGACGCGTCCATCCATCCCGCGTGTCTGTGTTACGGTCCACATGGTGGGGCATACCTGGACACCTCTACACGATCTGGCACATATGTCATCAAACTCCTTAGGATGGATTCTGAGCCTCCTCCAGGTAGCTCCTGGGGAGACGGGAGTCCCTGCCTCAGCAGCGCCAGGCGGCACAGGTGCGGGAAGATCTGGACACACTGGGCTGCAGCAAAGGCGCTCTTCGCTGGACCTGTCAATGTCTGTGTCTAAGGCAAGGAGCAAGCTGGTAGGAGGGGGAGGGCGACGGAAAAGAAGAGCCAGGAGAAAGGGCAGTGCAGGAAAGGGAAACAGATCCTAGGCACAGGGACCCAGGACATGCCCTCCTGGAAGAAAGATGAGGACCAAGAGAACAAGTGCTAAAGAGGGGACGGAGGGAAACAGGGCGAGGCTGGAACGACAGGCGGCCAGCCGGGGGCAGAGCAGGATGGGCTCGGGGAAGCCATGAAGCTAGAATGGTGCTATTTACCCCACACTAAACTGTCTACTGGGCAGGCAGCCTTAAATTCGTCCCCGTACCTGGGAGGCTGAAAATACAGTGGTGTTTTGGCAGAAAAAAATAAGTGAAGCGGCTGAATCCAGTACTGAAGGAAAGCATTAGGTGTGGAGCCTCATTTTTATCTCTGCCAAGTTCTAAATGCAAGAGTGCTGCCTGGCTCGTGTCACATGGCTGTGGGCAGGTTCACACAAGAGAATGCAGGGCAAGGTTCTTCAAATCAGAGTGCTATATTGTATAAAGCTGTATTATTTCCAGCATAGACATTTTTGCACATGTAAGTCATTTTCTCAAATATGAAGAAACTGGATTCCTAGAACATCATTGCTATGATTCCATCACCTTTCCCCAAAGGTAGATCTTTCATCCTTGTTGGGTTGAGATGAGAATGTGTCAGCTGCTAAGGGAACCCATATAGCTCAGGCTGTCACCTCCATCTCCCAGTGTACCAGGAGGAGTGGCTCCCCTGGTCCTCTGCCCACAGCTGCCCCGCAGCACCAGCCACTTCCAGCACACTGCCAGCAGACCCTGGGAGAACTGGCATACGAAAGAAGTGCTAACTCCAGAGGTAGCACTAGGACCCACAGGTGCAAATTGCAAAAGAAAAAGTTCAGTTGCACTCTGACCCTTGGAATTTTCCAAACCCGGACAAGGAGGTCTCTGCAGCTGATAAGCCCCATCTCAGGAGTGGGCATTGCTTAGAGCCCGCACAGCTCTATGGCCTGAGCCTAGTGTTCATGGCATTATCAACAACCAAGGCTGGCGGCAGGCATGAATGTGGGGGTGGTGACTATACAAGGCTTAAGAAAGAGAAACGTTCTGTATTCTCACCAGTACTGTAAATGGTATCCTTGTTTCCCACAGAGCCTTTGAATCTGGGCAATAGGATCTCTTGTTAAGAATGGGGCTGGGCTGGGTGTGGCCCAGCACTTTGTGAGGCCAAGGAGGACAGATCATGAGGTCAGGAGTTTGAGACCAGCCTGCCCAACATGGTGAAACCCTCTCTCTACTAAAAATACAAAAATTAGCCAGGCATGGTGGACATGCCTGTAATCCCAGCTACTCAGGAGGCTGAGACAGGAGAATTTTTCGAACCCGGGAGATGGAGGTTGCAGTGAGCCAAGATTGCACCACTGTACTCCAGCCTGGGTGACAGAGCAAGACTCTGTCTCAAAAAAAAAAAAAAAAAAAAAAAAAAAAAAGAATGGGGCTGAGACAGTACAAGCAGCTTGGAGCTCTGGACTTGGAGCAAACAGCTATGTTTAACTCCTTATCATTCACCATCTGTGGGCATTTAGCAAGGCATTTTGCAACACTTTTGCTTTCTTGTAAAATAAAGTTCAAATAGCTTAATTTACAATGTTATTGTACAATTCAGCTAAGCTTATCCTTGTAAAAGTCTCGAGTAAAAAGTATAAAAACTGTGTGTCATTTATCAATCGGCATTATTGGGATGTGAATAGCACACTGCATGTGGGCTCAGAGAATATGGGCTAACTATGGGCCTTTCCAAGAGAAGTGGGAATCACTCACGACCTTTCCCTCCTTCTGCAAAGGCAAATTTACAAGTCTTCTTTTAAGCATGTCATATTGATATATGCATAAAATTTTGGTTTTTTAATTGAACTTATTATTGAGATAACTGTTGATTTATATGCAGTTGCAAACAATAATACAGGGAAATCCTAGGTACATTTAACTCACCTTCCCCCAGCAATAACCATTTTAGTATATCACACCAGAATATTGACATGGATACAATTCACTGATTTTGTTCAGATTTCTCCAGTGTTACTTATACTTATCTGTGTGTCTGTGTATGTATTTAGGCGCGTTTAGTTCTAGATAAATTTACCACCCATGTTAAGTTCATGTATGCACCACCAAAGTTAAGATTCTTAAGAGTACTGATCAATAGATACCTACATTAAAAGAGAAGATGGCCCCAAATAAATAGCCTAACATTACACCTCAAGGAGCTAAAAAATGAACAAAGCAAGCCCAAAGTTACAAGAAGGAAGGGAATAACAAATATCAGAACAGAAATAAATCAAAATAGAATAAAAAACCATAGAAGAAATCAATAAAACTAAGAGTTAGTTTAAAAACAAACAAACAAAATCGACAGACCCTGAGGTAAACGTAAAAAAAAAAAAAAGAGAAAAGCCTCAAATAAATAAAACCAGAAATAAAAGGAAGGACATTACAACAGATGCCTCAGAAATAAAAAGGATCATAAAGGACTATTGTGAACAATATTATGCCAACAAATTGGATAACCTAAGGGAAACAGACAAACTCCAAGAAAAATTTAACCTACCAAAATTGAATCAGGAAGAAATAAAAAGCCTACACAGACCAATAACAAATAAAAAGATCAGAGTAGTAATTAAAAATTTCATAACAAGTACGACAACAACAAAAAGCCCAGAATCAAATGGTTTTGCAACTAAATTCCTTCAAACATTCAATGACAAATTAATACCAACATTTCCTAAATTCTTCCAAAAAATAGACCTAGAGGGAATACTTCCTAACACATTCTATGAGTGCAGGATCACCCTGATACCTAAGCCAGACAGATACTGTAAGAAAAGAAAACTACAGGCCAATATCGCTGAAAATATTGATGAAAAAAACACAATAAAATATTAGCAAACCAAATTCAACAACACATCACAATATTATACATCATGATCAAGTGAAATTTATCACTGACATGGACCCTCATTTAACATATACTAATTAATCAATGTGATACATTAACAGACTGAAAGATAAAAATCACATGATCATCTCAATTGATGCAGAAAAAGCATTCAACGAAGTTCAACATTGTTTCTTGATTTAAACTCTCAACAGTTTAGGTATAAATGGAAAGTTTGTCATCATAAAAAAGGCTATGAAAAAGCCACAGTTAACATCATAGTCAATGGGAAAAAAATTAAAGCTTTTCCGCTAAGATCTGGTACAAGGCAAGGATGCCCACTCTTGCTGCTTCTATTCAGCGTGGTACTGGAAATACTAGCAAGAGCAATTAGACAAGAAAAAGAAATAAAAGGCATTTAAATCAGAAAGAAAAAACTCAGATTATCTCTATGGATGGCATGATCCCATATTTAGTAAACCCCAAAGACTCCACCAAAAAAAAAAAAATGTTAGAACTAAAAAACAAACTTGGTAAAGTTAAAGGATACAAAATCAGTTGCATTTATGTGCACAAATAACAACCTACGTGAAAAAGAAATCAAGGAAACGATTGTATTTATGAAAGCATCAAAAATACAGTTAGGAATAAGTTTAACCATGGAAGTAAAAGACATGTACACTGAAAATTATAAACCATTGATAAAATTAATAGAAGACACAAATACGTGGAAAGATAACCCATATTCATGGATCTGAAAACTTGATGTTGTTAAAATGTCCATATTACCCAAAGGAATATGCAGATTCAATGGCATCCTTATCAAAATCCCGATGGCATTCTTCACAGAAATTTAAAAAATCCTGAAATTTGTATGGAACCATAAAAAAACTAAATAATAAAAGTAATTTTGAGAAGAGAAAATGACATTGGAGTTATCACACTTCCTGAGTTAAATTAGATTGCAAAGCTATAACAATCAAAACACTATGATACTGGCATAAAATCAGACCACAGACCAGTGGAACAAAAGAGAGAGCCCCAAAATAAATAAATAAATAAATATATATATATATATATATATATATATATATATATATATATATATACAGTAAACTAATTTTTGACAAAGGCACCAAGAAGACAAAATGGGAAAAGGATAATCTCTTCAATAAATGATGCTGGGGAAACTGGATTTGCATGCGCAAAAGAATAAAACTGGGCCCTTGTACCATACACAAAAATCAACTCAAAATGGATACAAGACCTAAATGTAAAATCTGAAACCATAAAACTCCAAGGAGAAAACATAGGAGAACAGGTCCTTGACATTGCCCTTGGCAATAATTTTTGAATATCACACCAAAAGGCTACAAAAGCAAAAATAAATAAATGGGAATATGTCAAACTGAAAAGCTTCTGCACAGCAAAGAAAAGAATCAACAAAATGAAAAAGTAACCTATAGATTGGAAAAATAATTGCAAGACATATATTTGATAAGGTTTAATATCCAAAATTTATAAAATGTTCACACAGCTCAATAGCAAAAAACATATAACCCAATTAAAAAATGGGCAAATTATCTGAATAGTTATTTATCCAAAGAAGACATCAAAATGACCCACAGGTTAATGAAAAGATGCTCAATGTCACTAATCCTCAGGGAAATGCAAATCAAAACCATTATGCGTTATCACCTGACACCAGCAAGTGGAGCTTCCTAAAGAAATTAAAGTTAGAAGTACCATAAGATGTAGCAATTCCTCCTCTGGGTATGCATCCAAAGGAAAGGAAATCAGCACTCAGGGAGATATCTTCACTGTCATGTCCATTCCAGCATTATTCTCAATATCTAAGATAAGAAACAACCTAAATGTTCATTGGCAGGCAAATGGGTAAAGAAACTGTGATATATATGTACAAAGGAATATCCTTCAGCCTCAAAAAAGGAGATCCTGCCATTTGCCACAACATGGATGGAATTGCAAGACATTATGCTAAGTAAATATGTCAGATGCAGAAGGAAAAATATTGCATAATCTCACTCATATGTAAAATCTTTTAAACAAATTCAAATATACAGAAATAGAGAATTACACCGTGGTTACCAGGGGCAGTGTGGCAGGAAGGAATTGCAGAGAAGTAGGTCAAGGGTTACAAAGTCGCAGATAAGGAGGGCGGACAAGTCTAGAGATCTAATGTAAAACATGAGGACCGCCAATACTAACAGTGTCTTGTATTCAGGATTTTTGCTAAATGAGTTGATTGTAGATACTTCAGCCCCACACACAAAACATGGGTACATTAATTTGCTTCACTATATTAACCAATTTACTATATATATATATATACACATATATATATATAAACATCATGATGCTTACCTTAAACATACACAATTAAATGTATTTAAAAAATCCATCATGATGTACAACTTATATACATAAAATAACTAAAATAAAATTTAAAAAATAAGATTCTCCCCCTCCCACAACAAGAAAGGCTTTGGAAGGACTTGAATATAAGATGGCAGAATAATTTGGTAATAAATGCCAACGACTGAGATCTGGGACATCTGTTGACTGAGATGCCAGGTGCCATGTTGCATGGCATGGCATGAGGCCAGAGCCATGGGGCAGGCATTGTAGGATATGTACCAATGTCCAGTCTCCTCCACGGTGACTCTCTATGTGCTCAGACCATCAGGAATTATTTTCTTTTGCTCTTTTGGTGTCTCTGTAAATCCCATCTTATCTCCCAAAAATTTCCTCCTCTCCTCTGCTTTAAATGCAATGTCCTTTGAGGCCCAGCTCACAGGCCACATCAGCTACGCAGCGACGCAGCCCTGGAGGAACGAGCCCAGAGCCTGGGCTGTATCTCATGTTGCAGATTTCTGGCATCTTGAATCTTCTTATCCTGACCTCTCCAATCGCTGCCACCCTTCATCTTTGATCCCATTGGTGGGCTTGTGCAAGTGTGCAGGATGGAACCTGAGTTCCAGCCCCTTACGCTGACAATTACAGTAGTTGCTTACCAGCATCCTATGTCTGGGCCCTCTTCCCCTCAGAGGCAGGTTGCCTGGAAAGAACAGAAAGAACAAAGGGATCCATTTCTGTCTTTCTCCGAGGGACTGTCTGGAGCATCTCCAAAGATGGGGACTACAAAATGCGATTTGCATCACAGCCCACAGCAAACACAAAACTGCACACATCTGTGTCCAGTGGCGTATTAGCCATGTGGCTCCACCTCCAGAGGAGGATATCTGATCAGCCTCCAGGGCTTCATCCCCTAAGTCCCTGGCAGGTGTTGCAGCTGTTCCTTTCCTCAGGCTGCAGGTGAACAAGTGGGTGGCCACGCTTTGTTAAGTGGCATGGCCATCGAGAGTCATCCGGCTCTGTTGAGGCATCATTGTCCTTTCTGCTGGAAAAGTTGAGTCTTCCTGAACCTTGAAGACAAACCACAAGCTCATCGGTTGTTGTTTGTATGCATGTGTGACAGAAGAAAAAAAATTTCTCTTGAGAGAGGTGTTCAGTGCTCCCCTCATCCTCTTGCCCAGAAGGTGCCCCTGTTAGCACAGAACGCCCAGTATCTGTGAGTGGAGCAGGGGCAGGTGCTATGCGCCTGGGGACAGGCCACTTCATCTTTATGTGCCTCGATCTCCCCACCCACAATGAGATCTGGATCACACTTCTGAGTGACTGCTACCAGGTAGCCACTGGCCCATGTTTCAGTGGAAAGGAGAACAGGAGCCCAAAGATGACAAAAGACACAGCCCCACTGTCCAGAAGCTCACAGCTAGGAAATGAGATGCCCTTTCCTTAGTTCCTAATCAAAATTCCCATTTCAGGCCAATAACCATGAGCTGCTCTGTTGGGGTGATGCTGCAGTTAGCAAGACGTGCATCCCACCCTCTGGAAATTCATGGCACCAAAAGTTGTCACAGAGTGAGTTGGGGGCAAAATGACACTAAATGGTGCATCTTTAACCTTATGTCACAGATGTTAGCAAACTCAGTCCAAGAAAAAAAAGGCAATTAGTGCTCGCTTCGGCAGCACATATACTAAAATTGGAACGATACAGAGAAGATTAGCATGGCCCCTGAGCAAGGATGACACGCAAATTCGTGAAGCGTTCCATATTTTTTATTCACAATAGCAAAGACTTGGAACCAACCCAAATGTCCAACAATGATAGACTGGATTAAGAAAATGTGGCACATATACACCATGGAATACTATGCAGCCATAAAAAATGATAAGTTCTTGTCCTTTGTAGGGACATGGATGAAATTGGAAATCATCATTCTCAGTAAACTATCGCAAGGACAAAAAAACAAACACCACATGTTCTCACTCATAGATGGGAATTGAACAATGAGAACACATGGACACAGGAAGGGGAACATCACACTCTGGGGACTGTTGTGGGGTCGGGGGAGGGGGGAGGGATAGCATTAGGAGATATACCTAATGCTAAATGACGAGTTAATGGGTGCAGCACACCAGCATGGCACATGTATACATATGTAACTAACCTGCACATTGTGCACATGTACCCTAAAACTTAAAGTATAATAATAATTTTTTAAAAAGGCAATTAATACTGTTTTTACACATTATTTTGAAAGGCATTTTGATGATGCAAATAACCCACGTTACATACAGAATAATTATGAAATATAGGTAAAAGGAAAATGAAAATTACAAAATTACGGATACCTGGAAATATGTGCTTCTGACTGTGGGTCTGTCTCTCCATCTTCACTTGCTCAAAAGTAAAAATAATGACATCTTTGCTGCTCTGCAACCTGCTTAGTACTTAAATGAATTTTCCATATTTATATAAATGATGAAATCCCAGCACTGCTGTTTTAATGAATGCAGGATGATTCAGTTCAGATGTACCATGATTTGATTATCCTAAAGAAATTACAATAACCATCTTTACATCTATATATCTGTACACATCCTTATTTATTTAGAAGGAATTCTTAGAAACTGAATTGCTGAATAAAGGCACGTTTTATACATACTGCAAAATGGCTAAGTTTTTTGGGTAATCTACTTCATGGATAATAAACTGCAATATGGTATACTAAACCTGACTTCTTCCCAGCATGTCACAGATCCGCCTCCACAAGTTACCATTCTGACTTCAAATGACTTGCTTGAACAAACTCACGTGCCTGATGTTGACTCACCTATGTTATTGCACCATGAAAGATGTGGAGCGCATCATGTTTTCACACGAATTAGCATGGAAAGCTGGTAACTTTATAGTTTTACCACCTCAAGCTTTTAATACCTTTCTTGCTGCAATGTATTGCCAACCAATGTGAACCATAATAGCACCGAGAGAAAACAGGATGCAGGAGGGAAGGAAGAAAAGTAATATTCCTTAAAATGTGCAGCACCATGTTCTCTAAATTTTGAAATACTGAACAAAAAGCATTAACAGGTTTGTAAACCTTTAACACAAATTGAGTTCTATTTCCTCTGCTGGCCCCTGGGAAGGGTATGTGGCCCAGTGGTGGGGACCTGAGACTTGGCTGGAAAGTCAGGGCTCTGGGTCTTTTTCCACACTTTAAAGCTCAGTGAGCAAATTTGAGATCAATTAAGTTCCCCATCTGGAACCGGATGAAAAAGCTTGCCAGATCCACCTCACGTGATACCACAATTTCCTATGAAGATTACTATTAAATTAAGGAACTATGATGAAGACCAACTGGCGTAACTGCTTGGGTTTAGTTATCTTCCAGAAATGATTCATGCTATACGTATTTAATTAGTTTTTTTCAGTTATTTGAAAGGCTCCTTTCAGGAGGATGTTGGGACACAATTACATGTGACATTTGGCTGAGAGCAGTGACTCCTAGGTCGTGACCTGTCCACCTGCGTGTGCCCGTAGCAGCATTGAGCAGGTCTTCCCAGAAAAGCCAAGACAGTGGGAAAATGATCACCTGGTATAGCTAAGTGTGAGTACAGGCTACAACATTGTTGAGCTACACATAGCCACAGACACCAAATGCATTAGGTCGTTCTAAAACCATAAAGGATTCCAATGTTTCATAGCTACATTTGTGGACTAGAAATGATGGAGCTACCTAAATTCCACAGATATTCTGATTAGAGTCTCCTACTAGATGTAATTTTTTCCTCAAGCTATCAATAGCAAAATTAACAAGTGAGCAAGCTCCTCTCCATCTCCCTGTGGAACAGCCAACAATTAGGAGAAAGAAAAGTCTTATAGCTGGTGAGAGACTAGGATGTGAAGGCTGGAGGAGCTGGGATTGGTGCTGCAAAGGAGATAGCACGGACAGGAGTGGCTAGTGCTGACCTTGTCCCAGGCACTGCAGCCAAAAGAAGTTTGCTTGTGACCAAACTTCTCAGTCATTAGGATTCATCTCCATTGTACAGATAATGAAATAAAGACTCAGAGATGAATCACTTTCAGATGCATCCACAGTCAGTCAATAGATGTTTGAAGTAGTTTTCTGTGTTTCTCTTGTGCCAAATACTAAACTGTTTCTTCTAGAGAAGAGAGATCTTAAAATCATGAAGTCCAACAATGGCCAAGGTGTAGCTAGGCAGAGCTGGGGCTGTTCAAATATGAACATCATTAGGAATGATGACAGGAATAATCATTATTATTATAACAATAATAAACATTTGCTGAGTACCAACTATGGGCCAGACACGAGTTTGGGCACTTTAGATTCTGTTTTCCTTAAGATGGGGGAGGCTGGCCGGGCGTGCTGGCTCACTTCTGTAATCCCAGCACTTTGGGAGGCCGAGGCAGGTGGATTGCCTGAGGTCAGGAGTTCGAGACCAGTCTGGCCAACATGGTGAAACCCCATCTCTAATAAAAACACTAAAAAATTAGCCAGGTGTGGCAGTGTGCTCCTGTAATCCCAGCTACTCTGGAGTCTAAAGCGGGAGAATCACTTGAACCCGGGAGGTGGAGCTTGCAGTGAGCCAAGATCACGCCACTGCACTCTAGCCTGGGTGACAGAGTGAGACTCTGTCACAAAAAAAAAAAGATGGGGGAGGCCATATTGCAATAATAAAATATCATCAATATTTTCTGGGACCTAAACCGACAAAGTCCCAGAAGATTTTATGGTACTATGTGTCAGTTTTGGACTGGCCAGGCTGTGCTGTATGTCATTTTGCACTACCTGGCAGATAAAGAGAAATATCAAATCACACGCTGTCTCCTGAAGCTCCAGCCAGAAGTGAACAAACAGATACCACAAGCCAAAGCACAATCCCAAGGCCAGGCCTGATTTGAAGGGGAGCAGGCTGTGCCTAAGGATCAGAAATATTAGGTGCCAGCAGCAACGACCCCCATACATGTGTTCTGTCATTTACCTCCCCAAAAGACTTTTACAGAAGAGAAAATGCGGCATGGAGAGCTTCAGGGACCTGTGTAAATGCCACACAGCTAAGTAGAGACAAGCTTGGCCTTGACTCCAGGCAGCTGGACTCCACAGTCTGTGCTCTGTTTGTAAATTTTTACTTATTTATTTATTTATTTATTGAGAAGGAGTCTCGCTCTGTCGCCCAGGCTGGAGTGCAATAGTGCGATCTCGGCTCACCCCACCTCCGCCTCCCAGGTTCAAGTGATTCTCCTGCCTCAGCCTCCCAAGTAGCTGGGATTATAGTTGTGCACCACCACGCCCGGCTAATTTTGTATTTTTAGTAGAGACGGGGTTTCTCCATGTTGGTCAGGCTGGTCTCAAACTCGCAACCTCAGGTGATTCGCCCATCTCGGCCTCCTGAAGTGCTGGGATTACAGGCGTGAGCCACTGCACCCAGCCATAATTTTTTTTTTAATTGACGGACACGAACTGTATATATTTATGGTATATGACATAATGTTTTTTCTTTTTTTGTCCTCATCGCCTGTCCTAAGAAGAACATAGTGTTTTGATATACAGTATGCGTACACTATGGAATGGCTAAACTGAACTAAGTAACATATGCATTGCCTCACCTACTTGCCAGTTATTTGTGGTAAGAACACTTAAAACTACTCTCTTAGAAGTGCTCAAGAATACAAGACACTGTGTTTAGCTGTGGTCACCATGCTGTGCAACAGATTTCTTGAAGTTTCTCCTCCTAACTGAAATTGTGTATCCCTGGCCAACCTCTTCTCAGTCCTTCCCCTGCCCCAGCCTCTGGTAAGCACCATCCCACTCTCTGCCTCTGTGAGTTTGACATTTTTAGCCTCTGTATATAAGTGAGATCATAAAGTAGCTGTCTTTTGGCACCCAGCTTATTTCGCTTAGCATAATGTCCTCCAGGTTCATCTATGGTGTTGCAAATGACAGGATTTCCTTGTTTCTTAAGGCTGAATAGTACTCAACCGTGTATTTATAACACATTTTCTTCACCTGTCGATGGACACGGAGGTTGATTCCATATTCTGGCTGTTGTGGATAGTGCTATGATGAACATGGGTACAGGTAGAGTAGCCTGCACTCTTTACCATCATTCATTTCTCTCTCTCTAGCTACTGTCGACAGCACCAACTACGTACCAGGCATGGAATGCAATATTATTTATATCCTTTACTCCTCCCAGTCCTGCAGATTTTATTCATCACATTTTACCCATGAGGACCATGAATCTTTCCATGAGGACAATGAAGATGTAGAACTTATTCTAGTATCCTAAGCAGTAGTCAAAGTTTGAACCTTAGCTTGCCTGACCCCAAAGCCCATGCTCTTCAGCATTACATTATGAAATTCTTGGGAGACCTAGCACAACTCTGAATTCGAGAAATATTAACTCAGCACCTACTCTGCACAAGATACATGAAACTCAACCCTCTCTCTTGTTGGCTTGTAGTCAGTCATTAGTGATATTTGAGAGCAATAGGTCATCTGGAGAGACTGGATGCAAAGCAATCACAGTCCATGAGCTGTCTCCATGAAGATTAGAAAAGAGGCACTTCTTTCTCAAGACATGTTACTTCTATCTCTTGGGATGCTGTCATATTACACTGTTTTGTTAGAATAAGATCTCCTACTACCATCTTCTAGAGAACTGTTGTAAAGCACATGTGAGTCTGTGGAAGTTGTGATGTGCATGGGGCCTGCAAGGATGTGCACCAACACAACCTAAATGGGTGGCCTGGCTATGCTCACCAAAGGGCTTCTTGCTCTCCTTCCACATTTTTACCAGGCTGGATTCCATTTGCATTTTGTATTCTAGGACACACAGAAGCAGCTTTGTTGTCATGATGCAATGGCAGTGATCAAAAATGATCACCCCTTCCATGAGAAAAATCATGAGAATCTAAAAATATGCAGACTTCCTACCTTACTCTAATGCTGAAAGAGAGTGATTTGAAGTCACCACTTTTTTTTTAAATAGGTTTTCACTTTGCCTCCCAGGCTGGAGTGCAGTGGTGCGATCTCAGCTCACTTCATCCTCGACCTCCCGGGCTCAAGCGATCCTACCACCTCTGCCTCCCAAGTAGCTGGGACTATAGTTAAGACTATTTTTTCCAGCCAGGTGCAGTGGCTCACTCCTGTAATCCCAGCACTTTGGGAGGCCAAGGCAGGCGGATGACCTGAGGTCAGGAGTTCAAGACCAGCCTGAACAACATGGTGAAACCCCGTCTCTATCAAAAAAAAAAAATTAACCTGGTGTGCTGGTGGGTGCCTGTAATCTCAGCTACTCGAAAGGCTGAGGCAGGAGAATTCCTTGAACCCGGGAGGCAAAAGTTTCAGTGAGCCAAGATCGTGCCGTTGCACTCCAGCCTGGGCGACAGAGCAAAACTCCATCTCAGGAAAAAAAAAAAAAAAAAAGCTATTTTTTCCCCTCTTTTTAGAGGTGGGATTTCACTCTGTCACCCAGGCTGGAGTGCAGTGCTATGATCATAGCTCAGTTCAGCCTCAAACTTCTGGGCTCAAGCAATCCTCCAGCCTGAGCTTCCTCAGTGGCTAGGACTATAGGCACACAGCACAATGCCTGGTGAATTTTCTATTATATTTTTTGTAGAGACAGGTCTTGCTATGTTTCCCAGGCCAGTCTCAAACTCCTGGCCACAAGAGATCCTCCTGCTTTGGCCTCCCAAAGCACTGGGATAATAGACATGAGCCACCATGCCTGGCCCTGCAAATGACTTATAGTCTGCAGATCTGAGTGTTCATTTCAGCTTTGCCACGTTCTTCCCAGTGACCCTTCACAAGTCACTCTACTTCTGAGCATTCAGTTGCTTCTCTTTGAAAAGGAATTGTGTCCCCAGCCTGTGTGCCTCACATCGGGGCCACGGTTCTGCTTTGTAAGGGCTTTGAAGCACTAGGGGAATTGGGATGCACCACATGCCTGCTAGTTCTGCATCACCAGGCTCTCTTCGGAGTGCTCCTTACCTTCATCACACACATGTGAGTTCCCGTTACCAAGCCAGGGTCTGTGTCAGATGTTGAGATACAAGAATGAAGAAAACTTTACCTGCATAGTTAACTAGTGTCTATTCACCAGAATGAGTCGTTTGAGAGTAGAGAGTCTACATTAAGCTTTTCTCTGCCACCCCACCCTTGTACCTAGGACAGCTCCAAGGTCTCCAGATGTGCCTAATGAGCTGTTTTTCAGTTAGGAAATATTAAGAATAAATCTCTGCATATGACCCAGTGTCTCTGTGGTGTTAGATTTTTCTGTGGTACCAGATGACCAAACTGAAGTTAACCTTAACTAGTTTCCTCGTTCCAGAAAATAAGGACTTATTATCTTAACCCAACCCCTTATCTAGTTTTTAAACAATGAATTTGGGAGCATTTAGAGGATAGTGTATTGATTAATACAAACTGATAACAATAATACTAATGCGCACACTTTGTTGAATGATTCCTACGTATCAGCTTTACAGCTCCAGGTTTACCAGGAGTAAGTCCGTTCTAATGGGGAAAAAAAACTGTTATTGCCCTTTAGAACAGAGTGTGGTATGTATCTCTACTTCAGCCGAGTACTTGACACTGTGTCTGTATCTTGATAGATTAGTGAATTTCCTGGGTAAAGAGAATTTGCCTGGGTTTAGAGATCAACCCAAGTGATTTCCTGGGTTTAGAGATCCTAAACTAGATCTCTAAAGAGTATTACTACCAGGTCTGTGTCAAATTGAAAGGTGATTCTGAATGTTGGGTCATCAGCATATATTGTTTAGTATGTTTATCAGAAGCTCAAGTGGAAACAGATTTGCAGCTCTGCTGTAGAAGACAGCTTCAAGACTTGTAAAATGACATTGACAGATAAGAATGAGGAGCTACAGAAAAATGAAATAAAATTTATTAGGAAAAAGTGTGATAGCCTGTATTCCAGAAAGTCGCTTGCAAGGTACAAAAGATTCCTGGCTTGGTGATGACTCATGTGAGGAAGGAATGAGATTTAGGCAAATAAAACCTCACATAAGGAATCCTGTGACAAGGCTGCCAAAACAGTGAGAACAATTGAAATCTACCACCCAATTAAAAGGTGGCAATAGTTCTACTTTCTCTGTGAATACTACTATAAGTAGAATTATTATTCCATTCTGAATTCATTTTTACATTCTAAATACATTTATATCTATTGAAAATTTTCCCATCAGATAATGATATATTATCAATGGATTTGAAAAATTAGAAATATCTTAATATTTCAAAATAAATATTTAACTCCAGAGAATAGGATAGCTTTTCTCATGTTCATCATTGTTGAAAATGCTTGTAGCAGTTACTTATATACATACTTTTAAAATAATTTTTATTAGTTCTGTTAATTGACAATTTATAATCTGGGAAAGATTATAAATTCCTTTTATAAAGAGAAAAATGAAATTGAGATGTGACCCTGTCATAGTAATGCATTCAGGAATCTCATATAAGCATTGCTAGATGAGTCATTTTGCTGGGAGCAGGGCAGCTCATTTTAAGGATGATATTGACAAAGAGGGTATAATACAGATGGCAGAAAACATGAAAATCATCTTGTGTGTAGAAACCTGGAATATTTATCCCAGGAGTCATAAATAATAAAGGTTTTCCACTATGTGATATCACAGCCTGTGAATAAGTAATCCCTGTGTTCTTAATATCACCAAATGTCAGAGCTACGAGTCCCAAACAGGATGATTAAAACAAGTTATAAGAAATAAAGATAGAGAGAGGAGCCAAGATGGCCGAATAGGAACAGCTCCGGTCTACAGCTCCCAGCGTGAGCAACGCAGAAGACAGGTGATTTCTGCATTTCCATCTGAGGTACCAGGTTCATCTCACTAGGGAGTGCCAGACAGTGGGCGCAGGTCAGTGGGTGCGTGCACCGTGCGCCAGCCGAAGCAGGGCGAGGCACTGCCTCACTCGGGAAGCGCAAGGGGTCAGGGAGTTCCCTTTCCTAGTCAAAGAAAGGGGTGACGGACAGCACCTGGAAAATCAGGCCACTCCCACCCGAATACTGCGCTTTTCCTACGGGCTTAAAAAACGGCGCACCAGGAGATTATATCCTGCACCTGGCTCGGAGGGTCCTACGACCACGGAGTCTCGCTGATTGCTAGCACAGCAGTCTGAGATCAAACTGCAAGGCGGCAGCGAGGCTGGGGGAGGGGCGCCCGCCATTGCCCAGGCTTGATTAGGTAAACAAAGCAGCTGGGAAGCTCGAACTGGGTGGAGCCCACCACAGCTCAAGGAGGCCTGCCTGCCTGCCTCTGTAGGCTACACCTCTGGGGGCAGGGCACAGACAAACAAAAAGACAGCAGTAACCTCTGCAGACTTAAATGTCCCTGTCTGACAGCTTTGAAGAGAGCAGTCGTTCTCCCAGCACGCAGCTGGAGATCTAAGAACGGGCAGACTGCCTCCTCAAGTGCGTCCCTGACCCCTGACCCCCGAGCAGCCTAACTGGGAGGCACCCCCCAGCAGGGGCACACTGACACCTCACACTGCAGGGTACTCCAGCAGACCTGCAGCTGAGGGTCCTGTTTGTTAGAAGGAAAACTAACAAACAGAAAGGACATCCACACCAAAAACCCATCTGTACATCGCCATTGTCAAAGACCAAAAGTAGATAAAACCACAAAGATGGGGAAAAAACAGAACAGAAAAACTGGAAACTCTAAAAAGCAGAGCGCCTCTCCTCCTCCAAAGGAACACAGTTCCTCACCAGCAATGGAACAAAGCTGGACGGAGAATGACTTTGACGAGCTGAGAGAAGAAGGCTTCAGACGATCAAATTACTCTGAGCTACAGGAGGACATTCAAACCAAAGGCAAAGAAGTTGAAAACTTTGAAAAAAATTTAGAAGAATGTATAACTAGAATAACCAATACAGAGAAGTGCTTAAAGGAGCTGATGGAGCTGAAAACCAAGGCTCGAGAACTACGTGAAGAATGCAGAAGCCTCAGGAGCCGACGCGATCAACTGGAAGAAAGGGTATCAGCAATGGAAGATGAAATGAATGAAATGAAGTGAGAAGGGAAGTTTAGAGAAAAAAGAATAAAAAGAAATGAGCAAAGCCTCCAAGAAATATGGGACTATGTGAAAAGACCAAATCTACGTCTGATTGGTGTACCTGAAAGTGATGGGGAGAATGGAACCAAGTTGGAAAACACTCTGCAGGATATTATCCAGGAGAACTTCCCCAATCTAGCAAGGCAGGCCAACGTTCAGATTCAGGAAATACAGAGAACGCCACAAAGATATTCCTCGAGAAGAGCAACTCCAAGACACATAATTCTCAGATTCACCAAAGTTGAAATGAAGGAAAAAATGTTAAGGGCAGCCAGAGAGAAAGGTCGGGTTACCCTCAAAGGGAAGCCCATCAGACTAACAGCGGATCTCTCGGCAGAAACCCTACAAGCCAGAAGAGAGTGGGGGCCAATATTCAACATTCTTAAAGAAAAGAATTTTCAACCCAGAATTTCATATCCAGCCAAACTAAGCTTCATAAGTGAAGGAGAAATAAAATACTTTACAGACAAGCAAATGCTGAGAGATTTTGTCACCACCAGGCCTGCCCTAAAAGAGCTCCTGAAGGAAGCGCTAAATATGGAAAGGAACAACCGGTACCAGCCGCTGCAAAATCATGCCAAAATGTAAAGACCATCGAGACTAGGAAGAAACTGCATCAACTAACGAGCAAAATAACCAGCTAACATCATAATGACAGGATCAAATTCACACATAACAATATTAACTTTAAATGTAAATGGACTAAATGCTCCAATTAAAAGACGCAGACTGGCAAATTGGATAAAGAGTCAAGATCCATCAGTGTGCTGTATTCAGCAAACCCATCTCACGTGCAGAGACACACATAGGCTCAAAATAAAAGGATGGAGGAAAATCTACCAAGCAAATGGAAAACAAAAAAAGGCAGGGGTTGCAATCCTAGTCTCTGATAAAACAGACTTTAAACCAACAAAGATCAAAAGAGACAAAGAAGGCCATTACATAATGGTAAAGGGATCAATTCAACAAGAAGAGCTAACTATCCTAAATATATATGCACCCAACACAGGAGCACCCAGATTCATAAAGCAAGTCCTGAGTGACCTACAAAGAGACTTAGACTCCCACACATTAATAATGGGAGACTTTAACACCCCACTGTCAACATTAGACAGATCAACGAGACAGAAAGTCAACAAGGATACCCAGGAATTCAACTCAGCTCTGCACCAAGCAGACCTAATAGACATCTACAGAACTCTCCACCCCAAATCAACAGAATATACATTTTTTTCAGCACCACACCACACCTATTCCAAAATTGACCACATACTTGGAAGTAAAGCTCTCCTCAGCAAATGTAAAAGAACAGAAATTATAACAAACTGTCTCTCAGACCACAGTGCAATGAAACTAGAACTCAGGATTAAGAATCTCACTCAAAACCGCTCAACTACATGGAAACTGAACAACCTGCTCCTGAATGACTACTGGGTACATAACGAAATGAAGGCAGAAATAAAGATGTTCTTTGAAACCAACGAGAACAAAGACACAACATACCAGAATCTCTGCGACGCATTCAAAGCAGTGTGTACAGGGAAATTTATAGCACTAAATGCCCACAAGAGAAAGCAGGAAAGATCCAAAATTGACACCCTAACATCGCAATTAAAAGAACTAGAAAAGCAAGAGCAAACACATTCAAAAGCTAGCAGAAGGCAAGAAATAACTAAAATCAGAGCAGAACTGAAGGAAATAGAGACACAAAAAACCCTTCAAAGAATTAATGAATCCAGGAGCTAGTTTTTTGAAAAGATCAACAAAATTGATAGACCGCTAGCAAGACTAATAAAGAAAAAAAGAGAGAAGAATCAAATAGATGCAATAAAAAATGATAAAGGGGATCTCACCACCGATCCCACAGAAATACAAACTACCATCAGAGAATACTACAAACACCTCTACGCAAATAAACTAGAAAATCTAGAAGAAATGGATACATTCCTCGACACATACACTCTCCCAAGACTAAACCAGGAAGAAGTTGAATCTCTGAATAGACAATAACAGGAGCTGAAATTGTGGCAATAATCAATAGCTTACCAACCAAAAAGAGTCCAGGACCAGACGGATTCACAGGCGAATTCTACCAGAGGTACAAGGAGGAACTGGTACCATTCCTTCTGAAACTATTCCAATCAATAGAAAAAGAGGGAATCCTCCCTAACTCATTTTATGAGGCCAGCATCATTCTGATACCAAAGCCAGGCAGAGACACAACCAAAAAAGAGAATTTTAGACCAATATCCTTGATGAACATTGATGCAAAAATCCTCAATAAAATACTGGCAGACCGAATCCAGCAGCACATCAAAAAGCTTATCCACCATGATCAAGTGGGCTTCATCCCTGGGATGCAAGGCTGGTTCAATATACGCAAATCAATAAATGTAATCCAGCATATAAACAGAGCCAAAGACAAAAACCACATGATTATCTCAATAGATGCAGAAAAGGCCTTTGACAAAATTCAACAACCCTTCATGCTAAAAACTCTCAATAAATTAGGTATTGATGGGACGTATATTTCAAAATAATAAGAGCTATCTATGACAAACCCACAGCCAATATCATACTGAATGGGCAAAAACTGGAAGCATTCCCTTTGAAAACTGGCACAAGACAGGGATGCCCTCTCTCACCACTCCTATTCAACATAGTGTTGGAAGTTCTGGCCAGGGCAATTAGGCAGGAGAAAGAAAGAAAGGGTATTCAATTAGGAAAAGAGGAAGTCAAATTGTCCCTGTTTGCAGATGACATGATTGTATATCTAGAAAACCCCACTGTCTCAGCCCAAAATCTCCTTAAGCTGATAAGCAACTTCAGCAAAGTCTCAGGATACAAAATCAATGTACAAAAATCACAAGCATTCTTATACAGCAACAACAGACAAACAGAGAGCCAAATCATGAGTGAACTCCCATTCACAATTGCTTCAAAGAGAATAAAATACCTAGGAATCCACCTTACAAGGGATGTGAAGGACCTCTTCAAGGAGAACTACAAACCACTGCTCAAGGAAATAAAAGAGGATACAAACAAATGGAAGAACATTCCATGCTTATGGGTAGGAAGAATCAATATCGTGAAAATGGCCATACTACCCAAGGTAATTTACAGATTCAATGCCATCCCCATCAGGCTATCAATGACTTTCTTCACAGAATTGGAAAAAACTACTTTAAAGTTCATATGGAACCAAAAAAGAGCCTGCATCACCAAGTCAATCCTAAGCCAAAAGAACAAAGCTGGAGGCGTCACGCTACCTGACTTCAAACTATACTACAAGGCTACAGTAACCAAAACAGCATGGTACTGGTACCAAAACAGAGATATAGATCAATGGAACAGAACAGAGCCCTCAGAAATAACGCCGCATATCTAAAACTATCTGATCTTTGACAAACCTGAGAAAAACAAGCAATGGGGAAAGGATTCCCTATTTAATGAATGGTGCTGGGAAAACTGGCTAGCCATATGTAGAAAGCTGAAACTGGATCCCTTCCTTACACCTTATACAAAAATCAATTCAAGATGGATTAAAGACTTAAATGTTAGACCTAAAACCATAAAAGCCCTAGAAGAAAACCTAGGCATTACCATTCAGGACATAGGCATGGGCAAGGACTTCATGTCTAAAACACCAAAAGCAATGGCAACAAAAGCCAAAATTGACAAATGGGATCTAATTAAACTAAAGAGCTTCTGCACAGCAAAACAAACTACCATTAGAGTGAACAGGCAACCTACAAAATGAGAGAAAATTTTCGCAAGCTACTCATCTGACAAAGGGCTAATATCCAGAATCTACAATGAACTCAAACAAATTTACAAGAAAAAAACAAACAACCCCATCAAAAAGTGGGCAAACGACATGAACAGACAGTTCTCAAAAGAAGACATTTATGCAGCCAAAAAACACATGAAAAAATGCTCATCATCACTGGCCATCAGAGAAATGCAAATCAAAACCACAATGAGATACCATCTCACACCAGTTAAAATGGCAATCATTAAAAAGTCAGGAAACAACAGGTGCTGGAGAGGATGTGGAGAAATAGGAACACTTTTACACTGTTGGTGGGACTGTAAACCAGTTCAACCATTGTGGAAGTCAGTGTGGCGATTCCTCAGGGATCTAGAACTAGAAATACCATTTGACCCAGCTATCCCATTACTGGGTATATACCCAAAGGACTATAAATCATGCTGCTATAAAGACACATGCACACGTATGTTTATTGCGGCATTATTCACAATAGCAAAGACTTGGAACCAAGCCAAATGTCCAACAATGATAGACTGGATTAAGAAAATGTGGCACATATACACCATGGAATACTATGCAGCCATAAAAAATGATGAGTTCATGTCCTTTGCAGGGACATGGATGAAACTGGAAATCATCATTCTCAGTAAACTATCGCAAGAACAAAAAACCAAACACCGCATATTCTCACTTACAGGTGGGAATTGAACAATGAGATCACATGGACACAGGAAGGGGAACATCACACTCTGGGGACTGTTGTGGGGTGGGAGGAGGGGGGAGGGATAGCATTGGGAGATATACCTAATGCTAGATGACAAGTTAGTGGGTGCAGCGCACCAGCATGGCACATGTATACATATGTAAATAACCTGCACAATGTGCACATGTACCCTAAAACTTAAAGTATAATAATAAAAGAAAAAAAAAAAGAAATAAAGATAAACAGGCCAGGCGCAGTGGCTGATGCCTGTAATCCCGGCACTTTGGGAGGCCAAGGCAGGAGGATCACAAGGTCAGGAGATCAAGACCATCCTGGCTAACACGGTGAAACCCCGTCTCTGCTAAAACTACAAAAAATTAACCAGTCGTGGTGGCGGGCGCCTGTAGTCCCAGCTACTCGGGATGCTGAGGCAGGAGAATGGCGTGAACCCAGGAGGCAGAGCTTGCAGTGAGCCGAGATTGCGCCACTGCACTCCAGCCTGGGGGACAGAGCTAGACTCCATCTCAAAAAAAAAAAAAAAAAAAAAAGAAAAGAAAGAAAGAAACAACAAAGATGTTTTCAGAATGAGATAAGCTGCCTCTTAGAATAGTCTTCTTTACTAGGTTCATTCTGGAGAAAATCTTTAAATTTTAGGGTAATCTATGGGGTGATTCATGAGGTCCTTTCTGACTACAGGGTTGTGTGCCCCGTGGTGATGATTTCTGGAGCCAAATTATCGTCTGAATACTAATCCACATGTCTGAGCTCACCTCTGCCATGACAGCCACTCCCTTTGCCACAATTCCAAAATGTTTTTGTTTGCAAACTCAATCTGGTGAAGTATTGAAATGTTTGAACAAATTCTGTGTTTCTCGATATGAGGCAACTTGTGGAATGTGTAAGTGACTTGAGGTTTCCAGAAATATTTAGGTTCCATTTCTCTCTATGTGTACAGATGCTTCCCTATTCTGGTAACAGTGGATTAACTTTGTGGGAAATAGCTAGGTTGTGGCTGAACAAAAAGCAAAGTGTTTCTAATCATCAGTGTGTTTTTTTCTTCCCATGAGAAAATATACTTACTATAAACTTAGGAGGAAGTCAAGCCACCTCACTTCCTTTCTGTTTTTTTTTTTTTTTTCAGGTTTAAAATACTCCATTTTTGCTATTCACTTTTACTTGAGCAAAAATAGTTAAAGAAAGACCCTGGAGATACCTAAAAAAGGTACACTATTTAGGTTCAGTTCCATGAAAGCAAGGCCTAGAAAGCAATAGTGTCTTTGTGATCACACAGAATTTGGGAACAAGGCTGAGAGAATTTTCCTTTAAGTGATATTTCATAGGACTTATAAAACATAAATAAATAGTTATAGAATAATAACTACAGAAAACACTCTATGATACCAGCTGACAAGCTGCATGAGAAACCTTATCTATCTCCTGCATAAATCCCTATTACAAACAGACCCATGGCCAGGAGGAAATCAATATAATTAAACCTCACAGTGGGGAGAACTTCCTCTGCCAAACTTCAAGATCAAAGAAGGCTTTGCGGAAGAGATGGCATTGGATCTGGTTCTGAAAGATAGGAAGAATTTGAAGTATAAAGTGGACTATTATTCAGCCATAAAAAGAAAATCCTGCCATTTGCAACAACACAGATGAACCTGGAGGACATGTTACATAAAATAAGCATAGAAAGACACAGACAGACAAATACTGCATGATCTCACTTATGTGTGGAATCTAAAAGTGTCAAACTGGGCAGGGCATGGTGGCTCACACCTGTAATCCCAGCACTTTGGGAGGCCGAGGCAGGTGGATCACCTGAGGTCAGGAGTTCAAGAGGAGCCTGACCAACATGGTGAAACCCCATCCCTACTAAAATTACAAAATTAGCTGGGTGTGGTGGCACATGCCATGCCTGTAATCCCAGCTACTCGGGAGGTTGAGGCAGGAGAATCACTTGAACCCGGGAGGCAGAGGTTACAGTGAGCTCAGACTGTGCCATTGCACTCTAGCCTGGGCGACAAGAGCAAAAATCTGTCTCAAAAATAAATAAATAAATAAAAGTGTCAAACTCATAGAAGCAGAGAGTTAAATGGTGATGCCAGGGGTGGGGGAGAGGGGAAACTGGGTGAGAGGCTGGACAAAGAATACAAGCTTTCAGTTACAAGACGAATCAGTTCTGGGGTTCTCATATACAGCATGGGTGGTGATGGATGTGTTAATTAATTTGATTTTGGTAATCACTACACAATGCATACATATGTCAAATCATCATGTTGCACACCAAAAATATTCAATCTTTGTCAATTAAATATTTTAAAATTTAAAAAATACATTTTTAAAATAAAATATAATAATGAACTGTCATCATGGTTAAGTAACCTACCCAGATTCAAACGAGACATAAAACTAGATATTCTCAAGTATGCAGAAAGAGCCACTAACACTATGCAAGTCAATAAATGCAATACACCACATAAACAGGATTAAAAACAAAAATTACATGATTATCTCGATAGACGCAGAAAAAGCATTTGACATTAAGCATCCCTTAATGATTAAAGCCCTCAGCAAAATCAGCATAGAAGGGACACAAGGTAACAAAAGCCATCTACAACAAACCCACAGCCAACATAATACTGAAGGGGGATGAGCTGAAAGCATTCCTCCTGAGAACTGGAACAAGACAAGGATGCCCACTTTCACCACTTCTATTCACCACAGTACTGAAAGTCCTAGCCAAAGTAATCAGACAAGAGAAGGAAATAAAGGGCATCCAAATGGCTAAAGAGGAAGTCAAACTGTTGTTGTTTGCTGATGATATGATTATATACCTAGAAAACCCCAAAGACTTCTCCAAAAAGCTCCTAGAACTGATAAATGAATTGAGCAAAGTTTTAGGATACAAATTTATTGTACACAAATCGGTAGCTCTACTATACACCAACAGCAACCAACCTGAGAATCAAATCAAGAACTCATCCCCTTTTACAATAGCTGAAAACAAAACAAAAAAAAAAACTTAGGAATATACCTAACCAAGGAGGTAAAAGACCTCTACAAGAAAAGCTACAAAACACTGCTGAAAGAAATCACAGATGACATAAACAAATGAAAACACATCCCACGCTCGTGGATGGGTAGAATCAATGTTGTGAAAATGACCGTATTGCCAAAAGCAATCTACAAATTCAATGCAATTCCCATCAAAACATACCATCGTTCTTCACAGAACTAGAAAAAACAATCCTAAAATTCATATGGAACCAAAAAAGAGCCCACGTAGCCAAAGAAAGACTAAGCAAAAAGAACAAATCTGGAGGTATCAACTGATATACCCTAAGGCCATAGTCACCAAAACAGCATGGTACTGGTATAAAAACAGGCATATAGACCAATGGAACAGAATAGAGAACCCAGAAATAAAGCCAAATACTTACAGCCAACTGATCTTCAACAAAGCAAACAAAAACATAAAGTGGGGAAAGGACACCCTATTCAACAAATGGGGCTGGGATAATTGGCAAGCCACCTTAGGAAAATATTACCAATATAAAAATCCACGGCAATATACTAAATTGTATTTTATAACTGATTAAAACAGGAATTGGGTAGTAAGAATTGGCAGTATTTATTAGTACTCTCCAGTTGAGAGACATGTTGGGGATAGAGAGTAGTCTGGCCTTGTCCTATATACCTATATGGATCTGGGGTAGTCTTCCAGATTCATATGACTTGTGTGAAATATCCCTTAAGAGTATCCAATTCCTCCTGGGCCAGGCCGTGTTGCATCCAGGTCACTTGTACCTCCCCTCTTTCTCTCCGAGGCTGCTTGTCCTCTCCCTGCATGCTCCAGGCCTCCTCGGACTTTCAGGGAAGCTCTAGTTGGGAAAGAGAGCTATTAATTAACCACCCACTTGCTCAGCAATTCAGTGTTATGCTAGTTTGCTTTCCTGTGGGGACAACCTCAAAATCTCGGGGGCTTATACCAACAGCTATATTCCACTTGGGTTAGATGAGGGCTGCATGTTGTCTATTGGTCTGATCCATGGGTTGCTTTTGCTCCAAGGTCCAGGCTAAAGGAGATGCCCTCTCTTGGGGAATGTCATGCCCCTGCTAGAGGTAGTCTCTGCTTGGACTGGGCACACTGCTACTTCGCTGCTCATTTCATCAACCCCAGCCAGCCACTGTGGGGCAAGCCAGTGTTCCTTGCTTGTCAGAGATGCTGTACTTTGCATACAATGGTGAAGAGAGTGAACAGCAGGGTGTAATTAAACAGTCAACCACAACCTGAAGCCACTTTCCCTGCTAAGTGGACCTCAACTCAATGGTCTCATTCTGAAAGATGTGGCCTAAATTCTTGCTTGGAATGGTAATTCCTCTCTAATAGACTCTGCTGTTCTCTTGCCAGTCAAGAGGACTGAAGGGGATTGAAGCTCTGAACCTAGGCTCAGTGGCTACTGCCCCTCCTCCACAGCCGCTGGCTTCCAGCAGACATTCCTGATGCTGATGTGCTCCTTGGAGTGCTGAGCTTTGGGGGAAATCCTGTTGCATGGTGCCAGACCCTCCTTCCCCATCTCATAACTCCATCACAGAGTTGGTCTACCATGGATGAACTTATCCTAGGTTCAAGATATTCTGCCCAGGTGACTAGGCTTCTCCAGTGACAGATGGACCACTGCTCTTACCCCCTCATACCTGCTCCATCTGAGCTACTGGCCAGCTGGCCTCACCTGCCAAAGGCAACTGGGCCATGACGGCTGAGTAATAAAAAGCAATGCTGTGCTTTGCTTCCAGACTCACCAAGAACCCTCTGGCTACTAATTTTGTGTAGCAGATTTGCATTTTGATCCACATCCTTAGGTGCTTATGAAATAAAACTTGGATGCCTTTTGATAATCATGTTCTGGGTGTGTACCCAAAAGTGGAGTTGCTAACTCATAGGGTATGATTTTGTTCAAAACTGACATACTGTCAATAGTTTTCCAAATTAATGGTAATAATTTATACCTACACCAGTAATATAATGTGTTTCTGTCAATCCTTAAATTTTAGCCATCATGAAGTTAAGTAATGTGATGCCTCTGGTTTTATTTTTCTTAGAATGACTTTGGCTCTTTTTGGGTTCCATATGAATATTAGAACAGTTTTTCTAATTCTGTGAAAAATTGCATTGGTAATTTGATAGAAATAATGCTGAATCTATAGTATGGACATTTTAACAATATTGATTCTTTCAACACACCAGCATGGAATGTTTTTCCATTGGTCTGTGTCATCTATGATTTCTTTGAGTAGTGTTTTGTAGTTCTCCTTGTAGAGATTTTTCACCTCCTTGGTTAGATGTATTCCTAAGTATTTTAATTTGTTGGGGGGTGGTGCTATTTTGAATGGGATTTCACTCTTGATTTGGCTCTCAGCTTAAAAACTATTGGTATATAGAAATGCTACTGATTTGTGTATGCTGATTTTGTATCCTGAAGCTTTACTGAAGTCATTTACCAGGTCTAGGAGTTTTTTGGTAAAGTCTTTAAACTATTCCACAAGGCTACAGTAACCAAAACAGCATGGTACTGGTACAAAAAGAGACACATAGACCAATGAGACAGTATAGAGAACCCAGAAATAAGGTCACACGCTTACAACCAACTGATCTTTGACAAAGTCAACAGAAACAAGTAATGGGGAAAAGACTCCATATTCAACAAATGGTGCAGGGAAAACTGCCTAATAATATGCAGAAGAATGAAACTAGACACTTAGCCCATATACAAAAATTAACTCAGGGGGATTAAAGACTTAATTGTAAGACCTGAAACTGTAAAAATGCTAGAATAAAACATAGAAAATACCTTTCTTTAGCATGGCCTTGGCAAAGAATTTTTGGCCAAGTCCCCAAAAGCAACTGTTACAGAAACAAAAATTGGTGAGTAGGATTTAATTAAACTAAAGAGATTTTGCACAACAACAAAAAAACATCAACACAGTAAACAGACAACCTACAGAATGAGAGAAAATATTTGCAAACTGTACATCCAACAAAGCAGCATCTATAAGCAACTTAAACAAATCAACAAGCAAAAAACAAATAACCCCATTAAAAAGTGGGCAAAGGACGTGAACAGATACTTCTCAAAAGAAGACATATAAGTGGCCAGCAAACAGATGAAAAAAAAAGTTCAACATCATTAATCACTAGAGAAATGCAAATCAAAACCACAATGAGATATCATCTCACATCAGTCAGAATGGCCAATATTAAAAGTCAAAAAATAACAGATGTTGGTGAGGTTGTAAAGAAAGGGGAAATTTTATACATTGTTGGTGGGAATGTAAATTACTCCAGCTACTATGGAGAGCAGTTTGGAGATTTCTCAAAGAACTAAGATTTGAGGTACCATTTGATCCAGCAATTTTATTACTGGGTGTATGCCCAAAGGAAAATAAGCCATTTTACTGAAAAGACACATGAGCTTATATGTTCATTGCAGTGCTATTCATAATAGCAACGACATGGAATCCAGGTGCCCGTCAACTCTGGATCGGATAAAGAAAATGTGGTACCTATACACCACGGAATACTATGCAGCCATAGAAAAGAATAAAATAATATCCCTTGCAGCAACATGGATGCAGTCGGAGGCCACCATCCTAAGTGAATTAATGCATCAACAGAAAACCAAAAGTCACGTGTTCTCTTATAAGTGGGAGCTATATTGTGGGTATATGTGAGCATAAAGATGGGAACAATAGACACTGGGGACTCCAAAAGAGGAAAAAGAGGGGAGAAGGGCTAAAAACTTCCTATCGTGCAGTATGTTCACTACATGGATGACGGGATCAATAGAAGCCCAAACCTCAGCATCATGCAATATACCCCTGTAACAAACCTGTATATGTACCCCCTGAATCTAAAGTAAAAATGTAAGCAAATAAAATAAAAAATGTAGGCCTCTTGATGAGTATACAGTGTTATCTCTTGGTTGGTTTACTTTGCAGTTTCCTGATGATTAACGATGTTGAACCACTTTTAATGTGAGCATTGATCATTTGAATACTCTTTTATTATGAAGTGCCTATCCAAACGTTTTCCCAATGTTTTAATTGAGTCTTTTTCTTACTGGCTTTTAGAAGCACTTTATATCATCTAGGCATAGGACCTTCGCTGCCATACTTAAAATATTCTCTCCTACTCTGTGATTTATGTTTTCATTATTTAAACATTGTATTTCATTGAAGATATATTCAATATTTTAGTGTAGTCTAACTTATCAATCTTTTTTATGTTTAAAGTTTCCTATATAGTGTTTTAAAAAATCTGTTCCTACACCAAGATCATTAATATAATCTGTTAGAATATATTCTAAAATTTTTATTGCTCACTTATTGCATTTAGATTTAAACTCCACAAGGAAGTTATAGTGTGTGTCTATGAGATGTGAAATAAGGCTCAAATTTCTTTTTTGAACATGAATACTCAATTAAGCCAACACTGTCATTAAAATGACTGTTCTTCCTTCACCATTCTGCAGTGTTACCTTTGTCTCCATCGAGTATGCATGCGGCTGGTTTTGTTCTTTTGTCACGTTCTGTTGGTATGTGTGTTTATATTTATGTCCCTACCATACTGTCTTGCTAATATATCTTTATAATAACTTTTAATATTTAATATTGACTTCTTTACGAAATAAGCTAAGCACAGAAAGACAAATAATGAACCAGGTGCAGTGGCTCACACCTGCAATCCAACATTTTGGGAGGCCAAGGAGGAAGGATCATTTGAGCCCAGTAGTTTGAGACCAGCTTGGGCAACATAGGGAGACCCTGTCTCTACAAAAAAAAAAAAAGAATTTAAAAAATTAGTCAGGCATGGTGATATAGCCTGTGGTCCCAGCTACTTGGAGGGTGCTGAGGCAGAAAGATCGCTTGAACCCAGGAGTTCAAGGCTGCAGTGAGCTATGATCACGCTACTGCACTCCAGCCTGAATGACAGAGTGAGACCTTGTCTGAAAGAAGGAAGGAAGGAAGGAAGGAGGAAGACAGAAAGAAAGAAAGAAAGAAAGAAAGAAAGAAAGAAAGAAAGAAAGAAAGAAAGAAAGGAAAGAAAGAGGGAGAAAGGAAGGAAGAAAGGAAGGAAGGAGAGATGAAAGAGAAAGGAAGGAAGGAAGGAAGGAAGGAAAGAGAGATGAAAGAAAGAGAAAGAAAGAAAGAAAAGAAAAGAGAGAAAGAGAGGAAGGAAGGAAGAAGGGAGGGAGGAAGGAAGATATCACGTGATCTCACATACATATGAAATCTAAAAACCTTCTAAGAGTAGAGCTCAGAATGGTGGTTCCACGGGCTAGGGAGAAGAGGAAATGGGGAGATAATGGTCAGAGGACACAAATTTTCAGCCAGACAGGAGGAATGACTGAAAGAGCTCTATTGTACAACATGGTGACTGTACTTAACAACAATGTATTGTATACTTAAAAATCACTAAGGGAGTAAATATTAAAAGTTCTCATCACAAGACAATAATAAGTATGTGAGGTGGCGCATATATTAATTAGCTCCATTTAAACATTCTACATTGTACACATATATCAAAACATCATTTTGTATACCTTTAACATACAATTTTTTTGTCAATTAAAATTAAATATAGGCCAGGCATGGTAGCTCACGCCTGTAATCCCAGCACTTTGGGAGGCCAAGGCAGGTGGATCACCTGAGGCTGGGAGTTCAAGACCAGCCTGACCAATATGGAGAAACCTCGTCTCTACTAAAAATTAGCCAGGCGTGGTGGCACATACCTGTAATCCCAGCTACTCGGGAGGCTGAAGGAGGAGAATCACTTGAAGCAGGAGGCAGAGGTTGTGGTGAGCTAAGATTGCACCATTGCCCAGCCTGGGCAACAAGAGTGAAACTCCGTCTCAAAAAAAAAAAAAAAAAAAAAAAAAGTAAATATAGTTCATGTCCTTTGCAGGGACATGGATGAAGCTAGAAGCCATCATTCTCAGCAAACTAACACAGGAACAGAAAACCAAACACTGCATGTTCTCACTCATAAGTGGGAGTTAAACAATGAGAACACATGGACACAGGGAGGGGAACATCACACACTGGGGCCTGTAGGGAAGTGGGGGGCAAGGGGAGGGAGAGCATTAGGACAAATACCTAATGTATGCGGCGCTTAAAACCTAGATGACAGGTTGATAGGCACAGCAAACCACCATGACACTTCTATACCTATGTAACAAACCTGCACATTCTGCACGTGTATCCCAGAACTTGAAGTAAAATTTAAAAATATATATGTATAAATTAACCAATTTTAAAAATAAATACATACATACATAGAAAAAATATGACTTGTTTAATCATGGCCACTTAATTTGCCATGTAAGTCTTAAAATAAGAGTTTTGTGACTTCTTTCTTTTATGTAATAAACTTTTTACTTTTGGAATAATTTTAGATCTACAGAAAAGCTGCAAAAAAAGTAAAGAGAGTTATCTTATCCAGCTTCCCTTAAAGTTAACATGTTACACAACCATGCTACGTTTGCCAAAACTAAGAAACCAATATTAAATTCTGAATTTTCATTAACAGTAATGTATTTGCATTCCACTAAGTTTTTACACCAACGTTCTTTTTCTGTTCCCAGTATCCAGTTCAGGATACTATCTGGCACTTAATCATTACGTTTCCTTGGGTTCCTCTGGCCCGTGGCCAACTCTTAGCCTCTCCTTGTTACTGTGTATCGACAGTTTGAAGATTACTGGTCAGGTCCTTAGAATGCTCTTTAATTTGTGTTTGTCTGATTATTTTTTTCCTGATTAGGCTGGAATTATGAGCTTTTGGAAAAAATTCTGCAGAGGTTAAGCTTCCTTCTCATCACTTCATATCAAGGGGATGTGATATCAACATGCCTCATTACTGGTGATGTTCACCTTGATCATGTGGTCAAGGAGGCGTTTGCTAGGTTTCTCTACCACACAGATACTCTTTCCCGGCTTTCAATACTCTAGTCTTGCATGTGAATCACTAAGTCCAGGCCAGGCACAAGGTGGCCTGGGAGGTAGACACTAAGGTCCAATTCCTGGAAGAGACAGTATCTATTCATATTATCTGGAATTC